>NC_000002.12:1828181-2131212 GCF_000001405.40 Homo sapiens
CACAGAGAGGCAAGAGAGCATGCAGGCGTCCTGTTTGGGATCATGGGAGACCATATTCCCAGCTTCCTGGTACTAGGTGACACTGGGGGGCCTGTTTTACTTATGGAATTCCCAGCTTCCCTAATGGTAGGTGACATCTTGGGGCAGGATTTACTTATGGAATTCCCAGCTTCCCAGTGTTAGGTGACACTGTGGGGTGGTTTTTACAGATGGAATGAGAAAGAGGTAAGGTGTGCTCCTCCAGATCCAGACCCTAAACACCTCCCTCTTGGGATCCTCCACGTTCTCTTCCTCTCTCTGTTATGGAATAAAAACAACCGTATGAAAGTGTGTCGAAGGTGCCAGAGCCCTTCTCCCTGTTGCCTGTCCAGCACTGTGATGTGTGTAGACCTCAGCTCTGCTCAAATAGTTTGAAGTGTGTTTGTCATGGCCGTCAGCCTATTCTCGCTAATCTTCCATTAAATGAGATGACTGATTTAAAAAATAGCTCACATAGTAAGTACTCAATATGGTGATTTATTTTTGCAACAATTCCCTTGAGATATATCAAGCAAGACAAACATTCTATAAAAGGTTATGTTCTCATTTATAATGGACTAGAGAGGAACCAAAAAATAAATAGAACAATTCACATGTTCCAGACAGAAAAGGTTTTAAGAGGGCCTAGGGAAGGACTTTAAAAAAATGTATGGTGGACGAGACTCTTAAGATATGAGTTACTTCTAAAAATACTTGTTTTTCAGAGTTAGAACTTTAAGTTTGGAGACTCTTCTTAAATTTCACTGAAGTGGAGTGAGAACTGAAGTGGTGGCAAAAAAGGATGCTCAGGGCACTGCACATGAGAGAGAAGTCTCAACAGCTGCAGAGGAACCTCCACTTCCCTCCCTCTTCTGCCCCATCCTCCCTGCATCTACTGGCTGCCCAGCGCTTGGTGAGGATCTCCCATGAAGATGGCGTTGGGCCTCTCACCTCTGGGGGTGCTGAGGACTGGGCAGAGCACTCCCTGGTTCCTTCTCCCCCAACTTTACCTCCTGACTTCTTTTGCTGGACTAGAATCTCTCACCTTCCAACCTTCCCATACACCTGTGAACTGACCCTCCCATACACCTGTGAACTGACCCTCCCATACACCTGTGAACTGACCCTCCCATACACCTGTGAACTGACCCTCCCATACACCTGTGAACTGACCCTCCCATACACCTGTGAACTGACCCTCCCATACACCTGTGAACTGACCCTCCCATACACCTGTGAACTGACCCTCCCATACACCTGTGAACTGACCCTCCCATACACCTGTGAACTGACCCTCCCATACACCTGTGAACTGACCCTCCCATACACCTGTGAACTGACCCTCCCATGCACCTGTGAACTGACCCTCCCATGCACCTGTGAATTGACCCTCCCATGCACCTGTGAACTGACCCTCCCATACACCTGTGAACTGACCCTCCCATACACCTGTGAACTGACCCTCCCATACACCTGTGAATTGACCCTCCCATACACCTGTGAATTGACCCTCCCATACACCTGTGAATTGACCTTCCCATACACCTGTGAATTGACCCTCCCATACACCTGTGAATTGACCTTCCCATACACCTGTGAATTGACCTTCCCATACACCTGTGAATTGACCCTCCCATACACCTGTGAATTGCACCTGTCTCCTGGCAGGCCCTAGGTTCCTCACATCTGCACCCAGCGAACACATGGCTGCTTCCTGTTTCAACACAGACTTAAATCTCCTCTTATAAAATGTATTGAGTCAATGGTGCAGGAAAACTTTTCTTAGGAGCTGTGTGTGCAGCGCCGAGCGAGGTGCCCCAGATGTGCAGGAAGGAACAAAGGTCCCCACGCACAGACATTGCAATGGAGCATGACAGATGTAGCAGCTACTTAGTATCGGGTAGAAAGAGAAGGGACAGTGTCTGCAGAGAGGAGGCTGGGGCAGTTTCACCAAGATCATCACAGGGATCGGAGTCAGGGAGAGATGAGATAGTGGAAAGGAGTCACTCACGGGGGGTCAGGCAGCCTGGACCTGAGCCCTGGCTCCGTCACTCACAGGACCCCAGGCAGGAAGTTCTCTTCTCTTTGCCTCAATGTCCTGATCTTTAAAACAGGGATAATTACAGAGCCCATTTCTTCAGGCTGCTGTGAGGATTAAGAAGGTTGGTATGCGGAGGTGCTTAGAGCTCTGTCTGGCCCATAATAAGTCCTGAACAGCCTCCACTGACATTGTCTGGAAGATAAGGAGGCATCACATGGCAGATGGGGAGATGGAGGAAAGGGTGTTCTCGGCACCCCGAAGGGCTCACAGGGAGATGGAGGAAAGGGTGTTCTCGGCACCCGGAAGGGCTCACAGGGAGATGGGGGAAAGGGTATTCTCGGCACCTGGAAGGGCTCACAGGGAGATGTGGGAAAGGGTGCTCTTGGCACCCCAAAGGGCTCACAGGTGTGAAACACCATGGGGATGAGGCAGCTTGGGATGGCTAGGAGGAGATGCTCCCAGAGACAGGAGGAAGGCCAGGCCTGGGGAACTGTGGAGGGTGGCAGGAGTCCTTCCCTCAGGAGCCTCTTCCCTGGGCCTAGGGGAACTGTGGAGTGTGCCTTCTCGCTCTGTCCTCGCCTGCTGGCTGGCTGCGGCCTCCCTCACAGGATCCTCCAAATTCCACAGCCCCTTGGTGGCTGGTGGCCTGGAGCTGCTCCCTCTGCACCTCCCGCATGCACCTGCATGTCAATGGGGCTGGAGTAAGGCTCCCACGCTGCTGTCTTCCCCACATCCTGACAGCTGAGTGTTGGGGACAAAAGTGTGCCCTTCCCTCCAGTGGCCAACACGTGGTCTCCAATTCCCTGTGTGTCCTTGGCATGGCCGTGATTCCCTTGGAATCCCCTCTCCTGAAGGTGTCCCAGACACCACCACACCCTGCAACCCCACTCGGGTGCCCGACGCGTGTGTGAATGACTCCCATGAAGTCCTTGTCCAGATGGAGCAGATGGAGCTCTGCTCCGAGGACCCCTGGCTCCCCCCAGATGGAGCTCTGCTCTGAGGACCCCCAGCTCCCCAGTGCAGTTACAGCCACATTTGTCCAGCTTGTCTGTGGCTTCCTGACCTCCACCAAGATCTGTCTCCACCTGGTACTCCTGCTGCCTTCTGTATCTTTAAACCATTTCTTCCTCCTGGTTTCTCCTCTTCAGATAAATTCCAGACCCACATTTCTCTCTGCCTGTGAGGTCCTGCCCACTTCTGCGCCTTTCCAGCTACTGCCAACGTCGTTCCTCCCCTCTCGTCTGGTCTGCATTTCTAGAACCATTAGTCATGTCCTCTACAACCCCCTGAACTTTCCATCTGACTCTCGTCCTATCTCAGTCTGGTTTTGGTGCCTGATCTTTTCCCTAAACTCTCCACAAAGTGCCTCAGTTGTATTCCCACGGCCAATGCCCCAAATGAGCCCAGCATCGTTTTGAACTCTCCGCCACACCGGCCTCTCGCCACTTTCCCAGTATTGTGTGTGTTCTTTTCTCTGGAAGCTTCTGCACATCATGGCGCCTGGCTCCCCTAATGCCACCATGCAACTCTGTCTTCATCACGGCCTCTCCGCCTCCACCTGTCACAAAACGTGTGTGTCTCCCAGGGGTGTCTTTGCTGATGCTCTTCCCCCTGGACCCCTGAGTCCCGGGGTGAACCTGCAGGGTCAAGTGTGACCTGAGTGCTGCTGATTTCCGATTCCTACGCGGCTCTCCTCAGACACTTCCCGAGGCCCGTTACCAGCTGCTTGGTGGATATTCCCCCTTCAAAGTCCCACAGAATCTCAAGTTCACGTATTTAAAATGAAATAACCATCTTTCCCCACTTTTATGGTGTGAGTATTTGTGTCCCTCGAGGTTCCTGTGTTGAAGCCCTAACCCCTGGGTGTGTTTGGAGCTGGGGCCTCTAAGGGAATAATTCATGTAAATGGGCTTGTAAGGGTGGGGTCCTGATCTGATGGGATCAGAGTCCTTATGAGAGGAGATGCCAGCGAGCCTGCTCTCTCCCTGCCTTGTGAGGACACAGTGAGAAGGCCCCTGTCTGCCAACCAGGAAGAGAGGCCTCCCCAGAAACCAGATCAGCTGGAACCTGATCTCAGACTTCCAGCCCAGGGACAGGGGATAGAGGTCAGTTGCTCAAGCCACCTGGCCTAGGGTATTCTGTTGTGACGGCTGAGCAGACTAAGATACCCATGGCGTTCAAGGCTTCATTCTTTCCTTGTGTTCCCAACTGCCAGCATTGCCACCCGTGCAGCTGCTGGGGCTGGGGCCACCTCTCCTGCCGGGATTCACCCACAAGGCCCTGCTCATTCTGTTTCCTAAACAGTCCTCTAATCTGTCCTTCCTTTCATGTTGGAGGTCTAGCCCTCATCATGCCTCGCTTAGGTCTGCAGGAACGGCTCAACGTGTCTGCCTGCCCGTCCATTCCAGCTCTCCTCCGCGGCCACCAAGGTGGTGCATTCAAAGCCCGGACTCCAAGAGTCACTTAAAGCCCTCAATGTAACCTTCCTCCCTGTGGTGAGCTGTGCCTTTTTTCAAAATTCAGCTCCTGTCTTGGCTCCTGAAGGGCCCTGGCCTGTTCACCCCATCTGGACTAGACATTTCTCCTCTGTGTTGCTGATCGCTGGCCTGGCACCATGTTGCAGCATCTGTAATCTCCTTCACCCCAGTCCACAGCATTCTCTAAAAGATGGTCTCTTCTCTCCTCTAAAGAGCAGGCCACGGTACTCAACTTTGTAAACCAGACCTGGACGGAGATCATCGGTGCTGGTGGAGGCATGTCTGTCTGTGTCGGCCGAATGAGATGAATGAATGACACGTCTGTCGGCGGCTTAGGGGGAGGGTGAGCTGCAGGTTGAGCTCTCCTCGGGCACAGACCCCAAGGGTCTCAAGTTCCTAGGAAGCCTCCTCAGATTTCTCTGAGTGTAAAGCCAGTGTCCCCCACAGTGTGTGCCAGTGGCATTGCATCTGTCCCGTGGTTGGCCTTGCCCCAGTGCCCGCATCCGAGGCTCTTATGTGAGTCTGTTCCCTCACTGTGAGGTTCTGGGCTCGGGGAGTGAGTGTTAGGTCTTACTCACCATCACCACCCTAGGCTCTGCTGCGTCTGCTATGTGGCTTGGCCTTAGCACCTGTCCAGAACGCTTGCTGGGGGTCTGCATGGGCCTCATGGTCCCTGGTCATGGCCTGGTACTGTCCTCAGTCTGTGTTCACCGGGACTGAGGACACCTTCCTGTCCTGAGCTGTCCGCTCTGCTGCTTCCTCATGTATACAATCAACATTTTCTACCTGACTTCTGTCGTTGTAGAATTCTCCCTGACTCCTCCGTCCTGGGCTTCTCCATGTGCCTCCAGTTCTCCCCCTCCTTTCTGGGAGGGATTGGCCTTTACACCTGACCTGAGGGTCTCATGATAGCTGCTTTTACAATCACAACATGGCATCTTCCCCAAAGGTCATGGCACCACGTATGTGTGTGCCCAGGAGCCGGGATGGGGCCTTGACTTTTCATCTTAGACACTGCTTTTCTAGAAAGACCTTGCCAACCCTAAAGATAAAATGTTTTCTATTTCTCTTACATCAGTTCTGCTTTTTTCAGACACGACTCAGCTCAGGGAGCAGGATCGGGGAAAGGAGCCCTCCTGCCTAACCCTCAACGCAGAAAGAGCAGCGGCTGCGCCAGGACTCCCCATGAAGTGAAGTGGAAACGATTTCACAGCAAATGGGGTGGATGGCCAGGGGCTCCTGTCAGGTCTGAGACCCGGGGCCGGGAGTGGGCTGGGCATGTGAGCAGGGCCCCAAACCATGGGCATTGGTTCCTGCTTCCTCTACTGTTTCTATTTTGGCACCTGCTTGAAAGCAGTTCTTCATCATCTGGCTAGATTGTCACAGTTTGGGGTAAAAGAGAAATAAAACAGGCAACTTCTATTTCAATCTGTTCTTGCTGCTGCTTCTAACCGCTGCTTTGTTTGCGCAGTGGGTGGGATGCACAGGGGCCCTCCAAACTCCAATCTTGACGTGCCCGCGGGGGCTTTGTGGGAGGCTCCTGCTAACCAGGTTTGGGAAAACCACCAGGCAGTCCTGGCAGTCTGGGCAAGGCCAGGGCTTCCAAGGAAAGAG
This sequence comes from Homo sapiens, assembly GCF_000001405.40. Lineage (NCBI taxonomy): Eukaryota > Metazoa > Chordata > Mammalia > Primates > Hominidae > Homo > Homo sapiens. The sequence continues at coordinate 1,834,332 of NC_000002.12, forward strand.
AAATGTCTAAGACTTCCTAATGAGTGTATTTCTGTGCGCTTAGCTGTGTTCTTGCTGGGTATTCATATTATTACACTTTCAGAAAATAATATTCTGCCTATCTATTAAAATTGATGAAGGCTTGCTCAACAGAGAAAAACCATAGTCAACACATGATGGAATATTATTCAGTCTCAAAAGGGAAGGAAGCTTGGATACGTGCTACAACCTTGAGGACATGGGGCTCCATGAAATAGGACGGTCACAAAAAAGCAAACCCCATGGGATTCTACTTATAGGAGGTCCCTAGAAGCATCAGATTCACAGAGGCAGAAAGCACAGTGTGGGTGCCAGGGGCTAGGCAGCTGAGGAAGGGCGAGTCAGTGTTGAATGGAGACAGTGTTTCAATGGAGACGGAAGAATTGGAGAGATCAGTTCCACAACAGTGTGAATACAGGTACTCCTCCACATACCACGGGGATGGATACAGGTACTCCTCCACATACCACGGGGATGGATACAGGTACTCCTCCACATACCACGGAGATGGATACAGGTACTCCTCCACATACCATGGGGATGGATACAGGTACTTCTCCACATACCACGGGGATGGATACAGGTACTCCTCCACATAACACGGGGATGGATACAGGTACTCCTCCACATACCACGGGGATGGATACAGGTACTCCTCCACATACCACGGGGATGGATACAGGTGCTCCTCCACATACCACGGGGATGGATACAGGTGCTCCTCCATATACCACGGGGATGGATACAGGTGCTCCTCCACATACCATGGGGATGGATACAGGTACTCCTCCACATACCATGGGGTCAGCATCCCCATAAAGCCATCTTAAGTTGAAAATACCATATCTTGAAAATATTTTAAGTCAAAAATTCATTTAATACTTGTACTGACTCAATATCATAGCTTAGCCTAGCCCACCTTCAATGCACTCAGAACACTTACATCAGCCTACAGCTGGGCAGAGTCAACTTACACAAGGCCTAGTTACACAAAAGTGTTGAATATCTCATGTAATTTATTGAATACTCTATGAAAGTGAAAAAGAATGGTTGCATGGATACTCAAAGCACCATTTCTACCAAGTGTGTATTGCTCTTGCACCACTGTAAGATCGAAAAATTGTAAGTTGAGGACCATCTGTATACCTAACACTACTGAACCATACACCTGAAGATGGGTGAGATGGTAAATTCCATGCCATATGTTAATATTTTACCACAACTACAAAAACAAACAGAACAGAACAGAACCCAGGTCCGGTGTGCTCAGGCCTGGACTGCCCCTTTCCCCTTATGCCACTACTCCGGGTTTTCCTTTGCTGCACAAACAGGGCTGCTGGTCACCGGGCAAACACGCCCAGAGCCCTGTGACACACAGGGAGGTCCCCTTTCCTCCTTGGAGGTCGCCGAAGCCAGCAGTTCAGAGAGTTCTGATGGTGCCTTTTAGTAAAACGGAGGAATATCAACATTTCCGTGTAGCTCAGCCAGCCCATGGCAGGGCTCCAGCAGGAGCCGCCCCTGGCATGCTGACATTTCAATCTCTGCATACACGTGAATACTGATACCCGGGGCTGGAGCCTGGGGCCTTTCCCATCAAGCTGTGGCCCTGCAGGCTAGGTGGAGCACAGGCAGCTGGAGTCATTTCCATCATGCCTGGACTTCTGTGGGCCCTCCAGGGACCTGGGATCCTGAAAGAGGAGGCTGCTGAGCCCTGGGGCAAGGGTGGGTGGCAACCAGGTGGGAGGGAAGTGAGAGGCATACAGCTTTCCAGAGAAGGGAGCTTCTAGCATTGCAAATTCTCCGAGTAACATGGGCCTGTAAGCTGTGATTTTACTCACTGACGTGGCCTGTGGCCCAAGATTCCAACAGCCTGCACCCAGTATTCTTGCACCCCAATATTCATCAGCCTGTACCCCAAGATTCCATCAGCCTGCCCCCAATACTCCATCAGCCTGCCCCCCCAAGATTCCATCAACGTGCACTCCAAGATTCCATCAATGTGCACCCCAAGATTCCATCAATCTGCCAAGAGTCCATCAGCCTGAACCCCAAGATTCCATCAACCTGCCCCCAAGATTCCATCAGCCTGCACTCCAACATTCCATCAGCCTGTGCCCCCAAATTCGACCAGCCTGCACCCCAAAATTCCATCAGCCTGCACCCAATATTCCATCAGCCTGCGCTCCAATATTCCATCAGCCTGTGCCCCAAAATTCTATCAGCCCGCCCCCAATATTCCATCAGCCTGTACCCCAAGATCCCATCAGCTTGCATCACAAAATTCCATCAGCCTGGCCCCAATATTTCATCAGCCTGTACCCCAAGATTCCATCAGCCTGCACCCCAAGATCCCATCAGCCTGCATCCCAAAATTCCATCAGCCTGCATCCCAAAATTCCATCAGCCTGTACCCCAAGATTCCATCAGCCTGCACCCCAAGATCCCATCAGCCTGCACCCCAATATTCCATCAGCCTGTGCCCCCAAGTTTCCATCAGCTTGTCAAGGCCAGAGCATGCATTTCAATATACTCTCCACTCTGTGCCAGGGACCCTGGGGAAGAGGCTCCCTTTTGGAGAAAAGAAACAGGGAAGGGTGGAAATTGAGGTGAGGCTGGCAAGAGAGTAGACAGAGGTGTGTGGGTGAGGGTCTAGCAGCAGAAATTTGTGCCTGGCATTTGGGAAGGGGCGTCATGGGGCGGGGTCCTGCTTCCCACCTCAGTGGCTCCTAAGCTCTAAGCCCTCCCCCATGGAAAAAGGGGCAGGACAGAGATCTTGGTGGAGGGCTGTCCTCTGACCCTAACATACAATGCAACCAGAGGCTGGGGAGTGGGAGGGAACAGCATTCATCTGGCACCTGGTATTTGCTGCTTAAATCAAAGGGGCAAACTCTCAGCAGGAGGAAAGCTAAAGCACCAGGCTCCGCAGAGGCAGCTCTGAACCAGTGCCGTCCCTGGAGTGCAGAAATGCTCACGTGAGAGGACGAAATTGTTTTCGTTTGTGTCAGGTTAGCGAAACATACAAACCCTTACTCATAGGTCAAATGGGCAGGGTTTTTACAAAATTTTTAAACATTTTATTAATGGTGAAAGGTTTGGGAAAGTAGACACTTTTTTGGAGGGCATTTTGGCATGATCTGTCAAAATTTTAAAGCTAGCATTCTTGTTTCCAGGAATAGAGCCTGAAGATCTGCTTGCACAAGGACATGGAGTTGTGTGCACAAGGACGTTCACGCGGAGTTCTTTGTAACAATCAAACCTGGACAGGACACCAGGTGGCACGTGCAGGAACAGGCTCAATGGGGAGGGTGAGGCGGCTCTGTGACACCCTGGGCTTCTGTGCACCTAACAAGGAACGCCCTGTCTGCTGGGCCCTGGGTGATCCTGGTGAGCAGCTGAGGCCCCTGTCCTCATGCTGGGTTCTGGGAGACACTGAGATCCATGTGTATAAATAGGGGTGCTTTTCAGTTCCAGAGAAGACGGGAACTGCCTGCCTTTGAGAAGGGATTAGGTCGGGGAAAGGACATTCAATTTCTCTCTCTCTTTTTTTTTTTTGTCTTTTGTTTGTTTGTTTGTTTTTAATGAGACAGAGTGTTGCTCTGTCACCCAGGCTGGAGTGCAGTGGTGCAATCTTGGCTCACTGCAACCTCCGCCCCCTGGGTTCAAGTGATTATCCTGCCTCAGCCTCCCGAGTAGCTGGGATTACAGGCGCGTGCACCACCACGCCCAGCTAATTTTTGTATTTTTAGCAGAGATGGGGTTTCACCATGTTGGCCAGGCTGGTCTCAAACTCCTGACCTCAGGTGATCTGCCCACCTCGGCCTCTCAAAGTGCTGGGATTACAGGTGTGAGCCACTGTGCCCGGCCAATTTTTCTCTTTAAACCCATTTACATTGTTTGAATTTTCTACCTGAGCAGGAATTTCTTTAATAATTAAAAAAAATCTTCCTTAACATTTAAGGGTCAGAGTCACCTATTACTGAACATGCCATTATTCCTGTAATCTGCATACCCCTTTGTTCATTCTGTGTTTGAGATGGATTTGAGGCGCAGGTGTGATTTTCGTAGAAAGTGGCATATAGGGCAGCAGAAAGGAAACCATTGTAAATCTCCCCAAAGGGTATGGCCTTCACATCGTACATGTGATGTGTGTATCTTCCCCTCCACCTCCTCAAGGAAGCTGAGGGACGCTGAGTGTAATGGGTGCCGTCAGCCTTGGAGACGGGTCCCATCCCAGGTCTTCACTCCCCGCAGAGGGACCGACTGCACAATCTGACTGCACAGAACGGGCCTCTCCTAAGATAATCTAACTGCATGTATTTCTTTTTAAATGAAGCAAACAAAAATGAATGAGGTTGATGGGGTTTTTTGGGAATGTTCTCATGCATCTTTGGTGCAGGCATTCACCAGGAGCCACCGTGCCAAATGCCATCCTCTTTCCCCCAATGACGCCTGCCTGTGAATTTCGGGTGAAATAAGTAACTACATCTAAAGACCCTCATGTGCATGTCTTAAATGAAAATCTATATCTTACTGTGGATTCTAGTTTCAAAAACGGAAAACTGCTGTGGTCATCTATAGATGGGGCTGAGGGAGGCTGGGCTCCCTAATGTAAGTTTAAGATGTTTCAACACTGTCCCCAAACCCTTGAATTTTGTTAGGTTGGTACGATAGTTTTCAGCCTTTTCTTTCTAAACACAGGTGACGGGAGAAGCTGGCACCTGCTGCCGTCATAACCAGCCGTGCCAGTCGGCTCTCGGCGGCACCATCCCAGCCAGGGTCCCGCAGACGCGGCCACTCACCTGCGGTGTGTGAGGAAGCTGCCGCTGACGTGGCCTGAGCCGTCGCATCCTGGCGTGGGGCAGGACATGCCTTCCGTCTTGACCGACTTCCAGGAGAACTGGGAGCCATTCAGGTACCCGTCTTTCTGCCTCTTGGCCGCCAAGGGGCACCCGGAGGCGCTGCGATGGGACGCGTACTTCCCAGTGATGTGGCCCTGGCCGTCGCACCCGGGGACCGGACACCTGTAGGCAGGCAGAGGTGACACACTTTATTGTCTGGCCACCGTCGCCTGGTGGCTTCTGTAACAAAGTCAGAATAACCCGGCATGAAGAAGAAAAAAACAACCATGCCCTCCTGGCTGGGCAAAAGGAAAAGAAAAAAGAGAAAGAAAGAAAAGTCACTAAAAGACACCACCTAGTGGAACACTGAACTGTTTCCCCTGCGCAGAAGGCCTGACCCATTGCAGATGGAAGGATTTTCTGGAACAAAGTGTATGTGCCTGGTGGGACTGATGGGTTCAGCACACAAAAGACCACGCAGGCACATGCAGCTACACAAGCGTGTGTTTAAAAGATACCACTTTGGGACAGAACCATGGCTTTTCAGGTGGAAAAAATGCAACGTCAATAAGATGTCGTGGCATTATTTTTAAAGAGGCTGTTTCGTGCTTTTCTCAAGAGCTAGAAGACATTTATTTGTCTGGCCGTATCTTCTGGAGGCCTTAAAATGCCCTTCCAGCTAGAGAAGATCCTAAGCTGCAGAGACGTCTCATGAAGTCTCCTGGAATCGGGCTGACACAGGGACACGGGACAGGTGTGTTCCTGGGAACTTGTGAATGGCAGGACCAAGACACACACCAGGGCAGCAAAGGCGCCTGAAGGAGGCAGGGCCTGGCCTAAGCGCTCCTCATGTGTCCTGAGCAGTGAGTTTGCCTGCATTGTTTTTATTAACAGAAAAGTTTGCATTCCTCAGAATTTGCATTACCTATTTATTTTGACAAATCTTAATTTATTTGAATAATTTATGCTTTAATTCATTTTTATTTTGTTTTAATTAAAACTTTTTTCTGGGGATGTGAAGTGAGGCTTACTGTGTGGGTTTTTGGGGCCCAGGCATGGCTGGCGTGGGATGGGGACAAACACCCCCTTGGGCAGCCCAGCGGTAGTCACAGGCTCCAAGCTCAGTGTCCACTGCAGCCCCAAGCCCTGCCTTAGAGCAAGGCAGGGTATAACTAAACTATTTTTATAAGCCAGAATACCAGTGAAACATCCGCTTGTGATGTTGTATTTAGTACCTTCAGGAGCATTCACCAATCTGCCATTCCCAAGAATTCAGCTGCTTTTCCCACCAAGAGGAGAGGGAAGGCTTGTTTTTGGGGATTTGGGTTACATGGAACCTCAGATTGATGGATATCAGCTTATTGCTGGACAGCCCATGTAACTTTTCAGCCAATCAGCAGATGTGCTTTGGTTTGGGTCTAAGTTATCTGACCTTGCATTTGTGGAAATCTCAAAGAATGGCCACTAAGACCCGCTGTCTCTTTTTCTTGTTGACATATACTTGCTTTGCTTGAATGCCTCGTCCCCACATGGCAGCCCTGCTATGGTTCTCAGCCCCACTGGTGCTCATACCTGATGGGTTCTTGATCTTCTTTATCTTCTTTGCTCTGTGCTATCCTGATACCACTTTTCTTTGCTCTTGGGCAACCTGAAAGGCTAAATAAGAAACACATTTCAGAAAGCACCCCACACCGTTGATTTCAGTGAGCTTTCTTTCTTTTTTTTTTTTTTTTTGAGACAGAGTCTCACTCTGTCACCCAGGCTGAAGTGCAGTGGTGTGATCTCGGCTCACTGCAAGCTCCGCCTCCCGGGTTCACGCCATTCTCCTGCCTCAGCCTCCCAAGTAGCTGGGACTACAGGCGGCCACCACCACGCCTGGCTAATTTTTTTGTATTTTTTAGTAGAGACGGGGTTTCACCGTGTTAGCCAGGATGGTCTCGATCTCCTGACCTCGTGATTTGCCCACCTCGGCCTCTTTTTTTTTTTTTTTTTTTGAGACAGAGTCTTGCTCTGTCGCCCAGGCTGGAGTGCAGTGGTGCGATCTCAGCTCACTGCAAGCTCCACCTCCTGGGTTCACACCATTCTCCTGCCTCAGCCTCCCAAGTAGCTGGGACTATAGGCGCCCGCCACCACGCCCGGCTAATTTTTTGTATTTTTTAGTAGAGACGGGGTTTCATCGTGTTAGCCAGGATGGTCTCGATCTCCTGACCTCGTAATCCGCCCCAGTGAGCTTTCTTAACCGACGAGGCTGTGACTTGATTCTCTCCAAAACCTGTGCTTCTGGGCACAAAGTCAAAATTCAGGAGGAGAGTTCTTTCCCTGTGTCCTCTCCAAGGCTCTAGGCACCGTCAGTCCCCTTTCAAGAAAGTTGGGAGACTGGGGTGGGCTAGGATGCTGTGAACGGGAGAGAAACTGGTCCACCGGGAGGGAGCAGAAGCAGTCGGGAGTCACCAGGAAAGACGCTGGGGGAGGTTTTGTTGACAGAGAGCGCGGGAGCGAGCGCACACGGATGCGTGCATGTCGGGGGTGAACATGGCAGAAAAAAGCAGCCTCCCAGCCCCATTCTTGGGTACTCTGTCTCTCACAGCAGCTTCCCAAGCACTTCCATCTCAGGTTCGTGTCTTGGGAGACAGTGATGGGCTAGTGACTTATTCCAGGCTTCGGGTTGTGCCTGCAGACGGGAGAGTGGGAGCTGGACACGCCTATTTTATTTAATTTTCAACCTCTTGGGTACAGAGGCTTTGGACATGTTTGTAAAGGGAATTTTTTCAGCTGGAACAGAAACATACACACACATACACATCACATAAAATAATACATAAAACAAATGGGATTTTTGGAAAAGAATTGAAGAACCAGAAATTGGGCAATCTCCTGCCATGCTATTGGGTCTTGTGGAAATCGCGGGCCCGGCGCTGGCACACGGGTGGGTCCAGGTGGGAGGCCACTCTTCTCCCTGGCTTTCCTGAGCTCGGGGATAGTTTTCTTGGTCAGTTCTGATTCTTGGAAACACGCAGATTCCCAGGAGGAAGTGCTCACTCCCCTAAAGGGAGGCTCCATCCTGCCTCCCAGGCCTTGGCCATCCTCCTCCCTGTTCAGGTGGGGGCAGCACCTCAGCACAGGCGGGTGTGGGAAGGTTCGGGAAGGTTCGGGTTTCGTGTCTGGGCAGAAAGGAGGTTGTCAGGGCCCCACAGCGCCTTCACTCCCAGGCCCCTGCTGCCCCACCTCCTGGAGCCAGCGGGGAATCCTCCTGCTCCTTCCCCTGTCTCGCTCTTCACAGGAAGAGGAAAGAGGCGGCGAGGCGAGGGCACCTGAGCTCGCTGCCTGCTGGGGCCTTTCTTCTCCCCGCCCTCTTAAAGGAGGGAATCTGGAAAGAGGGGCCCGCCTGTGCTTCCCCCGACCTTTCCTTCCTCCCTTGGCCTCCTCCGCCCCCGCCCCACCCTCTGGCTCCTGACCTGCCTGCAGGTCGCTGGGGCTCTGAGGCCGGCGTGGGTTGACCTCACGTCCACCCCTGCACCCCACTGACCGCTGCACAACTGCGCGGATGCCCCAAAATTAGACTCATCGTCCACGTCACCAACCCAAAGCCCCAGTCCAGCAGACCGGGTGCGTCCTTGCTGAGTTTTGCTTCCCTCAGGTTCCGTTGATGTCACACCCAAGGCCTCTCCTCGTCTGTCCAGCTTCCGCTTCCAGGCGCTTCCGCTTCCAGGCGCTTCCGCTTCCAGGCGCTTCCGCTTCCAGGCGCTTCCGCTTCCAGGCGCTTCCGCTTCCAGGCGCGCGGTGCTAGTACCGGCCCCCGGGCTGGGAACACCTCCAGGCCAGCGCTTTAGCATCATCCGAGGCTCTCCGCTTCCTCAGGGGGACCCGAGTTCTTCCACGCGACTCGTAGGCCCCGCCATCCTCGCTGGGCTCTCCCTGCAACCCTTGCCGCCATCCTTCGGGCTGGCCGATGTCCCTGCCTTGTCTGTGGCTCGTTCCCAGCTGCGTGGCCTCTGCATCCTGCAAGAAGCCTGGGCCTGGCTGTCCTCACAGTGCGGCCGCTGCAGGCTCACACGGTTCTCTCCTCTACAGGCTCCTCTGAGAGGCGATGCCTGGGAGTGTAAACCATGCGAGTGTTCCTCTGCGGTTCCCCAATTCCTAGCCCGACGCCTTGCACAGAGCGGGTCATTCAATGCATGAATGAAGAAAAGAGGAACCAAGGGGGGAATTACGGTATCCTACCCAGGGAGAGTTACTACGGTATCCTACCCAGGGAGAATTACTATGATGTCCTACCCAGGGAGAATTACGGTGTCCTTCCTAGGGAGAATTACGATATCCTACCCAGGGAGAATTAAAGTGTCTTACCCAGGGAGAATTACGGAGTCCTACCCAGGGAGAGTTACTGCGGTATCCTACCCAGGGAGAATTACTATGGTGTCCTTCCTAGGGAGAATTACGGTATCCTACCCAGGGAGAATTAAAGTGTCTTACCCAGGGAGAATTACGGAGTCCTACCCAGGATCCCATCTCCCCAGATGTAGGATTGCTGTGGGGGAAGCCGAGCCCCTGACTCCACCACAGAGGCCGAGCTCCTGTAGGCCCTGCCCCCTGCCCTGTCCCTGAGTCACTCCCTGTGGACTTGGGAGCCAGGGACAGCTCTGGGCCACCATGGAGGCCTGGGCTGGGGGCAAAACTAAACCAAACAGAACAAATCTGCAACAAGATTTGGCTCCGACAATGCGGTGGCCTCCAGGAAGCCTTGGCCTTGGCACAGGGCTGCTCTAGACTCCTAGAATGCCTGCTCTGGGGCTCAGGAGCTCTCATCTGAAAGCCATGTCTGTTGGTGAGAAGAGGCCCTGTGGTCTCTTCTGGGGCACTAGCCCAGGGCACCTGTGAGAAGCCTGTGCTTGGAGGGGTGTGGTCTTTACCTGCCCCCACTCACTTGGTGGGCAGCTCGGCACCTGTGCCCCACGGGGTCCTCTCTTCCACACGCCGTAGCCCAGGGCCTCTGTTCCATCCCTAGCACAGCAGGACCTAGCTTCCCCTTCAGCACTGAACACCCCCAGGAGTCCAGGGCCCCCCGCAGCACCCTGTTCTCACTGTAGCATCTTAATGCATGGCTGGAACCTTTATACTGCTTACTTCTTGCTACTTTTCATGCTTGATGAAAACAAGGGAACGTTTCCCTACCCACCAACTAAGCACTAGAACTCTAGGAGCAATGGAATTAGAACTTGTTCAGTATTTAAAACTTCCCTTTTTGGCTTATAACATAGGATGGAAAGCCAGTACTTGCTATGGACCCCAGAGTGGAGATTCTCTACAGAATGACTATTTGTGAGAAGGATCTGAGCGGCCACTTCCAGGTATTGCGCCAAGGGAGAGAAGGAAGAGGCGATGCTATGTATAGGCTGTGCAGACCTGGCCCGAGTGTCTGTGCTTCGGCTTCCTTGTCTGTATTTTGGGGCAGAAATACCTGCATCATCGGCTGTGAAAACTGGAAGTGATAACATGATACATACAATGCTGGGCACAGAGAAGGAGCTCTGTGATTTTAGATCCTGACTTTCACCTTTATCTGCACTTGTGATCCCTTCTTTAGGGCCCAGATTTGAACCTAACAAAAAGTCGCTCCCCCTCGTCTTCTCCTTCCAAATTTTAGAAACATAGGGGTTCATTTGCAGGCCCTTCCCGAGCCCTGGAGGGAGGGGAGCAATCCCTCCTTTCCTGGGCATTGGAGCTACAGCTCCATGCTCTGCTCAGGGCTCACATCCACAGTTCATTTCTTAGGATTTGGATCCATCTTCCTTTTTTTTTTTTTTTTTGAGACAGAGTCTCTCGCTCTGCTGCCCAGGCTGGAGTGCAGGGGCATGACCTTGGCTCGCTGAAGCCTCCGCCTCCCAGATTCAAACGATTCTCCTGCCTCGGCCTCCTGAGTAGCTGGGATTACAGACTTGCACTACTACACCTGGATAATTTTTGTATTTTTAGTAGAGATGACGTTTCATCATGTTAGCTGATCTCGAACTCCTGGCCTCAAGCGATCTGCCTGCCTCAGACTTCCACAGTGCTGGGATTACAGGCGTGAGCTACCACCGCACCCAGCCACCATCTTCCATTTTTAAAAGTGTCGTTTTCTTTTCGTGAATGAGTTGGAACAGCTCATCTGCTGGTGACTCTGGAAGCTGTTTTTCTCCTCTCACCTTCCTCCTTTGCTCACCTGAATATATCATAAGAATCCCAAAGTTAATGTGTTTAGACAGAATCTAAGGCCCACTCCTCCTGGTGGGCTTCTTTATACCGGATGATGATGTCCCCCGGCTGCTTGCTGCATCCCAGGCCCTCCCTCTTTAGCGCCTGCCTTCTTCCCCAGGGGCCCCTCCCACTCCTGGCCCTGCTGGTCACGGCCCCATTGCTGCTCTCCTCACCTGCACCAGCTCTTCTCTCGGCTGCCACTGTCACCATCCAAGTGCGCTTTTGACACCTGCCGTCTCTCAGCAGCCCGCTGTCTAGGCTAAAAGCTAAGCCTGCACTTGGGTGAATACCCGTTTTCCAGCAAATAAAATTTTACCCCCTTATACTGAATTCAACGGGACTCCTAAAGCAAGTTCCGTTTGTAGCTGCTCCCATAGGCTTAGACCTGAAACTGTTGCCAAACTGAATTATTCACTGTCAAATGTGCATTGATGTTGGTGTTATAAGACGTTCTGTAATACTGGTCCTTTGCTTGGAATATCCTTCTCTGCATGACCTCCTAGAGACCCTCACCATCCCTCATGCAGTGGCTCAGCGTCGCCTCCTCTCTCCTGGGCTCCAACCCACCCTGCCTTGTCAGAATTCAGACATGACTTACTCATTATCTTTAGGCTTTGATAAGTACATACATATTTGAAAAGTATCTTTCAGGTCAGATTCCCACCCTAGTGCCATCCCGACCTGGAGGCCTCAAGGCCACTGCCCTGAGGTGCGCCCTCCTGGAACCCATCTCAGTTTCCCTTAATTGTGCAGGAATGCGTGAGAGTGCGCCAGGCTGGTTAGCTTTTATGTCTTTCCTCATAATTACCTGTACCTCGAGGCTAGGAACACCTTAGTTATCACTGTTCCTTAGCCTCGGGGACAGACTACGTACTCAAATAGGTATTTACTAATTTACTAGGTTTCTGGAATTCCACGCTGGCATTTGGGATTATGTTTAAATGATTAATAATTTCCTAGACAGAAACTGTTTTCCACAATTCACAGGGGCTTGTCATATGTCCACATCTTTATCTGGAACTTTGTAAACGATGGAAACGCTGTAAGGGAGAGCTCTGTGTTCTCTGGGGGAGGGAAAGGCTGGGGGTGAGCACACGGACAGAGCATACGGACAGCTCCAGCGAGAAAGGGCCAACAACAGGTGAGTGCAGGATTATGAGAAACTGGAGGATTTGGGATCCCGGGAGACATGTGGTCAAGGGCAGTGTACCTCGTGGCCCCCAGGCCAAAGTGGTGCTAGGGTGGGTGTCCGGCCCGGAGCCCAGGGGCAGAGCACAGACCTCACTGACCCTCTGGCGAAACAGCTCTATGCCCCGCATGAGAATGGATCCTGTGACCCTCCGGACCCTCTGACTAAACAGCTTTGCACCCTGTGTGAGGGCAGATACTGACAGGGTTGGACAAGCACCACCTTACAAGGTTCCCAAGGCCCCCTGGTGAGGAGCCACCTCTCCGGATTTTGGCAGCGGGACCTGAGACTCTCCAAGGCAGACTTGCTCCTGGCTCTTCTGCATGACATCAAGCCTGTTTCTTCACTGTCTTCTTCAGGACCTGGTGATGTCTCCATTTCACAGCAGGTAAGGCCTTTGGGATCCCTGTTGAAAGTCCCCACAGCACACTGGAGTGGCATAGGTAGACACTGTCTGGCCGTTTGACTGCCATGCTGGAGGCTTCGATTTTGCGCATTATTGTAAAAGAGCAGAGTGGAAGTGCTCCAGGTGAGCACAGGCGCTGACAAGACGGGCAGCTGAGCATCTCTGTGCCCGCGCATCTTCATTTGCAGTCAGGATACCAATAATCTCATAGGATGGTGAGATTATAGATGTAAAATACTCACTGTAATTTCTGGTACATAGCAGGTGCCCAGTGAATGTTCTTTTGTGATTAGAGGCCATTCGGGAACCGTAGAGGCCACAGGGTGTTCTAGTGGGAGTCGGATTCCTGGAGCATCATCATTTGTGGAAAATGTGGACTTGACTTCTGCATTGGAACAACTCCAGGGCCCTTGGAGCTCTTGCTGCTTGCCTGATCCTATGAAAAACGCATGTGGGACGGCTGCGCAGAGAGAATGAGGAGCACCCCTGGGCAGGCCTGTCTGGCGGGACCTGGAGACTACAGGTGAAGGAGAAGGCCTGGGGGTCGGAGAAAAGAGCAAAGGGAGACTACAGGTGAAGAAGTGGGCCTGGGGGGTCGGAAAAAAGAGCAAAGGGGTCTGGAAAACAGGATTTTGAGGACACACTTAAGAAACAGTCTGTTAGTTTGAAAACAAGAGTATAAAGAGGAGCCCCATGGATGACTGTGAATGACATGGAAGCCTTTGTAGGCATTTGGTCAACAGGGCCTCTGTTCACTGAGGACGGAGAGTCGGCAAAGCAGCGGATAGAGGATTGTTTGATAGAACATCACAGCCAATAAACATTTGTTGAAATGGACTTAGGGACGTTTTAGATGCTATGTGGAGGCCAGAAAACACCACCGCTAAGAGGCAGGTACAACCCCACCTTCTCTAGGTGGTTTAGGCACACCTACTTCCTCCAGGGCCATCCTAGGCTCATGGGGCTGCCAGGAGGTGGGACTCGGAGTCAGACGACATGGGCTCCAGTTGCAGCTCTGCTACTGAATCTCCTGGCCCCTCAGTTTCCTCAAATTCAAAAGTTAATGAAATCGCTAATTCTCAGCGCATCTGTGGAGATGGTGGAGGACAGCTCCTCACCCAGTTTCCCAGAATGGGCCCAGGAGAAGGCTGGGGCTTGGCCTCAGTTTTCTCTCAGATGGGAGCTGGGAATGCTCTGCAACTGCAGACAGAATTGGAGTGTGTGCCTTTGTCCTGGGAGCAGGAGGGAGAATTCTACAGACACCACGGAAGCGCGAGGCATTTGTCCTGGGAGCAGGAGGAAGAATTCCAGACACCACGGAAGCGCGAGGCGTTTGTCCTGGGAGCAGGAGGGAGAATTCCAGACACCACAGGTGCGCGAGGCGGATCTGTGCTCTGAACAGGTTCAGGATCATTGTTTGGTGACTTCCCCTCTCACAACAGCCCACAGTACAGGAGGAGGATGCCTTGAACCCACACAACTACCTTGAATTGTGGCATAACTGAGGGAAAAAGAAGGCCAGTGAATCATCGTCTAAGTGGCGTTTGCCTATAGGTAACATTATCTTCCTGTTCCTGGGAAACAGACAATAGAAGATTAACATGAAAAGAAGTTCCTCCTACTTGCATTTCTGGCCACCAAGAGCCAACAGACCTTTAAGAGTTTCCTTGTTTGCTTGTTGGCTTCTGTCTGTCTGCAGCAGCTCATTTACACAGAACTGCACTTGTTTTGCTGGGGCCTCCATCTTCCTTTAGCGGGGGCTTTATGTAAGGACTGTCACGTGGAGGCAACACTTCTGCTGAGCAACGTGCCCAGCCCCGCTTAGATGTCTATACTAGGGAAGCTGTTACTAGAACAAGTAACGTCACAAGGTGCTCCACCTTCAGTACGCTAAAACCCCGAGAGGGCTCTGTCTAGGTCTCAGATTTGTCAAACACAAATCACACTTACTTTCCAACTCCATTGACTTAACCCTGGGATCATTTACTCCAGGCATAGATGGTAGCTTAAATTTGAGCTTAGATTTTAATCATGGGTTTGTGCTATATTAAGACTTAACAGTCTAAGATATATGTAAAATGAATAAAATGTTTAACCCACATGAGGACTAAATTTACATGATGCCAACTCCCACCAAAAAAAAAAAAAAATCAGAAAAACAGACATTTGGACACAAAGTGACCAGGAAGTGTTCACCTTACGGGGTGCTGACATTACGCCATGCCGGAAGCTCTGGCCACGTGAGAGGACCAAGACATCGCTTTTCTAAGATGAAATAAACACCAGCATGGAATGTTCTTGTCTTTGTATATTTAATTGGAGTTTTACAAATTTTTTTTTAATCTAAACCAGTGATTTAATTCTGGCAATCTTGTTGGACGGCGCGACTCACTCGTGTTCTACCAAATGTGGTGGCTGTTTCTGTGCTGCCTGGTGAAGCCACATCAATGTCATAAGCCCTCTGCTGCCCTGGGTCTGTGGCAGTGGTCCCCCCAGGGGACACTCAGCAGTGACTGCAGGCATCTTTGGTTGTCACGAAGGGGTGGATGCTCCTGGCATCTGGTGGGTGAGGCCCAGGGGTGCCGCACAGGTCCCACGGTGCGGAGGACGGCCCCCACGGCAAACAGCCATCTGCCCCCACTTGCCAGCACTGCAGAGGCTGAGGAATCTGGGTGAAGAGCTTGCAACGTTGGCACGGAGTCTGGAGAATCCTCCCACAAGTTGCATGCTTCATTTTTCTTTGGTGGCATTCACAATGTGTGCTTTTCATAGACACGTGCTGTTTAAACATAGCTCTCAAATGGCTGGGATGTGAGCACAGGAGCGAGTTACCTTCAGTGAGATTTTAATGACAAAACAATCATCCTGTGAGTTCTGTTTCTAATCCAAAACGCCAGCCAGTCAGGTGAGGGTCCCCCACTCTGACTGTTGGGATCTGGTCACTCAGGGACAGATAGCAGGTTTCACTCAGCTACTCTGTACAGACAACCGTGCTCTAGGGGGCGGGGTGGTGAGGGGGGGGCCATTATCCACTGCTGACAGTGTCTTTAACTCTCCTAGCTTCCTTTATCTCCCTCTCTCCTTCCCTTCCCTCGCTCCCTTCCCTCCTGCCCCTCCCTCCTTCCCTTTCCTTCCCCTTCCCTTCCCTTCCCCTCCCCCTCCCCCTTCCTTCCTTCCTTCCTTCCTTCCTTCCTTCCTTCCTTCCTTCCTTCCTTCCTTCCTTCCTTCCTTCCCTGTCTTTTCTCTCTTTCTTTTTTATTGCAAGCAGTATGTTAAAAGCAGGAGGCCTCATCTGCGTCTGGACTGCGTACTTTATAAGCTAAAATTTAGAGAGCTGAAAGGGAGCAGCTACCTTACAACTTCGTTTATTTGATAGATGCAGCACTGTTTCCCATACAGGGAGACTTCACTTTAAATCGGTCTTATTTCAGAAACATTCTTGTCTTTACCTCAGCATTGGCTGTTGGTACATCTAAACATGACTTCACCATTCACAGCATGTAGTGGATTCGCCTTTGTGTGGACGATATGTTCACAAAGGTTTTCTTCTTGACCAAAACTTTAGTTGAGCTCCTCTGGGTCCTTTACTAGAATGCACCCGACCTTGGCTTCCCTCTCTGTGCTTGTAGGATCCAGTTTGAGCAAGAATCCTGCTAACTCAGTTTAAGAACAATTCCCCACCATCAGTGTCGGAGCATTTGGATATCCTACCACCCTGGCCGGCCATCAGCAATGACAGCAATGATCCCATCAAGTCCGTCTGGCCAGAAATCCCTTCTCCTTGGTGCTTCCCGTGGGGAATTTTCCATCCACTGACCCCAATCTGCTCCTTGGTTGTAAATCCCCACTTGTCCTCATTAGGGTTTGAGCTGAGTCCAGTCTCCCCGACTACAGGAGCTCATTGCATGGCGCCTGGACCTCTTGCCCTGCCCACCCCGCTTGAATAGTCTGGTGTACCATCTTTAACAAGTGGTAAATTTTTTCTCGAATAGTACCACAATTTCTTTCCATTCTCGGCTAAATAGTGCCTGTCCTAAATTCCATGTTAATCCAGTAGTTACTGAATGTCAAGTGGTATAGAATTTTTGTTATCTCACATGATGAAATCTCTATATTATATTTTAGACAGTACCTTCTTTTTGGGAGAGACAGTGCCTAGACTTTGTAACATTAAGTGCTTCTTAATGTTACATTCTGCTTAGAATAACTGTACAGCTTTGTGGTCCAATCTTAATATTTAAGAGACCAACTCTCAGTGGCATTAGAATGTGTGTCTCTTGATGGCTTTTCTCAGGGATCTTATAGTAGATACTGTTCTTTTGCCTTTACTCTTCCAATTTAGAAAGAAGTGCAGCTGGATAGGTGGAATGTTTCTCAGTGGGGCCACTTGCACTGCATGTGAGATGTCCTGAGAGGAGCCAGTGGCCCTGGAAAAGGAAGGTTTGCTTTCTAAGAGAAGCTCCAATGAGGACGTCACTGCTTTATGGCGCTAAGAGTCTCTAGATCCTTAATTTTGCCCATGGTGTCAAACTTCGCAAGGCTTGGAGCCTGACGTGAGTGATATTCCTGCCATTTCAGTGAGAAAGAGCATTTTGGAGAGAAGAGTAGCATCTCTACATACCTCCGATGAGAAGCATAATTGCCGGTGATATGTCCAGAACCATCACAGCCAGGCGTGGGGCACCTACAATAAAAAATGCAAATTGTGTTAAAATGGAAAGAAATAAAGTTCCCTGAACAATTAACTTTTTTTTAATCCAAAAAGCAAACTAACTCTATTGCTTCACTTCCTACTTGAAAGAGGCTGAGTGGAGCCGGAAGCTCCCTCATGGAGCTGGAAGTCACCATGACCACACACACACCTTCCAGAGCACCGGGAGCTTCGTGGCTGCTCCGCTCCCCACAGTCTCTGGAGCAGATGCCGCACTTTTGGTCCCTAGGCTGCTCATTCTAGAACCTGTATTCCCTCCTAACAGCCCGCCTTTCCTCCCCTCATTCTTAAAGCTCAGCAGAGCCAGCAACCACAGGGCTTGTTACTGCACCAGCCCACGTGGGAAGCAAGGCTCACACATGAACAGACATGCCCTGGGGTCTGAGAGAATGGTTTTAGTCTGAACTCAGACCCCAGCACTGCAAAGGCACCCCTTCCACAGACTGGCCAGGGCTGCGGCCAGCCTGGGTGGTCCCAGGGAGCAGTGAGGGTATCGACCCGCATCTGGACCATGGGAATGCAGGCCGACTGTCTTTCCGATGACCACTGTGCACTCAGGCAGGTTTGATAGACCTTAAAATAGTTGTTACTCTTGAGCGACATGAAGAACATAAATCAGTTCAGATCCACCAGGTCAGTCAGTGGAGAGGCTCTGAACAGTTCATGGGGACATACACTCATCTGCTGAAGCCTACCGAGGCAACCCCATCCCGTTTCTTAATTAAGGTCTTGCTATTTCTCTAATCAGAGACTTTTTTTAAGAAAAAGAGCTTTATAATTATATTGCCCTCCATATAACTTCTTAACTATGCTGTCTCAAGAATAATGAGATCAACTTCTTAACTATGCTGTCTCAAGAATAATGAGATCACACCGCAAACACATTTTCACTTTGAGCTATTTCAGTTGCATTTGCGCCCACCATGAATGTAAAAATTAAGAAAAAATTCCCTTTATTTCCATTACATTTGTAATTCTCCAAAAATGACAAGGAGAAAGCAACTTAGTGAGCAATATTACACCTAGTAGGAAGCATCAAAGCATACTCCATGCCCCTTCCCACCTCAGTGAGTACCCGAATTCTTGTCAAGATCAAGAATCACAATTTAAAAATATTTTAATACATGTCTACTGCTCCTAGAGATTTCAATTTGCTTTCCACTCAGAAAGTCACTATGGATAGGGTACTGGGGGCTGAGACCAGGACGGCAAAGTGCTTGCTTACAGGTGGGCTTTCTCAAGATCAGAGGAGAATGGCAGGGATTAGAGTGGGAACACATGACATTGGCCGAATTTTAAGTGTATGAATGTCACATTTTGATACTTGGATGTGTAAATGGTTTTCAGTACTCTCCTTTAGTCCTAAGAAAGGGAACAGAACTCTAGATCTCAGGGTATAGAAGTGGATGTTTTCCACATCATATTAGAGGAAAAGTCTAATTTATGACCTGCTCCCGGGGAGAATGAGAGGGTCACTGAGTGAAGAAGCAGTAAAGGGTTCTTCTGTGTGCTCCCATCACTGCTCTTCAGCCTAAGGGGAACTGGGGATTTTAAAAGAGGAGTTTGGGGCAGAACAGTGATGAGGTATTTCAAACAGCGTCTGCATATCATGAGCAACAACTCCAAATCCAATTGTTAGACCTGATTTTTGTTCAAGTAACAGCTGTTCACATATACTTAAAGTTTGATCGTAAGACTATTCAGTCAGTTGCTAAGTAATTATTGTCTAAAAAATAAATGACTGAACTTAACTAGCTGGTTTTTCAAATGACACCTTATGTGGGTAAACTCCAAACCCATATGCTTACATAGGAAGACATTTGAAAGCAACAAAAATCATTCTATCCAAGAGAAGCTAATCGTGGTGCATGTATCTGTATTAAAAATGTATCAAGAAACAAATTTTTCCTACCAGCCACCAATACATACTTGGTATTACTTTTTGCTTAAGAAAAGAAAAAGATTCTTAAACTTTCTAATTCAAGTACATAGTGCATGTTTATTTAAAATTTATTCATTTTAATATGGCTAAACATTTTTGAGATGTTCTTTTTTGTTGGGGCAGAAGGAAGTTGACTCTTCTGCTCAAATTTAAAGTGAGATATTATAGCCAAATAATTCAGTGAAAATCATATTTTTACTACCTATAAAAGTTTTTGTGGTAGTTTTTATGTGTTTAAATGTCATTTATGAAAGTATAATCCATTGTTTGATAAGAAAATAGGTGTTTTAACCAGCACCTGTGGCAACTTAATGTCCTGTCAAATACTTTTATTGCTTGGTTTATGTGTCCTTCTTGTTATAGGAGAATATGCCTTTTTAAAAAGCTTATTAATAGCACTTTCCCAATTTATATCTTAAAAATCCAAAGAACACTGGATTAATAAAATTTGGGAGGGTAGAATAAAATAATTGATGACTCTTGCTGCATTTCTCGGGTGGGATGGGGCTGTTGGAGAACCTGAACTACTTTGAAAACATTAGGTCTCAGTATAAATACAACTCACAACTGCTAACTTGGAGGGTGGCGGGGGAACACTGTGAGTTTTGTTTTGTTTATTGATTAGTCTTTAAAGTAGGGCTTTTTTTGAGATTACTGGGCCATCATTAAATGTGATTATGTAAAGAGATTAATGATACATATGGAGGGCTCTACCCAAGTCCGCTAAATAAGCACTACTCAGGTGCAGACTGCAAGCTCAAATGTATCTGTGTTATGAGATTAACGGAAAATAGCAAGTGTGCTGCTGAAGTCTACACCAATGGGGTTAGATGAGTGCTATGCCCTTAATTTTAAAATCAAATTAGGTTTCAGTAAAAAAAGTTTTTAAAATGTCCTTTTTCATCATGAAAACAAACAAAACTATATTGATTTAGCTCATTTTTAGAGCTTTCACTGTACTGAGGAAGAAAAAAATCATTGGAAGGAGGCTTTTCTCTCTTAAAAGGATTGTTCTCATTTCCAGGATTTCGAGTTGGGCGGGTGGGGCGTTCATCCCAGGCGTGCCACTTGCTAGCCGCGTGAATGAATGTGGGGAAGCTGTTTGGCCCGAGAAGGCTCACAGTCCTCCTGGGCCTGACGTCGTCTCCTTCTCTTGAGACGCCTCTCCACCCGCCTGCATAGGTTCCTGTGAACGCCACAGTTCAGGCTGCCCTCAACGTCCTCACTAGCGCCCAGAGCAGAGACATGCTGGAAACACTGGCTGTGTCTCCCTGAGATAACCAGCCCCCGGTTTTCGGGGGTGGTAATTCAGCTTTTCCGTCTTTAGGTGGTGCTTCTAGACCACATAAGGCAGCCCAGAATGGCTTTTCAAGGGTTCCTCCTTCCAACCGCTCTTGGTATCCATTTTTATGTTACTGTTCAAGAATTTAAGGCTCTTTAAAAACTCATAGATTTACATACAAATTTCCTAGCTTTAAGAAATCTCAACATTAAAAAAATACAATGTTCTGAAGTCGATGGATGGGGAAGTGACTGTTCATCTAACAAAAGGGATCTTCGCCTCTCAAACGGAGTCAGCTCCAGGATCCTCGACCACGGGCGTGGCGTGAAATCGATTTACAAACACGCGATTTGTATCTGCCCATCTAGGAGCATTGCCTTTTCCACGAAGGAAGCCCAGGTGGGACAATCAGCATCCCCCGTGGATAGAATCAGATGGCAGCCTGTGCTGCACAGCTTGGGTTTGGAAATGGCAGAAGAGATTGACTGGGTTTCCATGGAAACGGCCTCTCAGCTCCCTTTCAGGGAGGCTGCGGCTCTCAGCGCTGCAGCACTCAGGCTGCTGGGGAGCAGAGTGGGGTTGGAAAGAGCACCACTCACCTAGCGCCCCGCCTGCTTTCCTGACAGTTACCACGAACAATAACAGCAAGGCTATTTTAAGTTCCTGTAGATGGTTAAGGTGTAAACTTGCATTAAATAAAACGCTTGGTTATATATACATATGTATATATTTTCTTTTCTATTCCAAAGATACTATTGCTAAAAACAACTGGAGAAAGAAGATGATGAACAAATAATCTTGAAACCCACACGAGCTGCCCCACGGATATTTTCAAGACAAAAATAGTCCTGATCTTGCTTCATCTCTGGTCATGGGTTTGCCTGAGATTAAGAATTTAAGAGAAATAAAAAATAAAAAAAAAGGAAGAAGAATTGAAGAAAAAATAACTTTTGGTTGTACATATTAAGAGAAAATAACTTTTGGTTGTACATATTACTATCTGGTTGAAAAAATGTGTCTTGTATAGACATTTACGAGTGGTGATGGAAAAATCATAATAAAATATTTTAAGCAGTATTTACATTACAGCCAACGTGCAGAATTCAGGCGAATTCTAAAAAAACAAAACAAAACAAAACAAAACCACCCAAGCAACAACAAGAAAACAAAAAGTAAAAGACAGGGACGCTCAGAAGCATTTGGAACTCTGACTTTAAGGCAAGAGCCCTTGTCAGGTAGAAACATCTGTTCCTGTTGCTTTTGCAGATCTGAGGCATCTGAGGAACCCTTGGACTTGACCCCTTGTCCCCTTTGTGCTCCTGGCCTTGTCTTTACTATTCACCACCAAAGAAACAATCTCTGTGAGCCTGTGTAAGAAGCGGCATTGACCACACGTCCATGGAGGTCATAAGATGTGTCGGCTAACATAAAAGAAGAGCTCGAAATCTAGGCATTAGAATACATCATCATAAAAAAATCATATTGTTTTCCATTGGTGCACATCACGCAGCTGGGACGCTCACCAACTGGCTTTTCAGATGCCCTCTGATGTGTCCTTCCCAGGACATAAACCCATTGCTGTGCGGATTCCCTCCCATTTACAAAACCATAACCTGAAGCAGGGTGGTGTACATGAAACAGCTGTGTCTACCGACTGAGGCTGTATTGTAGCCAGTTATTCATACGAATGTCTTGAAAGTGCTCCCTCTAGGGTCTATCATCCCATCCTCTCTCTTTCAAAAGGAAATAGTATGGAAATTAAATAAATGCTTGCAGTTCTACTAAGCAAGGCATTGAAAGCACGACATGCTCTTCAGGATAGGGCTGCCTCTAGTTAAATGGATGCTCACAGTACAGCACATTTTACTGCCTAAACCCACTTTACATCAATGCTGTTAGAAAACAAGGCAGAGACTCCTGGAGACAGAGGCCAGGAAAGAGCCCACAGCACAGACATTCATTGTCCAGGGGTCAGGACAAGCTGCCACATGCTTTTGTTAGACACACGTGTTGAACACCCAGAGTCAGTGAGGACAACCTCCCACCATCACCTGCAGAGCAAGTGCACGCGGAGGCTCAGAGGCCACAGGCCTGGGAGGCAGGGCCTGGGAGTCCTCCCAGCCTGACTCAGTGTTTCACAGGAGCATGAACACGAGGCAAGACCCAGCCAGTCATCAGGGCCTGGGAGTCCTCCCAGCGTGACTCAGCATCTTACAGGAGCATGACTGCGGGCCAAGACCCAGTGGGTCCACCATCATCTATCTCCAAATCAGTCTAAAGGGAGAACTACCTGGAAGAGACGCACAATCTCTCATCTTGATTGAGTTAACTACTTATTTATTTTTTTTAAAAGTCTTCTAAATGAAGGCTAAAAGGACTCCCAGAATGTTTCAGCTCTGTCTGGATTAATGATCTCTGAGGCTGCCCTCATCTAATTGAGTCATTCCTCAAAGGCTCCCCGGATTTTGAGCTCAGCAGCTAAAATGTACAGAACAACATTGAATATTTGGAGTAATAATGCAAATGTCAGATGGAGAGACTTTGAGTTCTTCTAAGAATTTCTCAGAAAGCCCCTTTCATGTGTCTTTTTTCATTCCTTTGTTTCATGGTAGCTCTATCATGGAGACTTAAGTAGTAAAACACAAAATATGAAAAAATAGATTTTTTTCTTTATCCCCCGAATTAAAACAAAATAACAAAAATGTATAATCAGGCCTTACCTATAGGAGAAAAACATATTTGTAAATCAGAATGATTCTGGCCACGTGAATAAGCCTTTGCCCCACTTACATGGAAATTTCAATTTTAAAACTTGTTTTTCACCTAAACAGATCTGGTTCTAAAAATATGTATTGCTCCGAAGCACCAGAGACATGGTAAAAAAAATTTTTTAAAATACATATTACTATTTTTTTTTTTTTAATTTGAGACAGAGTCTCACTCTGTTGCCCAGGCTGGAGTACAGTGGTGCAATCTCGGCTCACTGCAACCTCCTCCTCCCAGGTTCAAGTGATTCTCCTGTCTCAGCCTTCCCAGCAGCTGGGATTACGGGCATGCACCACCATACCCAGCTAATCTTTTGTATTTTTGTAGAGACAGGGGTTTCGCCATGTGGGCCAGGCTGGTCTCAAACTCCTGACCTCAAGTAATCTGCCCGCCTTGGCCTCCCAAAGTGCTGGGATTATGGGCGTAAGCCACCACACACAGCCTAAATATATTTTTTAATTTTGATTCTTGTTGTCATATAAATGGGAAACAATAAAGAAATGTAGAGAAAGGCAAAATAAAGACATTTCAAATAGGAGAAAAAGGCTCGATACCCATTTTTAGTCTGCACTGCTGCAACTTTCTTTCCAAACAGAAAGAGACCAGGCTACTTAGGAGTAAGCAGTTCAGAGCTGATCCTCTGCATCCGACTGCTCCACATCCTCAGATTCAACCAATGAAAGATCAAAAATATTCAGAGAAAAATGATAAAAAACAATAAAAATAATACAAATTTTAAAAATACGCTATAACAACTCCATCAATAGCCTTTACTTTGTATTAAGAATTGTATGTAATCCAGAGAAAGTTAAAATGCATGAGAGGATGTGTGCAGCTGGTAGCAGGGACAGGAGCCCCCTTGGATTTGGTATCCTCAGGGGTCCTGGAACCAACCCCCCAGGGATGCTGGGAAACAACTATCCTGTATCACTTCTGGCCAATTTCTTAAAGAGATTTCCTAAAATTCACGGAAAGGCAATTCTTGTAAATCACTCTGCAGTTTGTAAGACATTCAGTGATTTTGTCTTCTTTTGGAATTCCATGTGAAGTATGCGTATTTTGCACTTTCTCCCACGCTAATACAGCAGTGCAAGATCCCGCATGGGGCGTTGATATTTTCCAAGCCACCTTTTGCTACCTTCTCCCGGGTGGAGTCTCTGCTGCCTCCCCCATAGGCACCTCAGCCTCCCTGCCCGGTGCCCTCTCCGAATTCCCTTTCCCAAAGCCTCTCATTAGGAAAGGGTGCGGCGGCATGCCTGCTACTTGGAAGTACCAGATACTGCAAGAGTGCTGCACACACACCCTGACAGCCTGGGGGAGGGTGCTCTTGTCACTAAGCTTCAGCCACTCTGGGTCTCCCGGGAGGCTTTGTCCCTGAGATTCTTAGAGGGTCTCCCATTCGGCTTGGTTTCCTGAAAGTCAGGTGAGGGTTTTTTACAAAATGATGTCTAGGATATTCCAGTATTAGGAAAACCTACACATTTCAAAGTGTGAAGTAGACTTGCCTATATTTGTGGCATTTAGGTGGAATGCTTGCTTTCTGATATATGTAACCTGTAAACAAAAAACACCTTTCTTTCTTTTGGTTCCCAGCACTTTTCTTTTTAAATTACACTAGAAAATAACAAAAAATACATGGGAAATAATTTTAAAAGTACCCTTATCATAATTTTTTAAAAATTTCTTTTTCATGACGCAGATGAGATTTTGGAATGGGCTAGGCCCCAGGTTGCTCAGAACGTGCAAGGGTCATCATGCAAATGAAACACCAAAGTTCTGGTTGTAGGGCCTTGTGGCTGAGAGTGTGCAAGAACTGTGAAGTTATGGCTGGCAAAATAGCAACTGGGCGAGTGAAGAAGCATTATTAGTTGTATGATGCCCAATAACTGTAGTAACCAGAACACACCTAAGTTTATCTGGATGACATGCAGATGGTATCACCCGCTGACAGCAGGAATATTGGCCAGGGGATTTACACCGTGGCTTGCGGCTCCAGTGCCTATATTAGCACTGGGTCAGCCTCTCACCTGCACCACGTCCCATCCAGCCGCCCTGCCCCCTGGCCCTGGTGCCCTGATACCCTGGAGGACGCACGCATGCTGCCCCAGCGTTGGGGACAGCGCGCCGGATGAGAGGGGCTCTGGGAAAGGGGACCCGGGCCGCGCTGGTGACAGGTCTGTCTCCACTCCTGGGCTTGTTTTCTGGGGATTCTCTCGCTGCGGTTTGGCTGTTTGGGGAGCACCCAGGGGCTGCCACGGCAGCGTCACTGTCCATGCTGCATGCAGTTTGTCTGTTTCCCGACCATGCAGCCTAGGACTCTTCACTTATCCCTCTGTGTTGATCATGCTGCCCTCGTTGCCAACACTGCGAACCGCTGCAGGGCCGAAAGGCGCCCCAAGTACATCCAGCAATAGGCTCCTGTCCAGTGCGGCAGAACGTACCTAGCACATCCTGACGTCCCATTCACTTAACGGGATGTGTCCATGGGAACTGCTGCCAGAGCACATGCACGTCCAGCAGCAGTGGAGCGGCTAAGCAAGAGGCTGGGGCCGCCGGAGCCAGTATTGGGGTTGGACTCGGAGGACCCATGCAAAAAAAAAATACAAAAGGTGACTGGTGCAGCTGACGCAAGGCAACAGAAACGCCACCCCAGCCTCTCGCCCTCGCGTGGAAGAGTGAGTTTCATCCAGGGCCTGACGCATTCAAACCACACGCTCGGGATGCAGGTGGGGCCCCCAATTCCACATGCAAAGGGACCTCACTCAGGGCTGGGATGCTGGGGCCTGGGGTCGCAAGAGAGGTACTCACCTTGAGTTGATTACACGGAGCCCTAAGGCAGCTAATGCCATTTACATGTAGTAAAAACATGTTTTAAAATACATTTTATGCAGCTTGTTGCAGGGAATTCCTTTCGGGCGGTGGGATCCGGGATGAGATGTGTAAGACTGAGCATCTCTACCTTACTCTCAACACGGCCATTATTAGATGGTCTGGAGATGCTTTCACAAACAGTCCTTTGTCCTTATCACTCTCAGAGGCAAGGACTGTTTGTCCCTTAGGGTAAGGAACCCGCTGTGGGATGAGGAGTCATTCATCCTGGAGGGTTAATGGTGGGGGCTGGGAGCGGTTCTTTGCAAGGGCTACTGCCTCGACAGCACCAATTTTCCAACACCAAGAACCCACTGGATTGCCTGTGAGACTAAGACGGAGGATCCAGCACCACCACGGCGACCACGCTCATGGCCAGCACCACCACTGCTCACCTCACACACACACACACTTGTGCACAC
The DNA here is from genome assembly GCF_000001405.40 of Homo sapiens. NCBI lineage: Eukaryota > Metazoa > Chordata > Mammalia > Primates > Hominidae > Homo > Homo sapiens. Next base: position 1,861,011 of record NC_000002.12, read on the forward strand.
ACACTCACTCCTAGCCCCAGAGGGCACAGAGGGAAGCGGCGACAATGGCCAAAAACTCAACACAGCTCAGATATTGTTTTTTAAATCTGAGGACCCCGAGGCCCTGAGGAACTGAAAGAGCCATTCTGTGGGGTCAGACACAGACTCCTGTGTGTGCCTGGAGGGGTCCTGAGGGCAGCGACTTCTTCCACTGCTGAACTGGGGCATGGGGACGGCCACTTCCTATCTCCCTCCGGGAGGGTTTAGACTCCTTTTCAGTTACATAAGGGAGGTTCAGAGAATTCAAAAGCAGATCAGTTTCCAAAAGCTGGTAGACTTCAGCTTGCCTTAGGAAAGGCAGGTCTTCCAGGACAGGAGAAAGGAAGGATTTCTAGAGCCACCTAGACAGGAGGGGATGTACATGTTTTTCCTCTTCAGCAGAAATGTTGATCCTCATCCTTTACATTCGTGTTATTTTTGTGCTATTTTTTCTTGTTTGCCTGGTTTGTGAATCTTTTTTTTTTTTTGTAGCCCTTAACTTCTCTCATAGGGAAAAGATTTGTATTCTAATCGGGGTTTGGGGGGGTGTTAAAGACGCTGTGCTCTGCCTGCAGCCTGTGTAATCCTAGATCTGCCTGCAGCCTGTGTAATCCTGGATCTTCCTACAGCCTGTGTAATCGTGGATCCTCCTACGGCCTGTGTAATCCTGGATCTGCCTGCAGCCTATGTAATCCTGGATCTGTGTGCAGCCTGTGTAATCCTGGATACTCCTCCAGCCTGTGTAATCCTGGATCTGCCTGCAGACTGTGTAATCCTAGATCTGCCTGCAGCCTGTGTAATCCTGGATCCGCCTGCAGCCTGTGTAATCCTAGATCTGCCTGCAGCCTGTGTAATCCTGGATCCTCCTACAGCCTGTGTAATCCTGGATCCTCCTGCAGCCTGTGTAATCCTGGATCTGCCTGCAGCCTGTGTAATCCTGGATCTGCCTGCAGCCTGTGTAATCCTGGAATTCGCTGAGATTTTTCACACTCGGGGGTTACCTGATGTTTTCTCTTTCTTCCTCCCAAATTCTGCCTCGTGCCCCTATCCTCTTGTTTATAAGTATGATTTTAAAACTTTTTTGGGGTTTATTTTCTCCTCTTTCAGCCTCTTATTTTATTAAAAATGGAACATATTCTTCCTTTCTACCACGGAATCTGCCTTTTCCCTGATTTCAAACCTTGTTTCATTTGTCAAATTTACAAATTATTTCACAGACTTAATTTTTCAAGAGGTTTTTAAAAAAAAATCAAAAAATCTTTATTTTGCAGGCAAGGAAACAGATGTAAAGAGTTAAGTACCTTTAAGGTCAAAAAGGAGCAACAAAGCTGAGATTACAGGAACCATCTCTTACCTTCTGGTGCGTTTTGACTGCACTAAACTCTTCTTGCCGGTTCCCTTGTTATCAATAATGCCCACCCCTAAATCTAGAATCTATAATGTGATCTATGGGGTGAGTTCATTTGTTTTTAAAGCTCAAGGGCTCATTCGTTCCTCTTTGTGCTTTTTATTGATCAGTTCACATGGACTTTCCAGGTCATATAAAATTGAGAAGATTGAAGAAGATTCTAGGAAAGAAAATAAAATGTATCTAGACTTCTGTGTCAGGAAGTAGCCATCCATAGCAGTTGCTAAAAATTACACTGTCCTCTGCTTCTCATGTCTTCCCTCTGGTTACAAAGAGGGCCAAAGAGGGCAGAGAGAGAGGTTGGAGCACCTGCTGCAAACGCTGCAGGGATGTGGCCGTCTCATATTCTGGCTCTGGAATCAGTGACGTGTGTTCCCTGGGGAAAGACGAGAATTGGCTGAGTGGACAGGGGAGAGGGAAAATCAAGAAGGAGAGAGGTGAGTAGGGAAGATGGGAGAAGAAGGAGAAAGGAGGAGGAGAGGAGAGGAGGAGCTGCTGCAGGTGCATTACAAATACACCACAGATCCTGGAGACTCTGGTGTCCAACAGGAGGCTCACAACGCTGGAATGATCCAGGAGGCCAGGGATACAGGGCTGGCCCAGATGGACACTGGGAATGGTAGCGTGTCCAGATGTGAGATGCTGGGCACCCCATGGAGATGGTGGTAGCTTTGGGGCTCAATCCCTGCTCTGAACTCTTGGAGAGAAAAACAGGGCCTGCTTCCTTGAGGCTCTCGACTTTCTATTGGGTGCCTTAACCAAAGATCCCTAACTCAGGAGAACTGAGTGTGGAGTGTGCTGTTTTCACGGATCCTGTGGCCTTTGGGACTATAAGCCAAGGTGCTGCCAGCAGGCTTAGTCCACGCTGGCCACCTGCAGGAGAAGCACAGGCCCTTTCCCATCTGGAATCTGTTTCAAGAGTAAGTTAGGGAAAGTAGGCTGGATGAAAAAAATGAAGATGTGCTTACAAGAGCAAAACAACAAGAAAACTGCAATCCACCCAAGGGTGAGAAGACTGAGCTCAGATGTGTTGAGATTCCGACATTCATCCCCACAGACTTCCTTTCACATGACGCCACAGCAGTGTGACAGCCACGCTTGCAGAGTACTGTCCCGCGCCAGCCCGACCCCCGGAAGGATAGAAACGGCATGTCCCACTCCAGGCCCAAACCCCGGAAGGATAGAAATGGCATGTCCCGCTCCAGCCCGACCCCAGGAGGGATAGAAACGGTATGTGCCGATTGTATTCCGACAGTGGTGGCGACAGTGGAAGGACTTGAACCATGTCACTTGAGAAACAAAAAAGGGGGGGGCATTTGGGGATATTTGGGGGGATAGTTAGCTCAGAGAAGAGGAGGGAAACAAATGACTCCTTTAAAATAGATGGGAAGTAGATGTTATAAGGCAGAAAGAAATCTTGTTCTGAACATTCATAAATGTCTTGGGACTCCCTCTCGGGAGGAGCCTCTAACCATGGTTGACGGAGGAAAGAACGGCTGCCTTGGGTGGTGGAGCTCACCCTCAGGAGAGGAGCTCAAGGACCGCTGGGGTCTGCTGAGAAGTGCAGGAGCATCACAAGGTGGCTGGATGGGCGCCTGCCACTGGCCTTCATGCCCCCCAGGGCTGCGGCTGCAGGTTTTCTTCACAGCCTGACATGGCCCAGGTGGATGGTGACAGGCCGGGCTGTGCCTTCCCTCTGGGAAACAAAGATGCCTCTTCAGGGAATTCCAGGAGGCTTCCACGGCTCTTAGGGGACAGGATGCTCAGGGGAGGGCAACTCTAGTGTGAGGGCCATGTGGTTTGAGGTCCTCCCCAACACGCAGAAAGAAAGCCCCCAGCAGACCTGGCAGGTCCGGGGCCTTCTGGAAACCCCTGCCTAGGGGCTGCACCCTCCACGGAGTCTCCACAGCCCTCCCTGCCATGGGTGCATCCAGTCTCCAGCAGGCCCTCCACAGTCTTGCCGCTCCCTCCCTGCCAGCTCCGGCCTTCCCAGCTTCAGCTAGGCATGTGCCGACTTCGTGTCTGCAGCCCTGTCTGTCCTATTGGCTCCCGTTCAACATGGGGCCCCACAGAAAGTTTGCTGGACACTCCCCAGGGGAGAGCTGGCCCTGTCCCCCAGTCGCCGTCCCCAGGCTGAGCTCCCGCTTTGCCTCCTGCGCAGAGCTGTCTCTGTGTTCAGGCATCTCGTTTATTCAGGGTCTGGGAGGGCAGGGCTGAGCCCGGATGGGAGGCACGGGTGCCCCTCCACACATGAAGCTCCCCTCCACAACATCTCTGCCCTCAATGTCTCCCAGAACAGAAGGAGGTGTGGGAGGTTCTTGGCCCCTGCTTGAAGCCTCCTCAGCAGCCACTTCGGGGCAGCCTTCATGCTCTACAGGTTCTGAGGAGCCAGCCACATGCCAGGCTCGCAGAGCTGGTGAAGGATGGTGGCTGCTGCCAGAGGGGTTGGCCTGTTCCAAGTGTCTTTCCTGGCTCTCAGCTGGGAGCTGGGGCTCAGCCTGGCTTAGTTGTGCCCGATTGCTGAGCTTCCACTCTATTTAGGCTCTGGCTTTTCCTGTCATCAGGCTTCTGCCAGAGGATGCTGCTCTATGGGCCCCAGGGTGCTGTCCCCACCAGGTGCTCTTGTGGGGAGGCGGGGGAAGGGCGCCCGTGTGGGTGTCAGCGTGCTAACCCTCCAGGCTACCGCATCTGCCCCGGGTACTGAGTCCCTGGGCGTCTGTGTGGAGAGCTGGGCTGGGGGCTGGTGGACTCAGCGCCTGCTTTGGGGAAGGTGCAGACAAAGGTGGGACCTGCACTGGATGTGAGAGGGGGCTGACGGGGCTGAGGGACACCCCCTCCAGCCCAGCTGCTTGCACACCTGGCCAGCAGCCCTGCTCCTGCGGCCGTGCGGGGTTCCTGTGGGCTTTGAGGCTGAGGCACTCAGGGGTGTGGCCAAAGAGCCCCGGAGTCAGAGAGCCAGACCGGGTTTGGCCTGAGGCTCTGCCATTCCCTTGGTGTGGCGTGTGTTCAGAACAAGTCCCTGAACCTTTCTGAGCCTTAGTTTCTGCATCTGTAAAATAGGAAAAATAATGCCCATCCGCATCGTTAGGATCCTTGTGAGGACTAAAGAACTAAATAAAGTGCAGAGAATTTTAGCTCCCCCTCCTTGTTTTTTTTCTTTTTTTTTTAAGCAGCTAGGCCAGGTTACAGAGGTCCCGGATCTCCTGGAGGCTGGCAGCCTTCTTTTGCGTGGTGGTGCAGGTGATCACATAGGGACTAGTGCACTTTCACAGGTTAGCAAGAAGGCCTGTGAGCTCTGCAGGGGTAAGAAGAGCCAGCACTTAGTACATGCTCAGTACACAAGGCGCGTGGTGGGTTAGACGACCCCATGAGAAGAGCCAGCAGCACTGTGTTTACAACATCTTCCTCCACACGCTGCCTGCTCACTTGCTGTTCCCATCAGTCCCCTGAGCAAGAGGCTACTGCTGCCAACCCTGTTTCAGATGAAATAGGCACAGGCATTCAGGAATTTGCCCATGGCAAGGAGTGGGCTTTGAACCCAAGCTGTCCCACCTCAGAGGCACTGGGTTTAGCCTCCGAGCTACAGTGTCCAAGGGCTGTCTGTGACAGTGCTGCAGCAGGGGCGGACTGAAAGGTGCGAAAGGAAGTTGCCTGCGATGGAGCAGCTCGAAGCATCCAGGAGGCGGCCTGGAGATGCCTTGTGGGAAGAAGTACAGGCCAGATGGAAGCAGGTAGGTCAAGCCGAGGTGGAGACCATGGCCAAGGGGATCTTTTTTATAAAAAAGGAAGATCACTTAAAACAGAGGTCAGAGCTAGGCAGAGTCAGGACCATGGGGTGTTGTGAGTGGACAAAGGATCAAGGCTCCACAGACACCTCTGGCCCCGTCGCCTGCTGCCCACAGCTTCCATAGGTGTGGATCATGATGGCCTTACGAAGATGAGAGAGAGAGAGGCAGTCAGAGAGGTGGGGGAGGAGAGAGAAGGAGGCAGGCAGAGAGAGAGAGTGGGAGAGAGAGAGAGAGGCAGAGAGAGAGAGGGAGGAGAGGTGGGAGGAGAGAGGCAGGCAGAGAGAGAAGGGGAGAGAGAGAGTTGGGAGGAGAGAGAGAGGCAAGGAGAGAGGGAGAGGGAAGGGGAGAGAGAGAGAGGCAGGCAGAGAGAGAGGGAGAGGGAGGGGGAGAGAGAGAGGCAGAGGGAGAGGGAGGGAGAGAGAGAGACAGAGAGAGAGGGAGAGGGAGGGAGAGAGAGAGGCAGAGAGAGAGGGAGAGGGAGGGAGAGAGAGAGGCAGAGAGGGAGGGAGAGAGAGAGGCAGAGAGAGAGGGAGGGGGAGAGAGGCAGAGAGAGAGAGGGAGGGGGAGAGAGAGAGGCAGAGAAGGGGGGAGAGAGAGAGGGAGGGGGAGAGAGAGAGGCCGTCAGAGAGGGAGGGCAGAGAGAGATGGGCAGAGAAAGAGAGAGGGAAAGGGTGAGAGACAGAGGCAGGCAGAGAGTGAGAGGGTGGGGAAAGGCAGGGAGAGAGAAACAGAAAGAGAGAGAGAGGGAGGAGAGAGAGAGAGAGAGAGAGTAAAGCAGGCAGCTAGAGAGGGATGGGGGAGAGAGGGAGAGGGGCAGCCAGGGAGAGAGGGTTGGGGGAGAGAGGGAGGGAGGAAGGGAGAGAGAGAGAAAGAGAGACGGAGGGAGAGAGACAGAGTCTTGCTCACAGCAAGCACAGAGTGCAGCAGTGCCAGGGAAGCAGCTTCAGCCCCAGGAAGTCACTGAGTGGAGAAAAGGGTGTGGGGTGAGGGCGCCTGTCAGGGAGACCTTGGGCGAAGGTGTGGATGAAGGGGGGCCTTGCTGGAAATGAACCGAGGGTCACCCTTGCTGGGAAGTAAACCGAGGGTCGCACACAGGACTCAGGCTATGAGCATCTTTCAGAGGCCCCATTGTCTTGGCTCTCACCCCGGTGCCCCACAGCGCCCTTGCCTCCTGCCTATCCCATGTCTCGTCCCTGGAGGTTGGGTTCAGACGTCTGGCAGGTTTTCCTGCACTACTAATCACCAACTTGAATCCAAAGTCCTCAACTTCAGTCTCAAGGGTGTTCCTTGCCTCTGGCTGGGGAGAGGAAGCTCATCTGTCAGAGGAGGATTAGGAGAAAGTCAAGTCAGTGAATGGCAGATGCCAAGAGTGGTCCTGGCAGCCACGTCCACAGGTTTCTGGGGGTGGGGGACCTCGGGGCGCTCTCTGGCTCTCCTCCAGAGAGGATGGAGGCTGCATATGCCTCTGTCTGCAATTCCCCCTCATGGCAGTCTGGATGCAATGAAAGTTTGCCGATTAGATATAGATATGCTCATTAATGTGAATATGTAGATGAAGGTCATTGTTCACACATTACCTTCATTACATTAGCTATTCTCCATTAATTTGTTTCCCCAAAACTGTTCCAAATAAAAGAACATCTTATGGCGGGAGGGTGGGGCTGCTGACTGTGGCAAATTTCATGTTAGAAATATCTATCTTTATTTAGTAAACCTTCAATGGGAAGCAACTTTGGCTCTATGCTTTTCTTTCTTTTTTTTTTGACAGAGTCCTGCTCTGTCACCAGGCTGGAGTGCAGTGGCGTGATCTTGGCTCACTGCTACCTCCGCCTCCTGGGTTCAGGTGATTCCCCTGCCTCAGCCTCCCAAGTAGCTGGGACTACAGGCGTGCACCACCATGCCCAATTTTTGCATTTTTAGTAAAGATGGGGTTTCACCAGGTTGGCCAGGCTGGTTTTGAACTCCTGACCTCAGGTGATCTGCCCGCCTTGGCCTCCCAAAGTGCTGGGATTACAGGTGTGAGCCACCGCGCCCGGCCTTGGCTCTGATGTTTAAGAAAATCATTTAAAAATGTGTCTGTCTCAGAGTGTATTTTCATAGAACCTGCACTTGCATAATATCAAAAATGTGCTTCTTAGGCAAAGAATCTCCTTTTAAAAATGATCTGTTGTTATGTAAGCTATAAAGAAAGAATAGGAATGATTTTCTAGAAGAGGAAGGAAGGAAGGAAGGAAGAAACCCTTGATAATTGGGAAGGATCTTAGAGGATGAGAGGCTTGCAGTGGTTTTTAATTTTCCTGTCTTATCAGCACTGGCAAGGAGCAGGTCTCCAGAGCCCCCTCTCCCCGGCCCCGAAGGCAGGGCAGGCGTCCCCAGCCAGGGAGGAAGGCTCTTTGAAGGCTTAGGAAGGGAAGGGGGTCCATTCCTCAGGCTGCCTTCTCTGTGCCCCCCTTCTCTGGCACTCGTGGGCCTGCCCTGGGGCTGAGAGGCAGGGGGGATGCAGACGAGCGTTGCTATGGAGACACGGTTGCTAGGCTCCCTCCTCCCCCCTCCTCCCTGCGGTGCAGGCTGGTTCTACCGTGTGCAGGAAACCTGAGAGCCTGGATCAGCTCCTTGACTGCAGCGCTGCCAGGCACCGAGGAGGGAGGGGAGATGCCCTCAGGTGTGGTGGCCATGGGAGTGGGCTCCCGGGAGAGGGGAAGGCCTCTCAGTGACACCAGGTTCAGCTTAACCAGCCCTCAGCAGAGATAAGGATATACAGCCCAGGAACCTTTGGAACACACACCAGCTGTCACTGAGCTTCCGCAGGCCATGGGTGCTAGAGCTTCAGCCAGGACTGCCTCCTGGCATGGCCACCAGGGCATGGTCTGTGCCTCACCGGTCCATGCACAGTCAAAACAGAAACCAGAATCACGTGTTAGCTGCAATCCTCTTTTCCACGTGCCACTGTACCTCCACCAGAGACAAAGCACACAGTCCCGGACTTATCCTCTTTTCCACGTGCCACTGTACCTCCACCAGAGACAAAGCACACAGTCCTGGACCTGGGTTGTGTTGTCCAACTGCCCTGGACATTTCATCTAAGAAAGTGGTTCAGGGACGATGGCGCAGCCGGTTGGGAAGGGCACTGAGTTGGGGGTCTCATGAGACCTGGCACTCCAAGTCCTCCCCAGTAGCCAGCTGCATTCCCTGGAGGCTCCTTGTCCTGTGCACGGTGCCGGTGCACGCATGTGCGTGAGCCTGTGTGTGTGCCTGCATGTGGTCGGTGTAACAGAGATGGGACTCCGTGCCCTACACACTTCACAGGCTCCAAGATGATGAGAACGCCCTGGTTTCGGGGAGAAGCATTTAGTTCTAAGGTGGAAGGAATGGTGATGAGGCAGGCAGGACTTCATGCTGCCGTTTCTCTCTGTTCTGGTCTGTGGTATCTAGTGATTACCTACGGTTTGCCAGACACAGTATCAGGCACTTACAGGCTAACTCATCTAAGTTAGTCCTCATCTTAGACTTGGAAGATGATTATTATCATTATCCCAGTTTCAGAAAGAAGTTGAGGTTTGAAGAAAACCAAGTACTAAGTTCAGGTTTCCCAGCAAGTGGCAAGCCAGGAGCTCCCAAGGCTGTTTGAATCTGGGGCCAGTGTCTGCTCACTATACCACACAGATCTCCAATTTCCATACCAGGAAACAAGCTAGTCACCTAATAAGTGCTTTAAATTCAAACGACATTAAAAATAAACAGCCTTCATCCATTGCATTGAAAAATTGACCATTTGTAAGGTTGATGAGCCATCAGGGTTGTCAGACGATTTTTCAGAGCCGAGAAGTCGAACTCAGAGGGCATTCTTCTCCTCTACCTGTTGCATGATGTCAGTTCTGATGGTGACTCATGAAGATGCTGACTCTAGTAATGAGAATTTCTGCATTGAAACTATTCATTGAAATCATTTCACGGTGCAGAGAAAGCTTGTTGCTTTGGCAGAAATCCAAAGTGCACCCAAGCTGCATGGATTTGGGGAGGAGTCCTCAAGCTCTCTGTCCCATTACGCTGATCTGAAGGCTCAGTCCAGGACTTCTAGCCTGCTTGGTGCTGGGGGATAGGTCTTTCCCTGGCATTCTCCTTCCTCAGCTCCCTCCCTGTTCTGTGTGGCTATGGAAAGGTCATGAATGACTCTGCCCCAGAGAGCAGCAGCCTGGAAACTTCTCAAACACACAGCAGGACAGGATAGGGTTGAGGTGGCCATAGAGGGTCGGTCTGCTGGCACTAGGAGCTTGTGGAAATGGCCCAGTCTTGCCTCAGTGACCAGGGGTCTCTTTTCAGTTGGTGATTTTGGGCCAAAGACCTCATTTGGAAAGAATTTTCCTCTTCTCCTGTAGACAAGACCTGGCCAGGCAAGTCCATCGTGAACTCTGAATCATGCTGTTGTAGGCAGAACTCCAAAAGGGACATTTTACACGATCTGTGTTTTCTCTTTATGTGATTTGTCAGAGCCTATGGCACACTGAAAAATGTTAATCAACATTGTTTGCTACTCCAGTTACGGAAGATTGGGTTGAAATCTTGTCTCTGTGAAAAGCAGCATTACAATTTTAATGGAAGTACAATATTCATTTCTGAAAGTTACTGCTAAAGTGTCCTACGTGTGGAAGCAGGTTGCAGTGTGTGGAGACCCAGCTCTGCGAGCTGCCCACTGGGCATCTGGACCATCCGTTTCTCACTGGTCTTCTGCTTTACCCGCCCTGCCCTAGGCTGGGGCTGTGTGCTGGTGCACGGGATCCACGAACAATTTTAAATGGATCACAAATTCCCCGCAGAGGGAGAGGAAAGGGACAGGAAATGCAGGTGAGACAGAAGAAGCTGAGGAGGGGCAGCTGGGTCTGAGAGTCGGTCTAATCCGTGGCCCTTCCTGGTTTCCAGAGTCTGCTAACACAGAAAGTCATGATTCTGATGGATTGAAAATCAAGTGACTTTACATGTCTAAAGTAAAACCTCTACTCTTAGGCAACTAATTTAACCCTTGAAGTGCTACGGAAATCTCTGTGTGCCAAGATCACGTGTCTCCGTGCGCTGATGGAGGGGACTCTGTGGGAAGATTTGCCTCCAGACCTGGCTGGAAGCCGCCGCTGCTGGAGAATTCCGGGAGGGCCCCTCCTATCTCTGCTCCTCAGTTCCCTGGCCTGGAGAACCGGGATACCAATTCATGCCCTGCAGCCGCAGTCCTCTGCAGAGAGCTGGACACAGCGTGCCCCTGTGGGACCCCACATGAGTCCAGTGAAGCCGGAGGGCAGAGGGTATTGTTGCTTTTTCTAGATAAGAAAACTGAAGCTCAGAAAGTTGAATTGACTTGCAGAAGCCCAGGTGGCTAGAGGGGTGAAGGGTCTGGATCGAGGGTCCCTGTGCCCCTCCCCTCATCTCACAGGGCAGATGCCCGGCCCAGCTGCTCCCCAGGCTCTCAGGCCACCTCAGTCCTCAGCCTCTTCAGGGCCTGGCACAATAAGAATGGCTTAAACAAGTATGTGTTGAAAAAATTCTTGTGTGGGTCAAATGATAACACAACATTCTGAAAGAAGTGAAGAGTTTGCAAGTATAAGATGCCACTAGCATGGATAAGAGAGCTCAGGATTCAAACCAAAATTGTTATCACTGATAGTAAGAGGTGACCATCCAAGCTGAAGCTGCAACAGAGGTCATCGCTGAGACATGAAACTCGGAAGCGCCACATGGATTCTGGAGGAGGCGCATTGTATGAGCTGCATTATTCGTAGAGACAATGGAGCACCTCGCATTGTACTTGATGGGTAACTGATCAAGGTGATGCTGGTGCAGCCGCATGAAGGTGGAGCTAGTGTGTACCTGGGGAAGTGGAAGTCTAATCTTCTGTAAAAGAGGCTGCCCCAAGAAGCCTGGGGACTGGTCTGGCTTGGAATCTACATGAACGGGAAACAGAAGGGAGGAGATTTCTGGATGTCTCCATCATTGTCTCGGAGAGCTATGTTCCGACCCCCAGTCATCCACCAGGGCATGAAAAGTGCCTCCGTTTCCATCACGTTCTCACCCTCACACACATGTCATCCAACGAAAGGTAGAACTGAAGCCAGAATTAAGGCAGTTTGAAAAATAAAGAAATGACAGAGAATAAGACGACCAAAATATGCCAGCTAGGAAAATGGTTTAGAATTTGGAAAGTGGTGAGGACAGGGAGAAGGCAGCGGTGTGGACTAGATCAGCCATGGGCTTGTGGGCTGGTCAACATTTTTATTTGATGATTTTCAGCCTGATCTACAAGTCTGAATATTTTTAAATTGTACCATATTAGAATAAGGCAAAGATATATTCGAAAAATGGAATTCTTTTATCTTTGAAATATTTTGATCTTGGTTGTTGGAATTTCAAGTATAAGAAGTTTTATTTCATTCCTTGCTGGAAGTGGGATAAATTTTAGTTTGTTAATTATCTTTGTCCTCTTTTTTCTGACATGCCCTCCCTCCTCCACAGAGTCTCAAAACTCCAGGCCATTCATGGGCTGGTTCTTACCTGTCTTTTCTGGGATTTAATTCTTTTCTGTAATAAATGCTTATACAGCTTATTTTGGGCACCACCAGGTGCTATTCTAAGCACGTTACAAACATGAGCCCATTTAATTTTATAATCATGACCTCTCAGGTAGGGGCCAGCATGATCCTCACTGTGTAGATGGGGAAAACAGAGGTTAAGCAACTTGCTGAGGATCACACAGCCTGTGGGTGGCCAAGCCAGGGAGTGAAGCCAGCAGTCTGGCTTTGAAGGCTGTGCTCATAATCACTGCCCCAGCTCCTGCCTCCTGCCTTGGCCTTTGCAGAGGGGCCATAGAAATCACAGGTGCTGCTGACGGGTGGAGAGAGGGTCCGCTCTCCAGGGTCATGGCCTCACAGCATGTTTTGAGACCCTCCCAGGTTTTCAAATGTTTCCAGGCCTTTAAGGAAACTTTATCAATGCAATTTAAATATTCAGACTATATTTTAAAATATATACATTTTTACAGAAAATAGTGGATCTCAAATATAATAAAATTAAAAACAAATGTTAAACTATTTTTATTTTACCTAAAATCTTACTCCATTTGATATCCCTGGGAATTAAAAGCTAAAGGCAGACATTTTTCAATGACAAAAACTCTTGTCATGATATGAGAAAAAAATGAGAAATACTTAGAGAGATGCCAGCGCCTCCGAGGCTGTACATGGAGAGGCCACAAGTCACTGCCATGTTATTTGATAGTAAGAGCTGATTGAACCCAAACTCAGTCAGGCACATGGCATTGTAATTGCTACAGATGCCCTCCTGAAATGCCAGCATTAATAAGAATGACTGAGATTTTTGCTTCAATTAAATTCACTGATGATTTGTTCAGCATCTGGCAGGCATCAGGCACCATTCTGGGTGCACAGAAAGCCCCAATCCCAGACTCAGGGTGCTGGCCTGCTGGGGAGCGCTCAGAGAGCTCTGACCCTCACCTGTGAGCTTCAGCTGAAAACATGACAGATTTAACATAAAACAAACAAAGGAATAAGAATAGAAAAACTCGACAAATAGATCTTGACTTCCTGAGAGTAGACAAGTTCTAAAGAGTAGAATACACTCAAAGCTATTTGGCCTGAAAATTCAGCACCTGATGAGTTCTGATGGCTCAGTGTCTTCCATCTAATGACCACCACCCAGATGGAGAGGGGTGGAGAGGGATGGTCAAAGATACCGGACTCTATGAGGGATGGTCAAAGATACTGGATTCTATGGGACAGGGCACGAAGAAAGTGACAGGAAATCTACAGTCGGGGGAAGGACAGGGAGAGGGCAAGGAGAGGGCAGCCAGGACACAGATCCAGGGGTTTGCGTGCCGGCCTGAGATGAATGCCCATGTTCTCAGCAACCCAATATTCTTCTCCTTTCCCTCCACAAACAACCCAGGTGTGGAAAACAGGAAACGCTCTTTTTTTTTTTTCCCCCAAGATGAATTTTAAATGTAGGAGGTGAATATGAGTTTCAAAGGAAAGATACAAGTCATTTCTCCACAAGAAGCCTCAGGTTCCCCATCTGTGAAATGGGCACGGAAGGTCACCTGCTTTGTGAAGACAAGCTAATGTAACAGGGGGAAAAGTGCTGTGTTTTCCTTATTTTATTAAGTGTTTTCACGTTGGTTAAGATTGTCAAACTCTGCTGACTTTCTTTAGCACTGGCCAGACTTATCTCTCAGCTGCACCCTGGGATCCTCTCCCCTGCTGTGGGGAGGGCCGTGGACGGGCCATGTGGGCTCAGGGCATGATGGGGGGCAGCCAGGCGTACCTAATGGGCAATGATGTGGCTTCCACCAACCTGTGGTCCAGCGGCTGGGCCGGATGTCCTTCCTCCATCACCTGCTCCCCCGTCTGAGGCCCTGCTGCAGGTGATGATGTCGGACACAGGGTGGCAGAGCCAGAGGGAGCCACGTCCCTCTGCCCGTGCCGTTTGCCACCTCCATGTGATGCTGCAACCTGATCCCACTTGCAGGCAACTCCAGCAGCCAGTCTTACAGCTGTCCTCATGGAAAGGTGACATGCTGGCCTCAGCCATCCTCCTGCCCCATTTCCACCTAGGGCAACGGGATTTTCAGGCTCGCGTGAACTTCTGACAATCTTGCCAGCCCCTCCCCTCACTAAGGAAGAGCCCGGAGCTTGGACAGGCAGCCTCCTTTCTGAGGTCACCTGGCGGCCCGTCTGCTGGCCCATCCGTGGTCCTCCCTCCAGAGTCCTTGCGTTCCTCACAGAGCTGTTTGGTGCAGATAAGTATATTCTCATTTATTCATTAGCTTTTTTACTTAAAGGCCTGGATTTTAAACAATGGGCAACATGTGCTGAGGGGCGCCATCAGGGAGAGGCTCAAATCTGGAAGCCTGGCGTCCTACCCCAAGGCTTCTATGTTCCGGCGCAGGCGGAAGATACTGACTGAGCATAGAGCTGCCGGGGTGAGTGCGATCGCTGCGGGGAAAGGTCACAGTGACATCCTGAGGCGGGAAACTGGACCTTTAGAGAGTCGCACATTGTGCTGGTGTTGGGCCTGGGTGAACAGCCTGGATTTCAGAAAACAGGGAGGCCAAGGAAGTCCATTTCAAGAGAGTGTGCCTGCCTTGCCAAGGGCCAAGAGGGAAGGGCGTGACGTGGTCCTTGCACCAAGAGACATGCATACATTTTAAATGGTTGCTTTAAGAATACAGAAATATACATTTTCAGATTCCTTACGCTCTCTTCAAGCCTTGTGGTGAAATACTTCGCACATCTCTGAATGTGTCCCATCCTTCCTGTTCAAGGCAAAATCAAAGCAGTTCTCTGAGGAGAAGGCGAGTGCCTCAGTTTCCCTCCCGGCCTCACTGCCGTTCTGTCTCTGTCCCCAAGCACTGGGCCAGGAGGCAACCAGACTTTACTAAGGGTGGATGTCCGGGGATCGATGAGCGGAAGCAGATCGTGTTTGATAATCAGATTATTGCCAGGAAAGAAATCTCCTCTAGAAGACCTTCATTCCGATTCTTTCTTGACCTAGTGATGCCACACCTAAGCCTCGGCCTGCTTTGTTCAAGGGTCCAGTGAGGAAGAATTAACTCGCTGCTCCCTCTCCCACCCCAGGGCTCTGCACTCTTAGTGCAGCTGTGCTGGTGAACTTCTCTACCCTTGAAAGTGGGCCCCTATCTCTCTGTTCATGTGTTACAGGAAAAACGCATTATTTAATCTTATTTAAATAATCCCCAGTAGTTATATCTTAACAAAGATGTACACTTCGGGTTTCTGGAGTACAGTTCTGTCCACGTGCACATCTGCGGTGAGGTTGAGGGCTGCAGTGATATTGAAAGTCTCTTTGGCCGCCTGATTCCCGGGTATTTTCAGTGATGTGCAGGGGAATGCTGTACTCTCAGGTGAGTAGCACATTTGGAGAAGAAATCTTTGTGATGGAATTTCCAAATTTTGTAGTTATTTTAATTCCCAGAAAATCGGATTCTGTGGGCCCCTCTCGCTGGGGGTGGCAACAGACTCAGGGCGTGGGCCTGAGCCCCAGAGTCTGGGAGAGTGAGAAGGGGTGGGTCTTGGCATCCTCGTCTGTCAACACCTACTGCCTGGTGATGCGTCCACGCGTGGCCTTCGTGCCATCCGTGCCCAGGACTCCGAGTCCAGCCTGAGAACAGGCCCCCAGAGCACCCCCACACATGCACGACATCCCTCTCCTCCACTCTCCACACAGCTCCTGCAGGGACCCTGACCCCCCCGTCCATCTGGGGCTCCTGAGCCCGCGCCTACCCCTCACCCCGGCAACCTTTCCCCATGGCCCGTGGCCAGAGTGGACCTCTGGGTGACTCTCCTGGATGCTGTTCGCCCACACTGAGTCCCCGCAGCTGACCCTATGCGTGCCGCCATTGAAACCTCAGCACCTGCTGCCTCCCATCCCAGCCCTGCACCCCACTGCCAGGGCTCCGGACTGGCCTCTAACTGCAAGACATCGGGGAGATTTGAGAAGCAACGTCTCACTCAGGACAGAACTAAAGTCCTGCCAAGACCAGTGACCTCAGGTGATCTGATGCCTATGCAGCTCTGCTGCTCTAGAACTTTCTCCCTGCCCCTCCTCTGCTGGCATCCCGATGTCTTCTAAGCATGCTGGGACTATGTGTCCGCCGTCTCCCCAAATGTCAGACCAGGGGAGGACGCAGACATGGCTTGCTCACCCTGCTGGAGACTCAAGCTGAGTCTCCTTATGACCAGGGTCCCACGGGAGGACCACAGCTCAGAGAACACCACACAGTCAGTCCGTGGTTCTGTAGGATAAATTATAACCCTGCAGCAGAAAAACCCACTCCGCAAAGCCCTTCAGCATCTAAGCTCTGCCTATCATCACCCTAGCTCTGGGGAGACCCCCGTGGTTGCAGCTGCATAGGTGAGGAAGGAGCCCTCATGGAGAACACAGGCTTCAGAATGCCTGGATTCCTGGTGCTGGAGACTTTTATCACTTGTTGGCTATGATGGAAGCTGCAAAAACACATTTTCCCCGAAATATGATGCAGCGATTAAAAATAAGATATATGACTTATATGCTAAGCAGAAAAGCAGGTTTCAATCACATTGTGATTGCACAAAAATGCAAACATATCTGTGAGAGTGGTGAGTTTATACATATTTTTTCTTTTTTCCAAGTCTTTTCTTTCTCAATTTTTTGAGCTTATATTAGGTTTATGTCCAAAAAGTCATTGAAAAACTTCCTTGCTCGACTGATATTTTCTCCCCTTTGCTAAGAGGATGCATTTGTGCCAGAAGCAGGTGCTTTTATATATCAGGTAGATTTTTTATCCTTGTTCAGTAAGAGTGCATGATGAACGCCATCAGCACTTGGCCAAGGGAGAGGGACATGAACGGTGAGAGCTGAGGAATGGGACCTGGCTGCTCGCACGCCTGTGCTGGGACAGGCAGGGGTTCCGGGCGCGGCCATGGCTGTGAGCAGTTCTGCTGAACTCTGCTTGCTCTCAGTTGGCTCTGAGACCAAAAATTGCCTAAAATAGGTCACCTGTTTGTATCCTAAATTGTAGAAAAAAAAAATGCATGATAATGACATCTTCCTAATTCAACATGAAAACTAACTGGGACCAGGGAAGTGCTGGGGTCCCCCTCCGTGGACTAAGCTTTTCTCTGCAGGTAGTGCTAATTAATGCATCAGCAAGCTTGGGAGAGAAATATCGAAGATACAGGTGGAAACAGGCTTCCAAGAACTTGAAGGCCCCAATTATTAGCCATGTATGTGTTAATTACGTCGGGTTTATTTAGTCACTGAAGGAGGTGGCCTGTGGCCCTCTCTTTGATAACACCTGATTAACTAAATGTGAATTTCTGCCCATGCTTGAAAGTAATCAAGTTGCATGGTTTTTCACAATAGTGTAACTGAGTCTTTCCAGTAACTTCTATTGAGTGCTGCCCCAGTGCTCGTCCCAAACAGTGAGGTTTGCACTCATCTCACCGTGCAGCTTGCAGGTATTCCATTCTGAAAATGGTAACACTGACATTTACTTCACATTTAATCTGTCTACAAACTGCATTAAACAAAAAAAGATACCAGTATATTAATAAAAAATTATTAAACTGTTTGTCAGTGGCTTAGTAGTATAAGCCAGATGCTTAAAAAATATAAACTGTTCAGTTTCAGAAATGGAATATTCCTACACGTTTGTTAGAATGTAATTCTAATTAGAATTAAGATAATTTCTCTTGTTCTTTGTGTAGTAAAAACCACACAAAGAACAATATAAAATAAGTGTAAGGTTCTCTTGGGCACTGTCCAGTGTGTACACCTGCTTGGTGTATGTGGGCATTTAAGTTTGAATTAATGAAGATGAAATACGATCAAGAATGCACTTCCTTAGCCACGGCAGCCTCATTCAAGCAGCTTGTGACTTTCATGTGGGACAGCACAGAACAGGCAACTTCATCCCAGAAAGCTCCATCGGGCATTTCAGGCTCTCATTTCCATAACCAAGTCACATTTTATTTTAATTATTAGAAAGCTTTTTCTTAAAAACATCAGGTAAGTGTGGGATGTCCAACCTCTTTACATTCTTATAATATTCTCAATTTCTCTTTGGAGGTAGACGAGATGTCTCCATCTCTCATTCATGAATAGAAACATGTAATCACCTGTAGAACCTAGGGACTTTTAAAATGTCATTAAATGGAATTGACTAGTGTCAGAAACAAACCTCTTTCTGTAAAAATGCAAAAAAACAATACAAGAGAAGAGAAGAGAAGTAATTTCCCTGAGTCACCACCCCTGGAAGGCCACAGATCACATGTAAGAGAGAGCACAGCAATAGGTTGAAATTGCAGACGTGGCTGTGAGCTTTCCTGCTTCCCCGGCCCCTGTGCACCCAACGGCCCTTGAGTTCCTTCAAAGCCTTTCACTCAAGAAAGCGCCTGGGAGAGAACGAGTCTCTCCTGAAATGGCCAGGAAATCCCAAATCCTTGTCAATCATTTCCCAAAGGGAGCATCTACTTTATTTCCAATTTCATTCATTTTGCTCCAGGGAACTATAAATTAGTGAAGTGTTTACTAGATTAAAACCTCAGATGTACAATTAAAGGACAACATAACCTCCTCATTCTGACTAGACTCTCCCATCACAGAGTGCTGGCTTCTCATCCTTCTTGCTGCCCAGAGTCAGATGTGGGGGCCCATGAAGTCCAAGAAAGCTCACTTCTCAGAGCCACTCCAGAGGAGCCCAGAATTCCTCCAAATTAGAAGAGGCCAAATTTAATTAGGTGTGAAATATGAAGAGACCTCAAACAATGTAACATGTCTCATGAAAGGAAATGTGTCCATCTTTGAAACCTAGACCAAAAAATAACAAAAAATGTGTGTGTGCAAAGTAATAATATATATTTATAGTTTAGTAATATATGTGTATATATATTTTAAATAACTTTAAAACTTCAGTACTTACAATTATAAGGACAATAAATTCTTCCTTCTGTTCATGTGTGACAGGAATACTGTATATATTAAAAAGTCATCCGGAAGTTAAAAAATCAATGTATTTAAAAATTTTTGAAATAGGTTGTATAAGATGCATTATTTTACATTTGATTTGATGACATGATTTTTGTTTGAAAGTATGCAATACAATTCAGTAGTTTCTGATGTTTGTATTAAATGTTTCATAATTTTGAAATGAAAGAATGGAATGCTAAGAAACATTTCATTAAAAATCTTCCTCATGATTTTCTTCTGAATTTAAAATGTTCCAAAATTTGTCACAATAAAAACCAAAAACATCACAAAGCCAGCTTCAGTGAACAGTTAGGAATTTACCTTAATTCCCTGGGAGAGTCGAGCTCCCTACCTCTGAGTTCAATCAAGCCACCATCCTTGAAAACTGCCTTTTAGATGGCTTAAGGCAAACAGATCAATTTGGTCAAGAAGCCGGTAAATATGGCAAATTAAAGATAAAATAAAATGTCAGTAGAAGCCACCCTCTCTTCAGCAAACAATATGCTGACGCTGCCAAAGTGTAGGCTGCAAAGGTAAAAACATTCTTGGCCTGAGCAATGAATGAGGTAAGGTAAGATGGAGAAAGCTCTTTTTATTTTTACTTTTCGAGACAGACTCTCACTCTGTCACACAGGCTGGAGTGCAGTGGCGCGATCTCGGCTCACTGCGACCTCTGCCTCCCGGGTTCCAGTGATTCTTGTGCCTCAGCCTCCTGAGTAGCTAGAACACTTTTAAATGAGACTTTATTTTCTTAACTGACTGTAGATGGGGCAGTCAGGTCTACATGCAGCATGTTTCATTTAGTTTTCAGAAGAATGAATAATGAAATATAAATGAAAAATGGAAAAGTTTCATTTTGTGGGGATTTTTGTACACAGTTGTTGTCAGTGGTAACAGGTATTGAATGTCAGGTGTGTGCTTGCTACCAGTACTGTCCCGCTTCACAGGGAAGGAAACTGAGGCACAGGGAGATTGACAGTGATCTCCAATGACTGGAAAACCCATGGTCTGCGTTTTCTTTTGCACAAAGAACCTCTCCATGAAAAGCAGAGCATCTTGGCCACTGGCCTCTGATCCTGCCACCTCTTGCCTCCTTGTATTACCCAAGTCTGAGTTTTTACTCAGTGAATTTTAATATTTTCTTCATCAAAACCAAGACAATGGCGAGGCATAAACAGACGGACCTGCACTGCGTTTCAAATATTGCTGGAGAACTTTAGGAATGTTTCATCAAGCCCTTTAAAAAGCTGAACACTAAAGGTTCTCGATGTGGTGGTTGTTTTGTTTTTGGCTGGCTTGTGCGTCAGTATAGTTAGTTAAAAGAAGTCAGATTCAGCCCAAACCCCAATGCCTGGGTCCCTCCCTTAATAATCCAGGTCTCAGGCTTACTGTGAGAGGAGGAGGAGGCAGGAAGAAAGATTCGCAGCAGGGACCCTCCCCACTTGTAGCCTCTTCCACTGGGCCTAGGGAGGCTCCTGCTGCTGGGCTCGCCCTGACAGTGGACTTGAGAAACAGAAGGAAAGACCGAGGCATTTCTGGCTCATCTTCCCTCAACAAGAAACTCCGTGAACCAAGACCTGGGTGGTTTATTGTTGGTTTGCAGGTTCGTGTGTGTGTGTGTGTGTGTGTGTGTGTGTGTGTGTGTGTGTGTGTCTGAAGTCATTTTGAAACATTCTTGTTTTAGAAGTTTTACTGTATTATGCTTAATTGTATTTCCTATATTTTAATTTCTCCTACTCATTATGATAAAATAAAACTCCAATAGGCTGTATTTTGTAGGATTTTTTTTGTAAATGCCGTAGTGCAAACTTTATAAACCATTTGCAGATGTGAAAATGTAAATGGTAGCACTGGGTCCCTGGAGGAGCAAGTTGAAAATGCATTCAGCTGATTGTGAGGAGTGGGCGTGTCAGCTTTCCACCAGGGATGTGGCACAGTGCTGGGGAGGTGGCCACCACTGGGCGGGTCTCAGCTCAGCTCCCTGTGCGGGTCACAGGGAAACTGCACAAGGCCAAGTGTGGAAATAAAAATAAATTCTCTGTGTGTGTGTGCATGTGTATGGCTGTAGTCATCGCTAAATGTAAACCTTTAATTCTCAATCACAAAGCAGCACACTGAAGGTGGTGTTATTAATGATTGAGGAGCAGGCATGAAGCGTGGGGAAGATTCTGAGCTCGGGCTTTGCCCTGATTTTGAGGAGCAGGCATGAAGCGTGGGAAAGCTTCTGAGACAGGCTTTGTCCTTGCAGTCGATTGTCTCTACATCTCAACTGGGCAGTCCAACCACCTGTTCCTCAGTTCTCACATCCGTAAAATGGGTCTAAGCACCCCTTCCCCGCTTTCCTCACGAAGGTGACAGTCTGTGCAGAAGCATTTTGTCCATTGTCAGGCACCCTACAAGCCTGCAGTATTTCAGCACAAGCGGGTACCACCACAGATCTGGGGAAGGCTCTGGGGCAGGAGCTCAATCCCCGTGCCCTGGGCCGTGCTTGCTGGAGCCCCAGTGGACGCTATGCACGGGAGTGACCCACACCCGAGAAACCCCAGGCCATCACCTCTTCTCCCCCGAGACATTCCCATTCACGCGCATGGCTGATCACGTGCACCCGGGTGCTCTCGGGTGAGCCAAGTCAGCTGCCGAATGGTTCAATTCTTTATAACAGAAACAAGGGTGCTACAGGAGCAAGCTTCGAAGTGGGAGATCACACATTAGCTCTCCTCCCAATGTGGAGGCTGAAATCACACAGCTTTCTGTCCTAAAAGAGCTGAATTTACACAGAGGTCAACTCATTCCCCTGATAAGGAAATACGGCCTCCTGGTAAAGAAACCAGACCCCAGCCGAGGGCAGTTGTAATTCACAGAGTTCTGTGGATTGACTATTGTAAACTGTGAAAGCAAAAGATTACCGAAATGAGGATTATTCCTAAGAACTTGGTGAGCAGTCAAAGCGGATGACCTTCCTGCACCCGAACAATGGAAGCTGTGGGGTGAGCAAAGCTCACATCTCCCTCCAGGAGAGCCTGGTAAATAATCTCCCTGTGCCTGCATTAAGTTTACAGTGGAGAATCTAAGCCTCGGGATGGTCTAGAAATAAGTAGCCTTAGCAAAAAGCAACATCTTGACCTACATTCAAAATGTTAATTCTTTGATTTATGATGTATTTTAAAATGCATGTAACCAGGTTAAAAAGATGTGTTAGATGTGGCTAAAATTCCTGTATGCTCAAGCTGAAAATGCCTAGGATACAAGCCTAGGGACTACTGCGCGTACGGGACCATCGCAAGGCCAAGGGACCAAAAGTACAATCTGCTCACTGCCGTGATGACTCAGTCCAGGCTGAGACATCAGGAAAACTAACAAGTGTCCCAAGGTTCTTTTTCCTACAAGGAGTTACACTAATGTCGGGACTCGTGGTATTATAAGATAAAGGCATGGATAATAAGGAGGAATCTTAATTTGGCCAACCGAAGCATCAATGGAAGCCTATTTGTTGGCTCCTCTTAAGAGCCAATTCTCTGTGATCGAAATGAGTTTGTATTTGGCTCACATTGGTCATACCTACACCATGCCCATGTCAACAACGGCACACATATCTGGAAGCAGAAAAACATAATTCCTGGCTG
Source organism: Homo sapiens (assembly GCF_000001405.40). NCBI lineage: Eukaryota > Metazoa > Chordata > Mammalia > Primates > Hominidae > Homo > Homo sapiens. The sequence goes on from NC_000002.12 coordinate 1,883,372, forward strand.
GGAGAATATGGTTCCTTAAGAAAATGAAAAAGAAAAAGAAAAGGCTGACCAGCTCTGATAGGTTTTGCAAGCTCTTTCCTGCTGTTTCTTTCAGGGAATCCTAGCAAATGAAATGTCACGAGAAGAAACTTTTCTGAGAATCAGAGCTCATGGTGGGCAGAGTTCTCACCCCCCAAAACTCTAATTTGCACAAATGTATTCTTTTTCGCTTTTTGGCCTGTGGTCTCAGTGAACGTCACAGCCAGGCAGGGCTCACGGTGACCCTGTGAGGTCGACTCCTAGAAAGGGCATACAAGGTGACGGTGAACTCCACCTCAAAGCATCGACGCGCAAAAGTCTGCCAGGCACAGAGGCTTTCGGAACTGGGTGTCCCTCCTCCGTCTGCCTCCTCGAAGTGTCCCTTTTACCCTGGGGGCTTCCTCCCTGACTTCTGAGCCTCTGAACTATGTCTTCGACACACCAGATGGGCTAGGGAGCAAAGAAAGCAACAGTCCCAGAGTTGGAGTAAGATTCAGGTGCACGTTAAATTTTAATCCAGTTTCAGTTTACATATTATACATAATTAGACAATGAAGTGATGGATTTTCTTTTCAAAACGTCCCATGTTTGCTGCTTTGGGTAAGACCAGGCAAAGTGTTATCTCAGGAAGTTTAAGAGCTTAGAGGATCCAAGAGCGAGAGTTTATCTGGAAAATTTGTTTTGTCCATGATCAAGAATGTCCTGTTAAAGGCCAAATATCACAATTCAGTGTTGGAAGTGACAAGAAGAAAATTTCCAGAAAGTTCCATTTGTTAGCTGACATGTATTGTAGAGAATAATTTTGGGGGTAATTGGGGCCCACTTTCTACTATGTGTTTATGAACGATTAGAGACTGTTACAGGACACAGTGAATGGCTTAATATCACGATGTTAATCAGGGACGATGCTGCTGCAGGACAAATTAACCAAACCCTTGAAAATATACACAAAGAATATAAAAAAGGACTCATGCGGGAATTATTCTAAAGAAAGTTGTTGCGAGTCATGAGGGGCTCAGTCCATGCTCCTGGGCTTGAGAGACCCACTCAACAGATCTTGCTGACCCAGATCCAACAAGTAACAGATAAAAGGGGTCACCAATTACAAGGTTAAAGCAAAGAAATTATAACATGTGGTTATACCATGAAGCAACATTTGGTCATTGAAACATTAGTGTTTTTATAGAAGATGCTTGATTGAAATTCTTAGTTTTGAAGATCCATTCATAGAAAGGGACAATTTAAGAAATTCAGTCAAGTTCAGATTTCCCAGAAAGGCTCTATCAGAATAGGATTGACTTTTTGCAAAGATAGGTTTAGACACATGTGTGGCTTTTCGATCAACCAAAATTAGCAAAAGGCCATCCACCTCCTGTAAGATACAGTCTCCCCTCCAGGACAAGACAGGAAGGAGGGGCTGCCCATGCGCACCCTGCCCTGGAAGGCATGAAGAGCTAACCGGCTCCCTCGGAAAATGCTAAAGGTGGGGACCGTCACACCATCTTGCAAGATGAAGTAAGAGAAGAAGAAAGTGCCGATGCTGGAGAAACAGCAAGTTGGCTCGGAATTTCAAATCAACATAAGCCGCCAAGCCCAACGTGAAGGGATGCAAGCCAAAGAAAACGAATCCCTGCAGTCTCTGACCAGTTAGAGGCAACACTAGAAGCAACTTTTACAGAGGCTGTTTTCCTGTCTACAGCTGGCCTGTTGGAACTGGAGATGTGCCAATCTTTGGCAAAGTGTCCCTCATCAAGAAATTCAAAGGAATGCTGCCATGTTCTGATGTATTGGCCAAGTTCCAAGTGGAGTTAGTCATGTTTTGACCATGAGGGAAATGTGGTTTCGAGCCATACAAAAGACGCCTGAACAAAGTGGGTTGAACTGCTCTTGCTAATGCTGTCCGTTTTGAGATCCTAAATCTACTTTTCCATGAGGCACTGTTTTGGATGAGGCTACAGACTTTACAGCCGTTAGGTAAGAGGAAGCCCTCCAGGCGTTTACATTCCATGAAGAAAGTTCCAAGGGTCTTGTGGCGAAAGAGCTAGTTCAGGAAGTCACTGAACATAAGCAGGTGATCTAGGGCCCTAGGGCCTTGGACAGGGATCCTGTAAAAGATGACATGGGTGTGAAATAGAAGCCTACACTTTGCAATAGTCCTGGTCTATCGTCAGGGTCCTCGGATGCCGAGGTGGGGTGGGATGATTGGGAAAGAGATCAAATGTGGGTTGAAAAGCAGCATTATCTTTGCCTGGATAACGCTTTTTCCAAACAAAAGGAAAACCAAGCAATTTGACATAATGATATGGCCTGTCCGATAATTTAAATCGATTATCTGGGGACTCCTGGCTCTCATCTCGCTGTGAGCATCTCCCAGGTCTCACCCTCTTTCCCTGTGTGCACCTGCACGTATGCTCTCCCCGGATTGCGGAGGCTTTGAGACTCCCCCTGTGACTTCTACCCACTTCTTCCAAACCTGTCTGGACCTACATCTAGAGATGTCTATGTGAAGGAGGAAAATCTCAGTGTTGCAGTATAAATGTAGGTATTTCACCAATTTGCCAGATTTATGCTTAAAAATTATAGGCATAGAGAAGAGGGAGGTAAAACTCTAGAATGATGTGTGTCTGGTTGAATTCCATGACTCTCCGGATCCCCGAACCGTGAGTTGTCACTGTCCTAAAGAGTATTCATGACTAAGACCACAGTGTATTTAAGAAATTAGCTATTATGATGGTAGATTTTGTCATAAGTGCTATTTAAGTATCCATATTGTAAATACTGCTATGAATTTCTTTTAAAAATTAAATTTTGATTATTTACAGTCATTTTCTAAAAATTTGAGTAACTGTAAAATTTCCCTTCCATATGCATGCATATCTGAAGAGAAAACACCCATGCTTTAGGATATCCCAGATAGGAAGGATATGATATGAACAAGCTGGAGGTATGTCAGGGGAAAAGGCAGAATGGGTTGTGTGGAAAAGTGGCTGAAATTCCGAGGATTCAATCCCATGTCTACATCAAGGCACTGGGGTGCACAGGCCATGTTTTTTAACAGACATTTTTCTTTGCAAATGACATATCATTTTTTTTTGTGAACTACTGAGTGCATGGATTTTTAAAAGAGAATTATTGTCATTAAATCTTACTTGAGTTCTTGGGAGCTGGTGGCCAGCATACTTCGAATGCTTTTGTCCGCCAGGGGGCAGCCAGACAGACTGTAAGACAGGCCGGGACAGGCAGGTCAGTCAACTGCGAAGCGCGTAACTCCCAAACAAACACAACATAAAAACCGAAATTAAAGAGTTTAATGCAGAAAAGCAATGGGCAAGTGCTGTATATTGAATTTTTTTTTGTGTAATTAATTCTGAATCGGTTCGAATATAAATTTAAGAAAATATTTCTTAATAAGCAATTGTTTAAAAATAAGATAAAACATTTGTGCTCTTTGGCTTAAATGCTTAAGAAGAATTTTACAAATTTAGGTCGTTTATTTGAAAATAAAAGACATTATACAACACATAAATTAGCATGCTTTTGAAGGTCAACATATAGCACTTAAAGGGTTGACACAGAATTCAACATTTTTACTTTGACAGCATTGTTGAGGTAAGCTGAAAACAATAAATTGAAAAGACAGAATCCACCATGAGAAAAATGAAGTCACACCTTCTGTGTGAGGCGTAATTACCAGTCACATGACCACTCCCATCACACCCTGGAGTTGGACATCTGCCACCAAACAAAAACAAAAACAGCCAAAATAGTAAGTATGTTTAAAAAAAAAAAAAACTTTTAAAAAAGTTTCATTGTTTCCAGTTTAGCTGCAATGTCTGCAAGGGGATTTAAGCACCCTGAAGAAAAGCGGCAAAATGCACGGGTTAAATGAAAATGACGCCCCCATCCGACAGAGCGTCACTGGGAACAGGCAAGTGCACGGTTAGCTGCTCACTCTACTGACCCAGCAGTCGGAAACATTTATATGCTGCGAATGTCGCATGCTCAAACGGCAAGGCATATACAGATCCAGTTTTAAAAAATCAGCCAAAGAATGGGAAGATTAAGAAGATTCATAATTTCACCTCACAGCATGCTTACGTTATTAAGTCCTTTTTGCTCTCCTTGCACTGAGGGTACTTGGGTTTGGGACTTGGGATGGTCACCTCCCCGGGATACCGTCTTTCTTCTAGAGCCTCCTGGAATGGGTCCAAGTCTTCTGGCTGTGGGCAAAACACAGCTTCAGAGCCACACGGATGATCACATGGCACACAGACTGAGGGAGGTGGTTCGTGGCTCTGGGGTGGCCTCTACATCTTACACCTCTTTCTGCTGTACCTTTAAGATCCTTTTGGTCCTGATAACGCCCCTACTGAAAATGCATATTGAACTTTTCTTCCACTGCTCTAAACTCCTAAAATGATGGTCACCTGTCAGTGGTCAGGGCCCTTATTCAATATTCACCTGGCTGTGCTCATCACATGGACACACACACGGTCTGGTAGCCAGAGACTACATTTAACTTGGTCTTCCTCATCCAGCATTCAGCACACACCTGTGGGTGGCTGCTTTATCCAACACTTGCCTGCAAAGATTCAACACTGGAACTACAGTGTCTTAGGGCTGAGCTTTCCCCCACCATTGGTCAGTATTTTACAAGCACATGCTTTAAGATTCAAGGTAATGGAGACCAATTTAGAGGAATGTAACTGTAAATTTCCTTTTCCCTTGTGTGTTCAACTGCAGTAACGTAGATGTTTCTACAGGTGGCAATGCTCAGCAGACACTTTCCTAAGTGTAGATACATGGGAAGGTTTGTCTTCCATGATGATCCAGGATGAAAACACTTCTGTCATTTTAGGAGGGCTTACTTTCAATTAAAATGAATTTGGAGATTCAACCACCATGCCTTATTTGGTAGTAATGATTCAACACTGCGGGAGAAAAAAATACTTAGAAATTTAGCTTGCCACTCTGATTTGGTTCTTTTTCACAATGCCTGGATATTGAAATCAATTTGAAGAATGCAGATAATAGGCTTATAAGCAGGTGCCCTCTCTGCCAATTTCTACATGGGGCTAATATTTCTTTTTTTTCCATTTCCTTGTTTCTGTAAGACACTAGTGCTTCGATGGTGGTCTCTCTATTGTACTAAAAACACATTTCATTTTTCAGTGAAGAAAGAAGATGTCATAAGACTTTAAAGTCGGTACATAAAGAAAACATTTTTCTTTATTTCTTTTCAAAGCCTAAAGGGCATTATATCTATTTTAATAACCTGAATTTGAACACTGTAGCTACTTCAAAAGTATGTTCTTGACATAGATGTTTTAGTAATACTGTCATAAACAAAGACTTAGGTGATGGTACTAAAATAGTTTATTCAAGGCTAAACTCTTTTGAGTACTTAGGTTTCTTAGAGAAGGGACACTGTCCTTAGTTTCGAAGGGCTAGTTAATTAATAGCACATAGTTAACCATTTAACTATCTAAGACTCCTATTAGAATTCTCTACCTGCAAGGAAAATCCTGTATTGTTTCAACAGGACACCCAGAAAAATGAACTCAGGTGCTATTTATACGTTTTCTTAGAGTAATCATTTGTAACAAAACATATTTGTTAGAAAATAAACTTTATCATTTACAAGAGTCAATACTTTGTTTCACTCTAATCAATGTTAGTCGCAAATCTCTTCTGGGTCAACAAAAACTGTTTTCTAAGTCCTCCTCAGCTAAAGGTCATATTTAAAGAGAAAATATATTTTCTCATAACGTATGTGCAAATGGCTTTTCTTTCAGCTGGGGCCCCATTTTTAAGTCTGGCAGTCAACACAGGCTCAATGAAAAGGACATACAGTAATGTCTTTGGACTCGTCCTCGTCTATCCTCCGGGGTTTCATTTTGGTGTAGTCTACGGGCAAGTCCCAGCAGTCGCCCTCGCCCAGCTGGAAACACCGGTTGTTCATCACTGCCTGCTGCTGGGGGGACATGGGCTCCAGAGGGGTCAGGATGGGGCAGCAGCTGTCCCGCGGCCTCTGCTTGTTCATGCTGAGGTCCAGGGTCCCGTTCTCATCCACCTCCATGTCAGGGTTCTGTCGGTAGAAAGACATAGTGACTGTGCTTGGCCCGGCATCTTGTGACACCACGAGTCCTTCCTCCCAGATTACAGTCCTGCCGTCAGCCAGTGTAGCGTTCAACACAGAATCCCTCGCTGCTGTTTCCTTGGCCTAAACTCCCAAGGCGGACAGGCCTTGTCTGGTGGTACATTCCTGCTATCCCACGCTTAGCTGCAAAATTGGTTGGAGAATCCAGGCATCCATCCCGCCATCCCTCTCTCCCTCCCTCCCTCCATTTCCCTATTTATCTACTGTCTATCCTCTCTCTCTCCTTCCTTTTTGTCCTATTGTATCTCTGATTTAGAGTTTGTTCAGAAGAAAATTACAAAGTGCTTAATTTTAATTTTATTACCGTTGCAAATACCTAAGAGATAAAAATTTTGTGTGTATGCATGTGTGCATATACATGTATGTGCATGTGTGTGTGTGTATAAACACACATATATCAGCTTAAAAATTCTCTTTTTTATTGATGCTAATAGTTCAAGAATTAGGGAGGAGGATAACAAAAGAATTAGAAGGATGAAGGAAGGAAAGAGAATAAACTAAAATTTACCTTGTAATACAATTTTTTTTTTTTTTTTGAGGGACAGAGTCTTGCTCTGGTATCCAGGCTGGAGTGCAGTGGCACGACCTGGGCTCACTGCAACCTCCACCTCCCAGGTTCAAGCAATTCTCCTGTCTCAGCTTCCCAAGTAGCTGGGACTGCAGGTTTGCACCACCATGCCCAACTAATTTTTGTATTTTTTAGTAGAGATGGGGTTTCACTATATGTTGGCCAGGCTGGTCTCAAACTCCTGACCTCAAGTGATCCAGCCGCCTCAGCCCCTCAAAGTGCTGAGATTACAGGTGTGAGCCACTGCGCCTGGCTGTAATAAGAACTTTTATAATGAAGATAATTTTCCACTTTACGAAAGAAGATCTGCAGTTGTAGCTAAAAATACCTTTACTACAGTGATTACCGTCTGATCTCTAGATTTCAGCAAACCTGCAATTTAGTCTACTGGCTTAAAAAAAAACCCCAAAGAGGTACAGGGTGAGGCTCTTTCATTTTTTAAATGATGCTTTGAAATGCATCAATAATTCTGCAGCACTTGCCTCTCAGGAAGAGAGTCAGAAGAATGGACACATGGACAGAAAGTTAAAAAAAAAAAATCAGAATACCCCTAACAATCCTGCATGTTTTTCCCCAAAGAGTGACACTCTCCTTAGCAAAATTTGATTTCAGAGCTGGTCTGAAAGCTGCTGCCTCCTCAAGGGTCTAGCAGCTCTCTCCTCTGGATGCAACAGCAGAAGGAAGATGCTTGGAATGAGACCTCCATCCCCGGAGCTGTTACCTTGATAAATTATACAGTATCATTCTGCCTGAACTCTCTTTGTCAAAGTGTACTCTGATTTGAAGCTTTGATACTAATTTAAGCTTTATAATGTTGGATTTATTCTCTCAGTCTTAGTTTAATTTTAAGAAAGTGCAACAAAATTTGGAAGGGGTCTCTGCCTTTTATTTTATTTTTTTTGTGGTTGCCACAGAATCTCTTCCATGCTAACCTTGCATTTTTGCAACCTTGATCACCATGAAAACTGCATGCACCTGACTCTTCTCCAATATCTAGGACTAAATATACTGATAGAAGAAAAAAACATTTGCAAAACGTAAGATTACTGACCTTTCTTCATTCATACCAACTACAAATATTTACAAGAACCACTGTCAGTGTGGTCCACTCAGGTACATGGCCAGGCAGCGCTACACAGTGGAGAGCCCTTTGTTTATCAGGAGAGGAGGTGAACATGTCCGCTGCTCAGCGTCTCCTCTGAGAACACAATCTGACCGCTCCCTGGCACCGCCTGGTTCTCCCCAGCCGCCTGGTGGCCTCGGCGAGGCAGCTGTCTCCCAGGTCTGTGCTGCATCTTAAACGCTCTCTCTCCTGCCCAGCATAAGCACTGGTTCAATTGATAAGAAAATTAAAAATAGACACTCTTCCTATGCCTTTCATAGCACTATAGCATCCATGAAAATGTGGAACTGACGAGTGCTGGCTGTAAATACACGGCTGATCCCTTGGTGTGAAGTCTGATTTTTACTTCCTTTCCCTGCTACCCAGGAGTCCATAGGCAGATCCCTGCATTTCACGTGACAATGGTGCTAGCAGAACTTCCTGTCAAAGTTCAAGGAGACCCACGCTTCGTTTTGCATGCTCTGTGCGGTCACTGGAGACCACAGGAGGCCCACGTGGTGTCCTTTGTTTACAGAAATGCTTCTGGATCCTGGAGAGAAGGATCCATTCACGCACGTTCATCTACAAGATCTGACCCTTGCCTCTGATTTAGAAAATGGATGCGCTTTGGACAATGGTGTGTTCAGGCTGCGTTAAGGGAAGCTGCACTAATTGTTCACAGTGGCGAGAATGGTTTAGGAGATCACGGCGTTTGCCCCATACAGCTGCCCCGAAAGCGCCGCGTGTCTCGGTGGCTGGGTCCGCGGCCCGGCCTCCCCCACCCGCCAGGTGGCTCCACCTGCCCAGGCGCGCGTACCCGCGTGGCGCACAGGTCCTGCGGCTTGGTGCTCAGGTTCTGCGGCATCTCGCGGCAGCGCGTGGACAGGTTGAGGATGGCGGTGGCCGCCATGTGGGCCGCCTCCATGTCGTGCGTGTAGTCGAAGCTGCTCTTGCTGCACGTGCTGCTGGCGCTGCTGCCCCCGCCGCAGCTCAGGTTGCTGCTGCTGCTGGGCGCGTAGCTGCTGGTGCTGCTGCTGCTGGGGCTGGGGTCCTTGCAGTACCGCTTCGCTGGGGAGACAGGGACAGGGATGACTCAGGCCCCGGCCGCAGGGCACACGGCAGACAGCACACGGCAGGGCCTGCCCGCCCCGGCCTCAGCCACACACAGCCGCGTGGGACGGCCCTCAGGGTGCTGGGGCTTACGCGTAAAGAAAACAAACAACAGGCAAACGAAAACAAAACAAAACTTTCCGGCTCCTTTCTTTTTTCTTCTTTTTTCCTTTTTCCTTTTTTTTTTTTTTTTTGCCCTGGAGGATAATTCATCGACCTGTTGGAGAGGCTGCACCTCACACCCAGCACAGGCGGTCACCTGGTCCCTCGAAAGACAGACACACGGCTGGCTAGCTTTTAGGAGCCGCAGGGTGTAGGGAAGTGACTGGGAATTCCAGCCCAGTCAAATCCCAGTCGAGGCCCTAAGCGTGAGTGGGGCTCCTCCGCAGCACATGAGGGCTCGTGAGCACTTTTGGTGACCCAACCTGGATCCGCGGTCCCTTATCTGTCAAGAGGTGGGCTGTTCCTTTCAGCCAGAGGGGCCCCGGCAGCCACCTTCTGGGCCTGTGGGGACCACGTGCTTTGGGAGGTGGATTTCTGGCTGGGCATGCAGACCAGATAGGGTGAGTCCAACATCCTTTTTTTTCTAGAATTCTGATACAGGCCATGGGAGTGAAACGGGGAAATGCACATAGAGAATAAGCTCAGGATAAATGTCGAAACACCTGAGTGGCCACTTGGTGGTGGCAGACACGCGGGGCACGTGTGCAGCTGCCTCTTTCATAGCCACGGCCTCTCTGTTCCCTGCACTGACCCTCACTGACACGATTCCCACTGCCCAGTAATCCTTTCTGAGCCACCACACTCACTAACAGCCAAACCAGCACTGAGGGGCAAGGGTTATTTGTTAGAGCTATTTAAATCTCCTTTAGTACATGACAATGTTTCAGTCCAGGATTTATCCGATGGGTCCTTCTTTACTAATTGTTATCCCTGCCAGTTAATGTCACAGGACTTCATTTGTGCATGGCCAGACATTTCTCTTGGAATCCAGCAGAGTGAAGAGTTACTCAGAGGTGGACCTGGTCTCTCCCATGTCCTAAATCCCTCCGTCAGTGAGCCCCTCCCTTTAGGAAGCACCTTCTTCCCCAAGAGATCCCCGCCTGCTTCCCTGGGACCGTTGTGAGTGTAGCTGGGAGAACTTGGTGATAGGCTAGAGACACTCTAGCCCGGGTTCTCCTGGTGCTTAGGGCTGCCCTAGTCCTAATCGGCAAAGCTCCAAGCTGCCTAATTCTGATGGAAACTATGGTTTTGTCTGTTGCTACAAGGAAAGGGAGACCTCGCAGTTGGTCATGGCTCCTGCGGTGTCTTCTGTGCCATCGGCAGCAGCTCTGAACCTGGAGCCAGGCTTCCCCAGGGACTCCTTCCCACAGAGGAAGAAGAGAACAAAGCTAAGTGAAGCAAAAAGCTTTCTCACATTGCTGATACGGTCATTATGAGCAATGCTAAGAAATTGCCCTGGATTTGGATACAAAGGGAAAAAAGAAGGAGTCCTCATTGACAAGGTTTGGTTTGGGACTGAAGGCTCTCAGGACATGGGGAAGAGGTGTGTTATTGGTGATTCTGTAATGCACAGGCCTCTGCAGAGGAAGACTGAGGACAGTGCCCAGGCTGGGAGTTGGCCAGGCTGTCTTCGTCTCAGCCTCTGCCAAAAGCTACAGAGAATTCCCCAAGCAAGTAACCGCTTTACACCCAGATTCCTGTGCATGAGCCAGAGGCTCAAATCCGCACCCACAAAACCCATGAAATACAATAGTAATCTGTTGATATTATGACTGTGTTTTGCTAATCTGAATGAGCAAAGCCACTCAGAGTGGGCCCATGGCTGGTGGGGCACAGCTGTCCCTGAGAAGCGTGTCTGAGTGTCCCTCAGTGTGCCCCTCCCTTCTCTCTACTTTGGGATGCCCCTCCTCTAGGGAGCCCAGCAGTGCAGGGCGGGGTGGGCAGTGGCTGCTGGTCTGAGCAAGGCCCACACCAGGGCCTTTGAGAGAGACCACCGTGGGGCTGCAAAGGAGTCAACCAGAGGGAGACAGCAGAGGCTGTAAGGGCACCCCCACGGGCCCTGTGCAGTGCACACCTTGATCCACCCTAAGCAACCGTCACAAACCAGTTTGCAGTTTGTGATACTTTGGATATGAACTAAAGGTTGTGATTTTACATAATTTACAATTTTGTTAAGAAATAGTAGAATAATTGTAGGAGAAATGAAATAATAATATGGGGTTTTGTTTTTACTAGTGAGGGCTAGCCACTGGTTTAGGAAAAAAAAAAACATTGCCCACATAAATTAAAAAAAATAACACTTTTGTTTTGAAATGAGGGAATTTCAATTCCTAAAAAAAATTAAAGGAATAACACAAGTTAATGCAACAAACAACGGCAGCTGACATAGGTCGGCTGGCAACCTTGCACTCAGCGTTGGTGAGGGCGATGCTCAGGAGTGTGGGTGTGGAGGTGTGGCAGGAGCTCCCGCTGACGCCCAGAGACTTCTCGTCATGAGCCCCTCTCACAGTGACTCCTGCTACACTGTGCTCACAGCATCCTCCAACAGGATTGCATCTAGACTTCCACCACCCTGTAAGATGCTACCACATGCCTGCTTCACAGATGTGGAGACTGAGGCTGCCCAACGTCCACAAAGAGCCTCGACTGCCATCAACGATGTGTTTGTCTGGGAGAGTTCAGTATCTTATCAATTAGAAAATGCTACCCCAGCATCTCTATACACCAATAACATCCAGGCTCACCATCAATCAAGCAGGCAATCCCATTCACAGTAGCCACAAAGAAAAGGAAATACCTAGGAGCACAGCTCACCAAGGAGGTGAACAATGTCCACAAGGAGAGCTACAAAACACTGCTGAAAGAAATCAGAGACGACACAAATAAATGGAAAAATGTCTCATGTTCATGAATTGGAAGAATCAATATTGTTAAAATGGCCATACTGCCCAAAGCAATCTGCAGATTCAATTCTATTCCTATCAAACTACCAACGTAATTCTTTACAGAGTTAGAAAAACAATGATTCTAAAATTTCTATGAAATCAAAAAAGAGCCCAAATAGCCAAAGCAATCCTAAGCAAAATGAACAAAGCCAGAGGTTACACTCTACCTGACTTCAAAGTACACGATAAGGCTACAGTAACCAAAATAGCTTGGTACTGGTGTAAAAGCAGACACACAGACCAATGGAACACAATAGGAAACTCAGAAATAAAGCCACGCACCTACAACCATCTGATCTTTGATAAGGCCAATGAGAACAAGCAGTGGGGAAATGGTACTGGGATAATGGCTGAGCTATTTGTAGAAGAATGAAACTAGACCCATACTTTTGCCATATACAAAAATTAACAAGATGGATTAAAGATGTAAATGTAAGATGTCAAACTATAAAAATCTGAGAAGAAAACCTAGGAAATACCCTTTTCAACACTGGCCTTGGCAAATATTTTTTTTGACTAGGTCTCCAAAAGCAATTGCAACAAAAACAAAAATAGACAAGAGGGACCTAATTAAACAAAAGAGCTTCTGCACAGCAAAAGAAACTATCAACGGAGCAGACAGATAACCTACAGAATAGGAGAAGATATTCACAAACTATGTCAGATGACAAATGCCTAATATCTGACATCTATAAGGAACAAATACTTCAACAAACAAACCACAAATAACCCCATTAAAAATGGGCAAAGAACATGAACAGACACTTCTCAAAAGAAGACATACAAGTGGCCAACAGCCATGTGATAAAATGCTCAACATCACTAATCACCAGAGAACTGCAAATCAAAACCACAGTGAGACAGCATCTCATACCAGTCTGAATGGCTATTATTAAAAAGCCAAAAACAGCAGATGCTGGAGAGGCTGTGGAGAAAAGAGAACACTTATACATTCTTGGTGGAAATGCAAATTAGTTCAGCTACTGGACAGTAGTTTGAAGTTTTCCCAAAGCACTTAAAACAGAGCTACCATTAGACCCAGCAGTCCTGTTACTGAGATTTACCCAAATGAAAATAGATCGTTGTACCAGAAAGACACATGCACTCGTATGCTCATCACCATGCTCTTCACAATAGCAGAGGCACAGAATCAACCTAGGCGCCCATCAGTGGTGGATTAGATAAAGAAAATGCGGTACATAGACACTCTGTGATACTATGCAGCCATAAAAACAATAAAGTCTAAAGTCATGTCATTTGCAGTAACATGGATGGTGCTGGAGGCCACAAACCTAAATGAATTAATGCAGGGACAGAAAACTTTGTACCACATGTTCTTACTTGTAAGTGGGAGCTAAACATAGAGCACACAGGGACATAAACATGGGAACAATCGACACTGTGGACACTAGAGAGGGGAGTGGGTTGGAGAAATACCTCTTGGGTACTGTGTTCACTACCTGGGTGCAATATGCCCGTGTAATGAACATGCACAGGTACCCTCTGTATCTAAAATAAAAGTTGAAACAAAAAAGAAAAATGCTACCTCTATGTGACAACATTTTACTTGAAAGAATTTTTAACTAAAACGACTCTCTGCATTTCTTCCTCTCATCTTACTTGAATCACCTTAAATTATCCTGAAGTTATAAAATGTAGATGTGACGATGCATTGACTTTCCCAGATATTTAATTCATAAGATGCTACAACTAGATGACGCCAAGTGGATGGTACCGAATTTTAGTCGGTGACTGAACTGTCAAGAGTCTTTTGATGTGCCTATCAACTCACTGCACTCAAATGGGCAACTAAGACAGTATCTACTTTCACATGCATCCTTTACTGAATATAAAAATGTCATTTAAAAGTTTTAATTAAAACAAAAATAAAAATAAGAGGGCCTACAGTTAAAATTGCTCAGGAAAGGAAGGTCATTGGTCCTAATAATTATCCCTATTTGTAAAATGTCAGCACAGCCCTTCATGCCAGTATCTTTTGGACCACAATCAGCATTGCTCGGCTCAGTGCCCTGACAGCAGGGGGCGCTGCAGAGCAGGGGCTTCAAATTGAGGGTGCTCTGTTCCCCCTCTTCCAGCACAGAGGATGCTTGGTCTGATGAGAGCAGTTTCACAATGACAGAATGCACTTTCTTTTTCTTTTCGCAAACAAAACTTTTTTTTTTTTTGTTTGTTTGTTTGTTTTGAGATGGAGTCTCACTCTGTCACCCAGGCTGGAGTGCAGTGGCATGATCTCAACTCATTGCAATCTCTGCCTCTCAGGCTCACGTGATTCTCTTGCCTCAGCCTCCTAAGTAGCTGGGATTACAGGCGCCCACGACCATGCCCGGCTAATTTTTGTATTTTTAGTAGAGACAGGGTTTCACCATGTTGGCCAGGCTGATCTCAAACTCCTGACTTCAGGTGATCTGCCTGCCTTGGCCTCCCAAAGTCCTGGGATTACAGGCATAAGCCACCACGCCGGCCCAGAGCTATTTTTTGATCAAATTTTTTTTCAGTCCATCAGCAGACAAGAATGTGTTAATGTTCTTCCAGGCGCCCAGAACATCACTGTATGTTACGAGCAATGCAGCAGCTTTAACTCTAGATGCCAGAGCTGCCTTCAAACAGGAGCAGCCGCTGGATCTTAAACCATCCTAAAAATACCTCTTCAACTATTCCATTTCCTCTACTGCAGGAAAAAAGGAAAAGCACACAGGATTTGTGTGATTAAATACAGCTGTTGATGTAATAATAATAAACAAAACAAAAAAATACAAAACCTTCCAGGTAGGACCTTTTCATTCACCTACTCTGCTTGTGAAATTCTTACTAAATGTACATGCCTTGTTCTAGAAATGCCTATTGCCTTATGTATTCACCTTTTCTTGCAGAGAATAGATAAACATGTCTCCACAATATGAATTTCCATGAAAACCAGACAAATGCAATCACAAGATGTCCATCATGGAGATGTCTCCACTAGCTGGGACCCAGTGATCTTTAGACCTAACTTGATTCAGGTCCTAATCTGTGGCACTGAGTCTCATAGTCTTTACACACGTCCAACTAGTGTTTCAAGTAAGTTGAAATACGGACGTCTAATCTTACATGGGAAAGAATGGAGCTTTCTAGCCTGTGGGATGACATCTCCAAGGCACACGGTCTACTTGCTAGAGTTGAGCTGATGTCCAAAGGGCGTCGAGGTCCAGGTTTCAGGCTCTCTTTTCCTCAGTGTCCTTGGCACAGCTACTGCCTGCCTGGCCTGCCCTGGCCCTAGAGGGTGGAGCGAATCTGCAGACCCGGCCTGTGACCTAGCAGGAGCTTGCGGCCCGTGGGAAGACAGGCCGTCTTGGCAGGTGGTACCCAAGAGGTGACACAGCCATGCTGCAGGGCAGAGTGTGGCACCGAGCTCCATGGACGCAGGCAGCTGGAGAGTGGTAGGAAGGGCCGCGGACTGCCTGCAGGAGGAGAAAACTTCACCAGGGAGCGGCCTCTGCTCAGGTAGAGAGGCCATGGGGAAGTCGGGCAGGTGGAGGGAAGAAGGGAGCTCTGCAGGCGGGCGTGGTGGGGCTGGAGACAGAGGGCCAGGGAGGTGCACTCCAGAGGAGTCATGAAGGAGAGAATGAGCTGAGTCTGCAGCTGCCCAGGCAGTCAGGGGAGTTGTCTGTGTGGCCAGGAGGGCAGGGAGCAAAGAAGAGGAAGTGCCAAGATGATAGGAAGGTCTGAGCGCTGGAGAATTTGGAAGCTGGGAATAATCAAAAGGAGAACATGGGCAGAGCCCATTTGGGGGCTGGTAACCTGACAGGATTAGGCCCCCAAGGGTGGGGTGTGTTGCCTGGAGACACAGCAAAGGTGGAGATATAATAGGCCAGGGGTTGGCAACTTTTTCTGGAGAGGATTTTGTAGCAAATGTTTCGGCTTTGGGAACTGCGCGATTGTTTTTGTGGCCACTTGGCTCTGCCCTGCACTGTGGGAGCAACCGCAGCCTGCCCGCCAAGCCCTGAGGGCAGCCAGGTGCCAACGGCACCCTATGCATGGCATGGAAACAGAATTTCACACAGCTTTTATAGATCAGAAAATATTATTTGTCAATTGTGCTTTTCTGCAATTCTTTAAAAATGTCAAAGCCATTCTTAGCTCACCATGCAAAACAGGGTGGGTGGGCTGTGGCTTGGAGTTCCCGGGAGAGGGCAGGGCCCAGACACCCAAGTGGATGCTCAGTCCTCCTCCCCTCAGCCCCTCTGTCAGCCTGCGTGGATTTCTATTTCCTATAGACAACGTGAAGCCCCTTCCTCAGCAGCCCCCGCAGCTTTCCCTGTTCTTCCTTCTCACGGGTCTCCGTCCTGGCCTCCAGACCACTGGCTGTGCTCACCATCCTGTGTGTTTCCCTACTTTTGCATGATTTCTGCTCAAACTCTACGATCTTACCTAAAGTTTGCCACTTTGGTAAAGCACACGCTAATCCTGCAGGCAGAGGGACTCCTCACTTCACTGGGCAGCAGTGTGTGTTTCACTATCTTGTGTATCCTGAGGGAAGGCATGATAGACTGACAGATGGATAGGCAGACACACAGACAGACACATAGACAGACACAGATTGACAGATGGACAGCAAGCACTGGTGTGCTGTGTCTGGAAGGATGCAGCTGGTGAAGTGAAGATTTTGTGAGTGGTTTGATCACAGCTGGTGTGATTTAAGAGATGATTCTCCAAGGCTGTAGGGAAGGTCCTATGTTTTATTTCATTCTGTATCTCCATGGCCCTGACCTTTGGTTGCTAAGATCTGTACTTTTCTCCCTTACGACAGGCCCATTTCTCTGCCTCTTTTTAGGAACAATGACTCAATTCTTTGTGCACCTGAAGCAAGTGTTGGCAAAGATACATTGAAGAGTAACTGTAGACAGCAGTCACTCTGCAGTCAGAATCTCCTACCTGGTCCCCAGGAGTGGGGCCAGATCTCCTTGGATTACACCCCATCAACAACCTACCAGCCAGTCTTGTCCTAGTGGGCACTTTCCAGGAGGCTTTTTTTTTTTCTTGAAGATGGAGTCTCGCTCTGTTGCCCAGGCTGGAGTGCAGTGGCATGATCTCCACTTACTGCAAGCTCCGCCTCCCGGGTTCATGCCATTCTCCTGCCTCAGCCTCCTGAGCAGCTGGGACTACAGGCACCCGCCACCACGCCTGGCTAATTTTTTGTATTTTTAGTAGAGACGGGGTTTCACCGTGTTAGCCAGGATGGTCTTGATCTCCTGACCTCGTGATCCGCCCACCTCGGCCTCCCAAAGTGCTGGGATTACAGGCGTGAGCCCCCTCGCCCGGCCAGGAGGCTTTTAAAATCTGTCAGATGAGTCTAGTGAAATGGAAGCAGAGTGTCACTAAAAGCCCAGACTTCACGCCCACACAATACATCCGTGTAACACTTGCGCCTCTAAAATTTGTACACAAATAAGTGGAGGGCCGGCTCATTTTCTCACTGCACTGTGGCGAGAGGCTGCATTTCCTTTGCTCTGTTTTCCTGAAGCCCTAACATTCAGCTTTCAGCCTGTCTGCTCAATAGATGCTTGTTTCTAGGGGGTCGGCTGCAAAGCATGGCTCAGCTTTAGTGTCCACAGGAGGGCCTCTGCCGGGAATGCGATGATCAATGCCAGTAACTAACATGTGATGGCGCCACAGAGTGCGTCCTCACACCCATCCTGTCTCGGCTGATCTTCACTGCAGCCTCGCAAGGTCAGCAGAGGACACTCTTGCTTCCTCTCTGCTCCAGAAGAAACCCATGGCACTAGGCTAACTTGTCCAGTAGCATCCGGCTCCTAAGAATGACACCGAAAATCTGCTCAGTGGATTTGACTTCGGGTGCCCTAAAGGCACCGTGACCTGGAGACGGCTCTGCTGGTCATGACTTCACCCAGAAGCCCCCTTTCCTTCTCAGGCTGGAGTCTGACCTTAACAATGAAGCTGAAGAAAGAAATCAGCCCACACGGAACAAGAACAACAAAAAAACAGGTGCGTAAACATGAACATCTAGTGAAAGAATGGATCAAATCCCGGTAGAACGTCAATGAATTGGAAATCATATAAGCAGCCTTCAATTAGGAGAACTTAATTTCTTTTGATCCTTCACTTGTAGATGAACAAATGAGATGACAAGAAACCTGAAATTATTACAAAACAAACAACAAAACAAACCAACAGAACTATTTCTGTTATACGCTACAGTCACTCCTTTTATCCATTTATGTCTGTTTCTGACCAATATATGATACCTCCAAGAAATACTAAATTTCATTCACTATACAAATAAATTATTATTAAGGCAAGAAATACCATAGCTTAGAAAGATGTGCAGCAATTCCTGTAGAATAATAAAAATGGTTTCTGAAGTCCCCAAGCATTCAGTTTAAATATTGTGTGTGTATGTGTACTGTGATTTTAACTAAGTACCTTTTTCTTTGTTTTTGATACAGAGTCTTGCTCTGTCCACCAGGCTGGAGAGCAGCAGCACAATATGAGCAGCTGGGATTATAGGCATGAGCCACCATGCCCGGCTAATTTTTGTATTTTTAGTAGAAACAGGGTTTTGCCATGTTGGCCAGGCTGGTCTTGAACTCTTGACACCAAGTGATCCGCCTGCCTCAGCCTCCCAAAGTGCTGGGATTACAGGCATGAACCACTGCAGCCAGCCCCAAGTATCTTTTTCAAAGAAAAGCTTGATGACCTTTTTTAAAAAACTATTTCCTTCCCCTGTGCTAGAGAGCATCATGATAAGACTTCTAAATCATCAGAACATTTACACCCCAAGTCCCAATTGGTAAAACTTGGCAATTACGTCTATACAGCCTAGAATTTAAAGCAGACACATGGTTAGATAAATAAATAAAATTAAATAAATACAGTCTTCCCCTCTAATGAAAAGCTACTTACCAACTAGCTTTGTAGTGAAATGGTAACTAGTTCATACTCTAGGTAGTGGTTCAAATAAGCATTGGTCAAAATAAACTACCCCTTTCCCATGAAGCCCGTGGCACTGTGTTTGTTGCATGAGCTCTATTTTGTTGGTGCCACAGCTGCCACAAGCCAGCAGGGGACGAAGCTACGGCTCTGCCGGCAGCACCCCAGGCTGGGCCTTGTTTTGCCCCATCGTCCCCAGTCACAGGGGGACTCCGGTGCCGGTCTTCTGTGAAGAGGCGACAAGGAGGCCACCAGCTCTGGCTACCCGGCAATCACTGGCGAACTTCTCAAGGGTGCCGTAGTGTCGTGCAGGGAGCACCCCAGGGATTCTGATTTTATTGGTCATGAGGGCAGGTTGGGCATGAGAATTAAGAAAAAAAATCTCCCCAGATGGTTCTCATGTGCGTGCAAGGCTGAGAACACCAAGGAGATGGGTGCAGAGCTCCTCAAAGCTCCCGGGAGCCCAGGGCTGCCTGCTCTCCCCTGCACTGTCTGTCTCAGAGGCATTTATTTAAAGGAAGCGTATAACATAAGGGCACTGTCTTCCCAGTACCACAAAAGACAATAAGCCAGTCCATAGCTTCTCCCTCTCCACATTCCACGAGCAGCCGAGTGCGCTGTCTCGGAATTATTGAGGGGAAACCATCTCCTTCCTTCCCCTGAAGTTTTGCTCACCTACAGCTGTGTGGACCTGAGGGGCTTTCAGCTCCTGGGCTGTGCTATGAAAGTCCTGTTCTTTTGGTACCCATTGAGTGACCACCACCGCTCAACTAATTTGTAGGACATTGATATACACAACAACAACATCATCAATGGCAACGTGTCTCTCATGTATAAGAGTGTGCACCTCCTACCATCATCATATCCTTTGGGGGATATATCCCTGGTTTGCACCTTGGGAGCTATGGCTCGCTTGCCATAAGTATGGTTGTCGTAACTGTTGTATTCAAACGAGGTCTTGGAATATTTCTCGAGCTCCTTGGCCAGGTTGGAACGCGGCGTAGTTGTGGGGACATTGTTTCTGTAGCCATACTGAGGAATCTCCAGCTGCTTCACAAAGCACATTGGCCTGGAAGTAAACAAGAAAACAAACAACAGCTTGCTTTCCTGTGGCTTTGTACACGACGAGCTTCACATTAAAACTAGAATATCTTACTTTTTTAAATGTGTTAAACAATCAGAACCTTGCACTAAAACTACAACTTTTTTATTTTCTGAATAAAAGACAAAATGTCTTTTAATTATATAGCATCAAATAAACTGCCTAACAGTCAACTTCGGCAATAAAAAAGGACAAGAAATAAAATCTTTAAATATGTCCTTTTTTCCCTCTTTCCTGTAAGAGGTCTGGTGGCTTGGTGATGACATGAGATATGAGGATGGGGACAATTCCAGTCCTGAAATTTCTTTGCAACGGTTACAAAGAGTTGCCGAATTATACACAAAGATGTTGCCTCGATAAAAAATCCCCCTTAAAAAGTAAGATGAGGTAAAGAAATACTCTTAGGGACATAGACTGAGACAGAACCAGATCAAAATGTACCTAACTGGACAATGAGGTAGGCTAGGTGGTAATGTACCTTGTCAAGTACTAGAATATGCATTCAACGTTTTTATCTAGTAGTCATTTCTTAATGTCTTTGGAATAAAATATTTAAAAGGAAGGACACTGGGTCATTGCTCACTCATAGACACCATGTCGTGTGTGTGTGTGTGTGTGTGTGCGCGTGCGCGCGTGTGTGTGTCCACCTCTTCATCGGTCTAGCTCATAAGAGGAGTTTTTAGACTTTATACTTGAAATAACTTTAGACTTGCAGAAAAGTTGTACAGAGGTTTTCTTTACACCCTGACACCAAATTCCACCAATGTGACCATCTTCATAACCGTCAGACAAGAGCAAAACCAGGCGACTAACATTAGTATGGAGTTCTTTCCTAAACCAGAGGCTGTATTTGGATCTGACCAGTTTCTCCACAGATGTCCTTTTTCTGACACAGCCATGCAGGGTCCCACAGTGCACTAAGGGTCCTGCGTTCTGTCCTCCCCCTCGACAGCTCCTCAGTCTCACCGGGCTCAAGGCTTCATGGATTGGACACTGAAGAGCTGGTCAGGTTTTGTAGAATCAGATACAGACACATTCTTTTTTTTGTTGTTGTTGTTGTGATGGAGTCTCGGTCTGGTGGTCTGGGCTGGAGTGCAGTGGCATGATCTCAGCTCACTGCCACCCCCACCTCCTGGGTTCAAGCGATTCTCCTGCCTCAGCCTCCCGAGTAGCTGGGACTACAGGCGTGCACCACCACACCTGGCTAATTTTTTTGCATTTTCAGTGGAGACAGGGTTTCACCATGTTGGCCAGGCTGGTCTCAAACTCCTGACCTCAAGTTATCCACCCACCTTGGCCTCCCAAAGTCCTGGGATTATAGGCTTGAGCCACCACGCCTGGCCATAGATGCACTGTTAATCGTAACATCCTACAGTCTCATCTGCCATCTTTGTATTTTTCTCAAGTGATTCTCCTGCCTCAGCCTCCCAGGCAGCTGGGATTACATCACGAACCACCACGCCTGGCTAATTTTTTTTTTTTTTGAGACAGAGTCTCGCTCTGTCCCCCAGGCTGGAGTGCAGTGGTGCGATCTCGGCTCACTGCAAGCTCTGCCTCCCGGGTTTACACCATTCTCCTGCCTCAGCCTCTCGAGTAGCTGGGACTACAGGCACCTGCCACTGTGCCCAGCTAATTTTTTTTTGTATTTTTAGTAGAGACGGGGTTTCACCATGTTAGCCATGATGGTCTCGATCTCCTGACCTCGTGATCCACCCACCGCCTGGCTAAGTTTTGTATTTTTAGTAGAGACAGGGTTTTGCCAAGTTGGCCAGGCTGGTCTTGAACCCTTGGCATCAAGTGATCCTTTTTCAAAAAAATACTTACAGACCTTTTCACATCAGCATCATTTTACACACTATAAAGCTAACAAAATATTGAATTTTAAAAGCAGAGAGTTTCTTGTTGAATTTTTATCATTCTAAATTATATAAAATGTATTCCAAATAAAGACCCAACCAAGCAGGAAAAAACAAAAGGTGGTGAATTCATGTATTAGTGTTAGGTTCATAGTCAGCTTAGGAAGGACAGTAATTTTTTTTTTTTTTAAGACGGAATTTTGCTCTGTTGCCAGGCTGGAGTGCAATGGCATGGTCTCGGCTCAATGCAACCTCCACCTCCAGGGTTCAAGTGATTCTCCTGCCTTAGCCTCCTGAGTAGCTGGGATTACAGTCTCCCGCCACCATGCCCAGCTAATTTTTCTATTTTTAGTGGAGACAGGGTTTCACCATGTTGGCCAGGCTGGTCTCCAACTCCTGACCTCAGGTGATCCACCCGCCTCGGCCTCTCAAAGTGCTGGGATTACAGGCGCCAGCAACCACACCTGGAGGAAGACAGTAATTTTTGAGTAAGATCCTATTTCTTGATTACTAGTATCAGTAAGATCTGCAAATATTGCCTGTACCTCTAGCACAAATGTGAAATTTTAGCAGATATATGAAATTATAATATCAGCAGGTACAAACGTGTACTGTTTAGGAAGGAAACTCTTTGGCAACTGATGTGCAAACAATATTTTGATTGTTCTCCCTGGGGATGGAAATCTGAGGGGTTTTGATTTGTTCCTTTCCTAACTTATTTTCCACAAGTATTCTTGTGTGTCTGAATAAATATATTTTCTCTTGAGTCCTTGCTCTCTTCCTAAAGGTGATGCACACAGGCACACCAAAATCATCTATACTTGCCTTACAGGTAACAGGTTTAAAACTATTGTCTTGCTTTTTTATGATTATTTTCATGATTATATTTTGCTTTTTTATGATTCACTGAAAAAATATTTAGAAGACACAAAAGCTATTTTTTAAAAAATCGCCTACAGATCTTCTAGAGACAAAAACTTTTAAGGTTTTGGTGTATTTTTTATGATTAACTTAATGCATTTTATATTTACTTTAAATAGTTAGAATCTTACACTTTTACATATTTTATGCTTCCATTTTACATGAGATTTAATTTCCCTTTTTGTTTCTCAGGCTTTAAAAACAGTTCTTAATAGCAGAATGATATTGAAATCAATGAATATTATACTATTTAACTATTTTCCAACTTTTTCATTTTGTTGCTGTTATAAATTCTGACTTAATAGGCATCCATGTAGATAATGTCTTTTTACTCTGATTATTTCATAAATTTATATTGGTTTTGGTGCAGTTACAAAGTTTTGATAACTGAATTTTTTAAGAAAAGAAAGTCAGATTTTAGACTGATAGCCATATCTATACTTTTATAGCAGTATTGGATATATATCCAATTATATATATGTAAATTGGATATTGGTTAAATATCCAATTTATTTACCAAATCACCAATACATGTATTGCGATTTCATTAATTTAGCCGATTTACTTCTTGTCAAATCAATAAAATCATGTAATAATTGACTGTCTATTGTCCTTGAGACATTTTCCCAGATAATATGATGGTACATAAATGAATAAACCTGTAGGCCTTGCTTTAAAAGATGCTGGGGCAGGCTGGGCATGGTGGCTCATGCCTGTAATCCCAACACTTTGAGAGGCTGAGCCAGGAGGATCACTTGAGCCCAGGAGTTTGAGACCCACCAGAGCAATATAGGGAGACCCTGTCTCTCCAAAATAATAATAATAATAATAAATAAATAAAAAATAATAAAAAAAATATTAGCCAGGTGTGGTGGTGCATGCCCATTGTCCCAGCTACTCAGGTGGTTGAGGCGGGAGGATTGCTTGAGCCCAGGACATCAAGGCTACAGTGAGCCATAATTGTGCCACTGTACTCCAGCCTGGGTGACAGAGTGAGACCCTGTCTCTAAAAATTTTTTTTTTAATTAAAAAAAAAAAACAAAAGACCATGGGTGATGTGATCATATTTCAAGGGTCCAAATGCTATGAGAATTCTGGAGAAGAGAGAACACTCCAGGCTATGGAATTCAGTTATGTTTGAATGGAGAAAGGGATGTTTGAAGTAAGTTTTACAGAATGGGTTGATTTTTAAGGTTAAGATCTGTGCGGGGAGTGGGAGGGGGCGGTGTGGTAAGAAAACATTCCAGGAAAAGAAACTCAGCATCCAAAGGTGAGGAGGCAAAAAAGCCAGGAGAACCCTCAGGGAATAGCAAGAGACTGGCAGGCAGCCTGGGACCAGATCAGCCCAAGGGCAATCTGTTTATTCCCCTGGCGGGGAAGGCCAAAGGCTGGGAGAAGCATAATCCCCAAGCCTTAAAAAGATCAGGACCAGATCAGAGGGAGGTAGGAGGGGAGGAGAGGCTTCAGCTAGAGGGCCATACGCCACACCCTGACAGAGGCTGCAAGTCTGGGACTGGGAAGGAGGCTATAGACTTGGCCAGGATTGGAAGCACCTACTTAAGTCTCAGGCTCTTGTTCATTGAACGATTTATTTAAAGACTTTTTGAATCGTAACTAGTTAAATGACTGTAGGTTTAACTTCATTCTCTTTTCTTCCTTCCTGTCTCTTCCTTTTCCACTGAAAGAGCACCCCTACATGGAGACCCTGTGGGGAATACAGACATGCTGGGACAGGGACTTGTCCTCCAGCTGTCACACCCAGCATGCCAGGTAAGCCCCATGGAGGCGGAAAGCCCGCAGGAGTCTCACGCAGGGCCAGTGCAGGGCCCAGCACCCAGCGCCTCCCTGAACAACCAGGAATGGCTGTGGTTGGTCAGTGTGCATTGCTGGGCTGGCCCGAGACCTCGCACTGCAGTGAGACTAGCGTCTCTTTCTTCTTGTTAAAAGCCCTGTCCTGGCCTGGTTCCCATTCCAGCCAGAGGCACAGAGGAGAACGGCTGCAGCTGCACAGTAGTTACTCCCAGCCTCTGCTCGGTTGGCATTTGGTGGGGTTTTCTTTGCACCAATCCAGAAACAGGGATGCTGCATATGAAGCCACAGGAGCAGCACAGAAGGCTTCAGGCCGGAACATCGGAGTGGAGGCTGTGTTTGAACAAAGTGGTATTCACAATTACATGCATGCCTGGTCTCCAGCTGCCATGAGCTTCTCCCTGAAATCCCCACTCTGTGCTGGCCCCCGAGAGCAGGGCAGCCTGTAGGTGGGCAGTCGTAGGTGGTCAGTGCAGCCCCCGGGAGCAGGGAAGCCCAAAGGTGGGCAGTTGTAGGTGGGCAGAGCAGTCCCCGGGAGCAGGGCAGCCCGAAGGTGGGCAGTGCAGTCACCTGGTGACTCCAAGAAAGGCCAGATACTAGAGTTCTTCCAGCTTCTTGGGGGTCTGGCCAAAGTAGGCTGAAGAAAATTCATAAAAGCCCTCAGCAACAAATTTCTCCCTACCAACTTTCAAATTCTCCTTTGACCAATAACGATTCCTTGCTGGATTACGCAGCCCCGCGGGTTGGTCTGTTTTATTGGGTGGGGGTGGTTTTCATGTTGCCAATAATTAGCTGTGGGCTGATGGGGAGAGGGAGGGTGGCCTATGAGTTGTTCAGTGTTTGGTCTTGCCATATGGAAGGTGGGTGCATTTCCCTGAAAGGGTGGCTTCCTGAGATGGGTGCTCTGGGGGCACTTCAGGCCAGGACCCCAAATGCAGAAAACTCTAGATGTAGCTGTGCCACAATTTATTGAGGAGTTATCTCTTGATAGTAGGGTCATAGATGGCTTTGTTTTCTTATTTTTGCTTAAATAAATATTTATAATTTTCTGTAAAGATTTTAACTTTTCTATTCAGGGAGGAAGGGAGTTTAATTACTACGTTAGAAGCTTCTTGGGATGTTATGAAATAATACTCAAGAACAAAAAGGATATTCATATTGTTTGCCCAGTGATTTGCTCCAAGAGATTTATCCTAAATAAATAATTTACTTTTTTATTTTTTTGAGACAGGTTCTTGCTCTGTCATCTAGGCTAGAGTATGGTGGTGCAATCACACAGCTCACAGCAGCCTTGACCTCCTGGGCTCAAATCAATCCTCCCACCTCAGCCTTCTGAGTAGCCAAAGAAATAACAGAAGCAAAGTGCTGTATATATGAAAGAAATGTGTATTATTGCCCTCTCTTTAATAGTAAAAGCAGGAAACAGCCTGAATGCCTCAAAGCTAGAACCTAGTTTTGGCACTGAGGGGTACATCTGAACAGTAGAATATACGTAGCTGTGAAGATGACAATTAAGATGATTACATAGAGACAAGGACGCGTGTTTCTGCTGTGATGTTGTGTGAAAAGGCAGGATATGTGACAATTGTCATAGTTTTCATGTAGATGAGGATTTCAAACAACACGTAAGAATGAAAGCTGTATAGAAGGGCTGAGTGAATGGGGAGCTTATCCTCCCAAAACTTCAATAAAACAGTGGTTTCAGCCGGATGATCTGCGACATTGTAACACTGATTGACCCACTGTAACATTCGGGTCAGTCATTTAACCTCCGCACTCTGGATTTTCTCACTTGCCAAACGGAGGTGACAACACCTACTCCCACCTACACCTCAGGGCATTGGGCGTAACAGGAGGGAGCTCTGCCGGTTTTGCACGCGAGAGCTTCCACACGTGTGCACAGGGTGCTCATACCCCTGGCATCGTCAGAAACATCAGCACCAGCCTTAGTTGGTGTGAGGCCCTATCCTGCAAAATATGACAAAATTACCTTGGACATCTCAGTAATTTTCAAAGCTTCCCTTTCATCTAGCACTCAGACTCATGAAATACCAGGTCCAGAAACAAAACCAGAAATGATTTCCTCCAATTCTCTCATGTAAATTGTCACAGCGAATCCGCAGACACCAGGGGAAGAATGACACCCTTGCCCTCACACAGCCTGGCCTGGAGTGAGGGGTCCTGGCCCCGGCTTCCAGCACAGCCCCGCCCTCCAGTCCCTGCCCCTGCTGCTGTAGGGACATGCCCTGAGCGGGTGTCCCCAGCGCTCCGAGGTGTGGGGCAGACTATGGATAGAGCTCACGGATGGTGCACTCCTGCTGGGTACCTGAGCACGCGGTCCGAGGCCTGGCTGGACTTGGACACGTCGCAGCTCTGGTGCTTTTCCTGTGCCTTGGCCAGTTTCTCTGCTGCAGCGATCGGGCATCCGGAGAGGCTGCAATCACAGAAAGCGGGTTGAATGGTCCCGCCTCAAACACCTTCACAGCACACTAATCCTCCCTTAGCACCAAGACCCTGATGCAGGTGGAGCTGGTGAGGGAGGGGTAGTTTCCCAAACCTGGCACAGGCAGTCCTGATGGGTGGACTGGGAGAGGGGGAGGTAGTCATGTTTCCAGGTGCATGCTTTCTGCTGGTCTCCAGCAGAGAATGCTGGCGGCAGTGCTATGTGTGAGGTGTATTCAATCCTTCCCAATGAGAGCATCCCAGCTCCCATGCATTCGGGAGGACATAGCTGGTGAAAACTGTAGACAGATTCCATTTCTGGAGATGAAGAATTAACAGCTTGGGTAGGATGAGTTTTGAAGCCCCAGAATGGCAATGAATTGACTGTTACCAGAAGATGGAGCTCCAAGCTGATTTCCTAAATGCTATTGACTGTGGCGTCTGGGGGGCCTGTCTGACTTTAGCCCTTTGGTGTTCTCCACAAGCAGGGAAATGAAAGTGGAGAGGAAAGCAGAATGATTTCTAGGACTGCAATAAAATGTTTTGTGGAGCCAAATAGTTCAGGCTTAGTCTAGACGGAGGAGACAGCAGCTGGGCTCTTTTGTGTGCAAGCTCACTTTATGTGAAATCACCGTGTCTGCTCTGTGGGTGTCTACATACGTATCTGCTCATATGCACAGACGCTCACCCCATATATGTGTCATATCCCAAAAATACGCCTGTGCTGAGGTTTGACGGAGGCCCTGACGCTGCGGATGCTGCATCGAACAGCACACAGCACGCACCTCTCCAACCTATCGATCATTTCCTGCTTCTGCAGATTAAACACCTGAATGTCTCTGGAGGGCACAGTGGTCATTTGTTTCATTATAAATGTAACACAAAGGACCAGGTTTGCCAGTCAGACAAGCAAAAATTAGAGTGAAGCTTGTAACAGTTTCCTTCTTTTAGATACAATTTTACGTGAACTCATAAAACCATAGACTGTAAGACAAACTTTAAAAGAATCACTTTTTGGCCTCTGGGAAAAAAAAAGTTATCAGATAAGAACGCAATATTATGGGCAGCTGAGTAGTTCTTATCAAGTCTGCACAGGACAGGAAAAGAGAACTCAGATCTTTCACAAACAAAAGAGTGGTTCTGAGTCCATTGGTTAGCAGGAGTCCAGAATCTATTTCCCTGGCACCCCAGCCTCCCACAGACCACCCCCCAACCTGCTAAACATCTGCAGGTTTTCTGAAGACGTCCATACTTGTGACCTGGGGTTTCCATAGAATTCCAAGGGCAGCCAAGCCAAGCTACACACTGTACAGGCGTGCTGCATTCCAGGCCACGTCCTGTCCAATGAACACTAGGACAGCCCTGTCTTCACCTCGGAGGACAGCGAAGGCTTGGTCTCCTTCCTTCCAGCCATTGTAAATGGTCATGGTTTCCACTCCTGATACTATACCCTGCTATGATAAGGTGGGTGGGGCAACTAAAACCATCCAGTTTGCACCACAAGGGCGTGGAGTGCTTTCACTCCCGTGCATTATATGGAGGTGCCCGCACTTGGGGAGCACGGTGGGGAGCACCATATGGAGCGTGGTAGGCCCCCCAGGAAGGAGAAGGCATGGAGAGCAGCCGGTGCTCCCTCCCACACCAGTGACCCACGCGTGGCTTACCTTCGGTGGGAGTTCCTGTTGCTGTTGACATGCCCGCGCCCCGTGCAGCCCGGAGTGGGGCACTTGAGGACACTTTCATGCATGGCAAGGACTTGACAGGGAGAGGCAAAGAGAACAGCCAGTGTTAAAACAGAGGCACGGTTAGGGCACATGAAAATGCAGTCATTTAACAAAGGCCAGGTCGCTCATGATAGACAGTCCTACAAACGTTTGTGATGGGCATGGCCAGGAAAACACACATGGGAGGAGAAAGAAGGTTGACTGGACCCTACGGACCCTACACGAAAGGCCAGAGAAAGAAGGTTGACTGGACCCTACAGACCCTACATGAAAGGCCAGAGAAAGAAGGTTGACGGGACTCTATGCTAAGGGCCTCACACAGCAGAGGCGCTGGAGCCAGGAGCTGGGGAGTTCAGAGAACACAGAACTGACTCTTTCCTGATGGGCTAGGGGAGCGAGGGCCTCACAGATATTACCCATGCACAAGCATGGAGTATTGATTAGCCATAGAACAACACAGAGGCTGGGGATTTTAAAAACATGCCTGTGCTTTGGAAACACACAGCATTATGAACGTGTGGTGGGTAGATGAATACAGAACCACAAACCTTAATTTTAAATAAAATGAATTAAATAATCACTCTTCCTTTAGGAATCAAGTGCTTTATTATTCTTTAAATAGGATGAGCTAGAAGAGTAAGCGTCTGCGTTTTTACCCTGTGAAATTAACAAGCGGGAGAGGCCTCTTGCATGGACACCTTTTGTGGTGCAAGGATGCTACTGGCTGGTCGGCAGGGGAGAGCTGCTTGAATTTTCCCAGCAGTGGTGTTGGACCTGAATTATTTGTGTCTTCCTTCTTTTCTGGTCCTTCATGAACGCTCTACTACTCTGGGTTCTGGGGGAAGGTTAGCAGGGACGAAGGGACCCCCACACGGACCCTGTCTGCATCATGCTCTGCTCCTCTGAGCCCGCTGTCTCCAAACTCCAGGGGAATGGGGTGGTGGCTTTCCCTGACAGCAAGGTTTACCTGAGGCCAGGTGAACATGGAAGGTCTATTCAAAACAGATCTGCCTACTCTAGTTATGTAATTGTATTTTTGACACTTTTCCTCCTTCTCTAGAACAACCTCTCTCTTTCCCCTGCAGTCTGCTGGGCACTGAATCCCACATCCACATGGTGTTGCTGTTATCTGAGTCCACACCCTGTCTTCTTACTGCTGGGCAGTCCCTTCAGCAGAGTTTGCTTTGGTATTAGCTTTATCGCTCCCACAGTTCCTGGCTTGTCCTGGATGTGGTAGGTCCTAGTAAGTGCTGTCAGAAAAATGAATGATCAAAGTGAGTCCACCTTTGGTTCATCTTGTGCTGGCACCTGGCTGGAGGGGGTCACAGGAGGGTTCCTTTCTGAGAGGATCCAAGCACAGTTCCCTGCCCCCTTCCTCCCTGTCCCAGAGGAAGAAGTGCTGCTCCTCCCTACAGGGAGGCCTCTCCAGGAAGCATGTGCGTGGTCCTCCTTCCTGCAGGATGTCGATCTACCTACTTCGTTCATTCTTTCTTCTTTATCATTTGTCCACCACCGTGTGACAACAGCACACGAATGCTTCTCTTCACACTGCTCCCCTCTGACATGTACCTGCACCTTTCCTTTCCTTTTATGGTAAACTTTTCACATGCAGTCTTCCCTGGGGATGGCACACGGGGGTCACTCTGACCTGAGGTCCAGATGGCAAGTGCACTTTACGCCTCTCTCCTGCTGTGTGGGAATGCACACTCCCAGCCTCGCCCCTGAATCCTCCTGAGGTGGAGTGTGCTTGCTATCCTTGGTCTACACTCTGCTGCTACTTCATCCATCTCAATCACATTTCTCAAACTTCTGCAGCATGTGCAGCTCCTATCCCTCTCTCCTCTTCTCACATCTGTCTCTCGGCGTCAACAAGAGGCTTTTACTCAAGAAACCCTTCCGGGCGTGGTGGCTCACACCTGTAATTCCAGCACTTTGGGAGGCTGAGGCGGGCGGATCACAAGGTCAGGAGTTCGAGACCAGCCTCACCAATATGGTGAAACCCCGTCTCTACTAAAAATACAAAAATTAGCCAGCCGTGGTGGCATGCACCTGTAATCCCAGCTACTCAGGAGGCTGAAGCAGGAGCATCACTTGATCCCACGGGGCGGAGGTTGCAGTGAGCCGAGATTACGCCATTGCACTCCAGCCTGGGCGACAGAGCGAGACTCTGTCTAAAAAAAAAACAAAAACGAAAACAAAAACAAAAAAACCCTGTGACCCCTGCAGTTCTTCCTCTCAGACACACGGGGCTTTATCAGAAACACCTTCCTCTCCTGGTTTTCTGTTTCTCTGATTTTCCTCCACCTGCTCCTGTTTCTGTGCGTCATCTTACCATACATTCATGGCCAAACTTCCCATGTATGGACCCTCCTTCATTCCTGCTTTATGCCTCCTCCCTAAGCAATTCCACCATCAGTTTCCACGAATGCTACTCCAAGGACGGTATCCAGGTAGCCACCTCTGCACCTGACCTCCCCAGGCCTCCAGAGCCACCTTCCCAAACCCTGCAGAATATCATGCAGCTCCTCCAACTCAAGTGGGAAGAATACAAGTCCCGGTTCTCCACCAAATGTGGCCCTGCTGCTCAGCTTTCTGTACAGATTATCGGCCCTGGCGTCCTTAAGTTCACCGAGGCTATAATCCCTGGCATCCTCTTGGTCTCCCCTCTTCTCTTACTCCTCACGTGTGCTGCCCTCCACAGCCTGCCCGCCTATCTCTGGATGTTTCGTGAATCTGCCCCAGCTTTTCCATTCCCACAACCACTGTCTTTTCCATGCCCTGATCTCTTGTGTGGACTTTTACAACAGCCTTTAGAAAATGCTGTGGGTTCCTCGCCTCTCACACAGGACAGCTGGAGCATCACCTCACGGCGGCCTTGGGGGCCCTGGGAGCAGTTCTCCATCCCGCCTAGACCATGCTGTGGAGTCCCCACCGTGCAGAGCCCCGGCCTCGTGCAGAGCCCCGGCCTCATGCCCATGTCCTTCTCTCAGCCGGGCTGGGAGCTCTCTGAGGGCCAGTACAGTGTCTCGGGCAATGGCGTGTCCTCAGTGGTCCTGACACAGTGTGCTGCTGGTTTCTTTATGGAATTTAGTTGGACAGAAATGATGATTAGGGGAAACTAGCCCAGAAAAAAAAAATTAAAAGCCTTCTATGGATGGAATTCTCTAATTGTTTTAGTAAATGCTTGTGGTGTTATAAAGAATCGCACAGGAGCAAAGGCTGAGAAGCCTCCTCTGTATTGTCTGGCATGCACCTGTGCCGCCCATGTCAGAGCTGACTCTCCTTGCCTCCGAGAGCGATCTGGCCCTGGGAGGCACCTGCAGCCGGCGCGAAGGGCACCTTGCCAGTCCCACTCCACAGTCCCACTTCATTTAGGCCTGTCCTGTGAAAACAGGGAGTCAGAAGAATTTCCCATCCATAAAAAGGAGCTGATAATCTACCTTGAAGGTGAAAATGTAGGTCTTATAAAACACATAAAGAAACTCTTTCTTCTTAAAACACTAGAGCTTGGTCCTCCTGCCTCACTTTGCAGATGAGGAAGATGAAGTACAGAGAGCTGCAAGGTGCTGGGTGTCACATCGTGTGTTCAGACAGAAACTGGAACACCAAACCCAGGTTTCAGAGGAGACAGACAGGCTCAGAGGTCAGTCGGATACGGATTTACATCTTAGCCCGGAGCTTACTTGAGTAAGTTAGTACCTGCTCAGATTTGTTTAAGAAGATATGGCATATCCTCAATTTGCCAGGCATTGGCTAACCTCTGGAAAGAAAGGGTGGCAGAGTCTCTGACTCTCATCTTCCTCATCCGAATGAAAGGGGGGGTGTTGCCCTGCAGTGTCGATTGCGGGTTCAGTGAACTTGTGTTTGCTGGGTGTGAGCTGCGTCCCAGCACCAAGTGTGTGCTGGGTACATGGAAGCTGTTGTCAAACCATGCTGTCTTCCTGCTCATGTAACACACGGGATTGGAGCCACTCGCTCTGATTTGTTTATTTTTATGGCTCTTCAGGCTTGTTCACAAGATGGTTACAAAACACACAAGTTTGCTATTTTGAGGAGCCATTTGAAAACCTGGAGCCATAATTGCATCTAAAGATCTTTCACTAGAAAATGTTCAGCAAAAACTTCCTAAGTCCCAAATGCTCCTGAGAACGTTTCTTTGTGCTGACAGGTTTTGCTCTCAAGTATCTCAAAGTTACCCATTTTAATGGGACAGTCCTCAAAAGGGCCTTAAAGTAGTTAACTGGTCATCTTGTCATCTCTCAAGCCATGTTATGACATGTTCCCCACTAGAAACTGTGTCTTAGACAGTAAGGGAAACTCTTCCCATGCCGTAGACTCAAAACCAGAACCTTAAACTCATATACTCATTTCTGAGAATGTGTCTTTTCCCTGAACCATCAATTCTAGCTGCGGTATTTAATTTATTGGCATACTTTATGTGCTGAAAGGATAAACAAAAAAAGATGTATATCATTTCAATTCTAAAAAAATTTAGCTATATTCATGGACTTATTCCACATGATCAGAACCTAATTAATTAAAAAGAATGCTTAAGATCAAAACCCATCTGATTTCAACCTCCTTCCTTATTGAAGAACCTATAGTGTTGAAATGTCGAGACAACTATGACATGAGACAGACTTTACAGGTGAAATGCAATAAAACTTCAGATCTAAATATGCATTTGGATGATGTACAGAAATCCAGATATTTGGGCAAGAAATGTCTGTCTCAAGGCCTCTCTCCTCTGGGATTCCTGGCAGTTTCATGCTGGAAGGGACGTCTTAGAGGCCATCGAATTCAATTCTGTAATTACGAGAAAAGATGCCTGGAAGCAACCTGCCCAAGGTCACAGAGCAGGTCAGAGCTGAACTCAGGACTAGAACCCAGGCCTGTGCAGGAGCTTTGTTAGGGGCGGTGGGCTTCATGGTGCACCACTCTCCTGGGGCTGTGCCATTGGCATGCCCACGAATCCTGGATCAGTTGCCCATCAAGTTAAGTAGGGGCCTAGTTAAATCAGGTCGCACCGAGCCGTACAATGGAGATGATGTCAGGTAAGAGGGATGACAGAGACAGAGTCATGGGTGTTTGCACCCCCAAGGGTAGCGGTGAGACGTGGACTTACTTTCTGGAGGGACCCTATCTTTGTGCGGGCATCCGGACAGGCTGCGGTGATGTGGGTACAGCCCAGTTACGTGGCCGGTTCCATCACACCCGGGGGTTGGACACTTGCTCTCTTTCTTTTCTGTTCTTGAGGGATCTAAAAGCGACAACAGGTGCCAAGAGAATAAATGTTTACCAATCAAAGACAAATGTGATTATTTCACAATCTGAAGAAACCTTGCTAAAGAAAGAAATAAAGCAGGTGTCGGGGGCTAGGCTGTGACATCAGACTTTTGCTTAGATAGTTCTTTGGTTTTGGGTGACTTTTTTCAACCTTACACAGTATAATCATGAATCATAAAGTATTTTAATTTTTATTCTAAAGAAAAGAAAAGCCTACCCCTCACCTTAACTCTGATTCATTATTTTCCCGTGTGTTACATGATAAGCTGTGTTGCTCAAAGGAATCAACGTAAATCGTGATGAGACAGTGACCTTCTTAGAGAACGAAATTCTGTGCCATCATCATTCAGCAATTTTCCATGAAATTCAACCAGAGAGTGTCATTCCATTCAAAAACTCTTTAGCTGAATTTCTTTCTTATTGAGTGCTCTGATCGCATACACTAGAAGCTGCAGGATTTTACTGACATTGAAATTTGCTCTCCGGAGGTCAAGTGACATTGTTTCGTAGCACACCAATTCAGCGCTTTTCTGAAAATAAACTGAACTCTCAGAAGGCACTGTAAGCAAATGACCAAAAAGGTGGAAAGCCCACCTGACAGAGGTGACGGGTAATCAACATGTTTCAGAAGCCACGGGAGCAGCCTTTTGTTTTGATTTCTTCATCTGTACTTGGAACCAGAGGAAGGCTCGTAGAATGCCGTGCATGCATACACAAAATTAAGAAGTAATGGGTTTCTACAGCCCTGTCGGCTTCTCTGCAAGTACCAGTCAAGGGCAAATTAGGGCAGAGCTTCGGTTAAAAAAAAATTCAATACTAGAGGCCAGAAATGTAATGATATTGCTAATAAAATTATTTCTATACCCAGAATTGACTACAGTTCATAAATATGCAATATAATAACTTCAGATAATATTTCTAAAGTAAAGCTCAGACCAAACAGTAAATCTAAGTGTGCAAAACACTGTATTTTTAGCCAGTTTTTGAAAACCAGTTGCTCAGATCACCAACAGATAGCGATTATTATTATTTAGTCCAGAAATGCAATAGTTAAATTTTCTTTAGGGATTAGTTCTTTTTGATATTCCATTAATCAGGCCAATCATGATTGCTAGAAAATACATGTTTTACTTTCAGTTAAGAATTCACTTTATATCAATAAAAGCTGGATTTAGAATTTTTTGAACTTTTACGGACTTTTCATTCGTTCAGGTGAACTTCAAATAGACAAAGGACTAGCAGGAATAGACAAATGCCATCATGTTCATATAAAAACACTCCCCTTTTCTTTTTTAGCTAGCATCTTATTCTGCATAATGTGCCTCTCCTGTACTGGAAACTCTTAAGCCAGCACTGGTGTTGAGGGAAATACCATTTGTACAATCATCCGTTACTTTCCTACCATTATGTCAAGAAGAATCTTTGAGAACAAATCTAAAATTATGTGGTTGTGGCTTCAATTTCTAATTACATTACTGAAACTTCTCTTACACCTGCAAACAAAAATGCCTAGCACTTTATTGCCTTTTCAGTAATTTCATAATAATGTTGGTATAAATTACTGTAGATATAAATCACTACAAATATAAAGTAGTAAGTGCACAGTAACAGTTTCAAAAGAAATACTGACAATCATAAACTTGAGATAAGAGATTTTGAACTAGATGTAAATGGCTAGTGGCTGGTGCAAAAAAGTGTAAGGTGTATCTATTATTCGTCCTTAAGTGACCCTATTTTACCACGACACTTAGGATTACCTAACAAAATATATGACTTCACAGATATCGAAAGTGTTGTGAAATTAAGTAGGGATTTGCATGAAAACAATGTGGCTCCAAAGCATTTTGGGTTTTGGAAGACGACAAGGGTATAGTCTCCTCTCGATGCATGAGGTCCTGGTTGAGGTGGGGTCATGCTATTTGCCTTCACCGTTACCTCCCCTTGGTTTCTTTTCTCTTGCAATCTCAAAAGCAAACATACAAGCAAACACAAAATAACCAAGCAAGCAAAGGGACCAACAATTTAACCAAACACCTTTTGCAACAACTTACAGAAAAAAAAAGTGCGCTGTTTAGCTTGCTCCCTTCCCTCTGTTAGAGCAGGCAATTGGGTAGATGACAGAGGAGGTCCATGATCCAGGCCTTTTGCATTAGCTCAAGATTTTGGAAATGTTACTCGTTGATAATTTAAATCAGTTTGAGAAGATTGTGTAGAAATGAGAATACAAGTGTTCTCTCCATTTTTAATAAAATAACAGAGTGTCTGAAAATAGAGCCTGTTGACATGCTAGTGGTTGCAGGAATTCTCTGTTGGCTGTGTTGGTGAGATAGTACCACAATTTTAGTTTTAATTTAATTTAATTTAATATTATTTTATTTTTTGAGACGGAGTCTCGCTCTGTCCCCCAGGCTGGAGTTCAGTGGCACAATCTCGGCTCACTGCAAGCTCCGCCTCCCAGGTTCACGCCATTCTCCTGCCTCAGCCTCCCGAGTAGCTGGGACTACAGGCGCCCACCACCACGCCCGGCTGACTTTTTGTATTTTTAGTAGAGACAGTGTTAGCCAGGATGGTCTCGATCTCCTGACCTCGTGATCCACCCGCACTATTTTTTTAAGGGAGTTTCTTTGCTCCACTTTGTTGGCCTTGCTTGGCTGCATGTATTTGGTTCTGAATATAACTACAGACATCTCGAAGGACATTTGGAATAATGTGGAAGACACTGACAGATACGGAAATGAGCTTTGGTCAGAGCAGGAAGACCTGGAACAGCTGGGTGAGACTGGAGTCAAGGCCTTCTGCTTACAGGAAAGTCCAAATCTGCAACCTTTCCTCCCAAGAGGGAAAAAGCACATCTCAGTTCTTACTGTTCATTCCCACCCAACCCCCATTTATACAGGGGAAGCAAGCACCTTGAATTCCATTTTCTTGCAAACAAAACAAAACAACAAAACAAAAAACAAAACGAGTCAAAATTTGCATAAAGCCGCTGAACTTAAAGGGACCAAGAAACCAAAGAAGCCACCGCAACACAGAATTTGCAAAAAGCTCAATCTGCCTTCTCTTGACACAGCACACCCTCCATTACTTCACGCCCAAACTCCATCCTCAGATTTAGGATCCGGGAGTCTAAAACATAAGCCTAAGCTCAATCAGCCTTCCCTTGACACAGCACACGCTACATTACTTCATGCCCAAACTCCATCCTCAGATCTAGGATCTGGGAGTCTAAAACATAAGCCTAAAATATATTTGTCCAACTGAGCAATCACATGAAAAGAAGACACTATTTCTTCCCCAAAATAAAAATGTTTCATTCCTGTATGATTCTCAAAAATTCAACTAAAAATTTCTAATAGATAATTTTAGCCCATCTTGTTAACGATGATGGCACTATAATTTTAAACATGCATGCTATGTTCCGTAGTCTTTAAAATGCCCAAATCAGGCCTGAAGCTCTACTGAGCTAGAGAGTCTACTGATTCTCTTTCCTCTAAAAAACAATCCCTTCGCTACATAACAACACTGCAACGGGCAAAGCTTCACCTTGCGACTGAAACGCTGTCTGTGCCCAGGCACCTGCCGAGAGTCCCCGAGCCTCTGGCTAAGGTACCTCTACAGTTTGCATTTGGCTGTAGCGATGCCTAGCTTGCCGCAGAAGGTAGGTGCACACATTGAGAGGAGAATACACGTCTGTGCCACAGTGGGAAAAAGTGCAGTTTTTCTGATTGCTTGAAATTTATACAGCAACTGATTTTCAAGTAAATTCCTGAACCTCACTATTGGGTTCGCAGTGAGGAAACTCAGGATTCGTAGTGAATAGAATGTAATAAAAAACATAAAAGGATCTTTTGGGTGCTAACATAGAGGGATTTAATGAACTGCCAATTTCATGTTTTAAATTGCTTCTTACTGAGTTCTAAAAGAATATTGTGATGGAGATATCCACAAAGTCAAGGTTATGCATGAGGCTGAATTAGAACCTGCCTCATATTGAAAGTGGACACCGTCTTCTTTACAAACATGAAGACAATCATTCAGGTTGGAGATACATATACACATGATCTACTTACATACATATAGTATACATATATATGTAAAGATAGCTAAATACATTGACATATGCAAACATGTGCCCACATATTTCGTAAAAGAAAACTCAGCTCAAACTATCATATTGGATAGTTTTTGAGTGTTTTATAATAAATTAATATTTGAGAAAAGCGCCATAACTGTTTCCACAATGGAATGGAATCAGTTAAAAGGAATGAATATCCTAAAGAAATTGCTATTGATCTTAGCTGAGGCCACACCATGCCTTGCATAGCAAATGGTTTCCATTACCTTACTATCTTAAGATAATTAATGTGCAGTCACTGCCCTTATCTTATGTTATCGGTCATTCAGTTACTGTTCAATTTCTATCAGGGGTGTTTT
Organism: Homo sapiens; assembly: GCF_000001405.40. Taxonomy (NCBI): domain Eukaryota; kingdom Metazoa; phylum Chordata; class Mammalia; order Primates; family Hominidae; genus Homo; species Homo sapiens. The sequence continues at coordinate 1,921,800 of NC_000002.12, forward strand.
CTACGAGGGCAGTTTCATCAATAACTGTCACTTGCTGATAATTTTACAAATCATGATGCCATTTCCCCAATCCAATTTATAAAATGTGTGCTTTATCTCGGATTGACTAATTGTTACATAAACCCTTGCCACTCAGCATAGATTGTGGTTCATTTATAATAGCACAGGCTTACCCTAATATTTTCTATCAAGTGATGTGTCTGTGCTTTACCCCTGTCTTCCCAAGGAATGCATTTCCCACTGAAATATCCTACTATTCATCTGCTCTAGTAATATGATGTTAAGCTGCTTTATGTATTTCTCAGACAAATATTTTATTTGCTTGTCAGAAACGTAATCACAAAATATCCTTCTGGAATCAACTCTAAGAATGTGCAGTAGAGACATAATTCAGTGTGAGTCACACTTTAACTGTAGACTACCACCAACATCCTTTACCCTAGCTCATGTTTTCATGAGGCAACTTACGTTAGGTAGAAATATTACCTTTACCATAGTATGGCTTTTTGACATGGCTGTCACTGGATTTAGGCTTTCTGTCCTCCCCGGGAAGTTGTCTCGGAGACTGGTCCTCATATGACCTCATATTGTCCCTCCTCCCAGCTTCCATGGCCATCTTCTCCCTCATGGCCTTTGCTCTTTCCGTTTCCAAAGCGATGGCTTTCTCCAGCAGGGTCAGGTTCCCCTTGGTCATGTCGAACACCTCTTCAGACCTGTCCGAGTTCACAGAGGTGGTATCGTCGTCCCGCTCATGACACCCATCCTCCTTCGCACAGCTGGCAAACACTCTCGACCGGGGGCTCAACTGCTCCTCCAGCCGCATGAGGTTCAGCATGTCCGAGTAGTTTCTGTCCGGCGTCCTTCCGGGGAAGTCCTCTTCTGGCCGGACATGCTGACGGATGTTCATGTTCTGCTGCGGATTCCTCTCCTGCGGGTTGGTCTCACTGAGCTTCCTGGCCAGGTCGAAGCACTGATTCCTCAAACACTCCAGACTGCTCAGACACACCTCCTCATCGCTCTCCTCCACCATCTTTTCCATGAGTCCGTTGTTCATGGGCTTCCCCAACATGACGTAATTCATATTTCTACTGTCTTGCTGCGACATGCTGTCTGCATAATTTCTGTCATTCATGTTTTCTGAGAGCACAACACCGTGTCCTTGGGCTAATAGTTTAAGGGAGTCCACTGTTTCTCTAACAACATCACTGTCTAAGTCTAAACTCAACTCACTTTTCCGACCCAGGTTTTCGTTTTTGTCACTATCGTCTTCCAGACTATTGGAGGTATTGCTGTTCATTTCTGACTCAGTCCTGGCCCGGTAGGCTGCATCCTCAGCGATTTTGCCGAGGTTTAACAATGACTTGGCCACCAGTTCATCGTAATTGTCATATTCGTCATTATTGTTATCATCCTTTTCTGTGTCTTGCATTATTCGAGTATTGTGACAATTCATTTGATGGTCTTCTGCAAAGAAAATAAAAAAGACAAAAAAGAAAAGAAAAGGAAAAAGTGGCTAGAACTGGAAGCTTAGTTGCAACAGCATGGATAGCACGTTAACTGCAAGTCAAACCGTCTATCATCTCACAGAACTGTAAGTCCCATTTGCAGCTGGGTTGAAAAAGTTGACATAAAGAAAACGGATGTTGCTAAAAAGCAGAAGGCCATTTAAAATACTTGTTGTGAATTATTAATTTCTTTAATGGATCTTAAGATAAACCAGTCAATGTGGCAAATATGATTTTAAAAATTAATTTTGTATTTTTCATACATTTCAAGAATGACTTATTTTCTCCATTGGCTTGCTTTATCTATAGCCTCGCCAGATGTGTATTAACTGTGCTCCTCACATTACTAGGCTTTCTAAGAGTTCATGAACTTTACTTGTTGCCAACTCTGAAGCAGATGTTTGCAGCAATTGCTTTTAAATGGTCTATTTTCACAGTGGCGTGTAGGCAACACAGAGGACAGCCTCAGGTTCCTGAGAGTCAGGCAGGGGTGCCGGCTGCATTGGGAGCTCAGATTCATAAGCACATGTTGGGGCTGAATTAAGAGTTCTTTTGAATCCATACCTTCAAGACAATTTATCATGATACACAGTGAAACAACAGAAATTCCATAGTAAATGTTTAGACAGTAAATCTGATTCCTCTGTCTGTGTCTCCACAGGTTTGAAAGTGAGAGAGAGAGAAAGCGTGCAGCAGCCAAAGGCCTATAAAAGGCGGGGTTGAGGTAAGTTGGTACAGCTACTGCACAGTGTTTGACTGGACAGGCAGAGCTGGCACATTCCTCCATCTCACAGCCTCAGGAAAAGCTTGGTGAGCGGGTATAATGTGTGAGTAAGTGTCATGCTTAATCTCAAAAACGTATTTAGAAAAACTCTTTAAAAAGACCATGTTAAAAATTACATAAAACCCCTATGTTTTATCTCAAACATATTCTGTTTCACACTCAAAGAGCATTTGGGATTTGTACCTCTAATCACCATGCTAGGTCATTGCTTCCATGTACATTGCAAAATATGAGTAATAATAAAAGGGTTCCTAAATGTATCTGTACCCTTAGATTAGATTTGGTTAACTGCATGCCATTTTCACATCTGTTCTTTGTTTTTATGATTAAAAATCCAGAGTAAGAAAAATGTCTAAAGTTTATTAACAATTTAAAGAAATGAGGTATATTGACCTCTACAAAATACCAGTACACTAAAAACTGAGATATGGGGGCTCTGGTGTTTTCTCTATGGATTTTATGCAGAAAAGGTTGGTGGAAAAAAGACTTGGAGTTCAATATGTCAATAACAGAAAATAATATCCTTATTATCCCACGCTGAAGGAACAAATATTTAAGATCTGACACACCTTTCTAAACTTCGGCAAATCAAATTTACCTTTTATTAGACATAGAGAATCGCTAATTGTGTGAAACAAATATTGCCCTTCTTCTGGATAATTCCTATAAATCATCTTCTTTATTATAAGGATAAAAGTATTCCCCAAGAGCAGCAAAAAGAAAGAAAATCAAACTAGTGAATGAATCAGAAACATTGTGGAAGTATTAATCTCCAACATACCCCTTGCTATACCCTAGTGTTTAAGCTTTTAGGACTTGAAGTCAATCCCATTTTAATTAATATTTGGAAATATTCTCCTCTCAATTTATGCACTTTGTTATATTCATGGGCTGTGATTACAGAAGTTTCCTCAGAATAACCAAGCTGTGTTACCTCTGCACAATAGGTAAGTTTTAACAGCCAGAATCACTATGTCTATGAAGACCCAACCACGAGATGAATGATAAGCTATGATTTGAAAACAAAAAAGCACAGGCCACATGTTGGAGCATTTTGAAAGTTGAGTCAAAGAAGAAACCACAGTCAAGCAACACTATTTTCATGATGTTCTCCTACATTTCCTTTATGGAACTCATTGTGTGGTCCTGAAGAATTTGGAAAAGAAGCAAGACCTTGAAAGTGGTGAACAAGGAAAGAAAAAGCCTGTCTAATCCTCCTTGCTGCTTCTACAGCCACAAAAAGCCTGCAGGGGGAACAGGTCCTGGTTCCCACCTTATGAACTTCCTCACCTTCCTACAAATGTGTTATGTACAACATTGGTCATTCTCCACATTCCAAATCTCAGGATTAGCTTCAGTTTGTTCCCCCCTACATTCTCCCTTCAGCAGCACGTAGTTAAGAAGTACATCTCACCTTTTTGATAATCAGACATTTATCTGTTTCTCCACTCAATTCATAAGTTACCTTCCCCCGACAAAATTAAAACAAAAATGGACAAGCCTCTTCACACAGGGTCACAGCCATGCTGACGGGTGAAGCTGAGAGCAGCCAAGGAGAAAGTCCCTGAACCGTCTGGAGACCGGCAGAACGCGGACCACCTCCGATGCATCTCCAGCTTTATACTCTAATCACAAAGCACACTGAGGGCACGGTTCGTCCTCATACCGCATTGATATGAAATTAGAAGTTCTACAGCTCGGCGCCCATCATGACTTGGCTGCTTTCTAATTGTGTGATGCTGGTGACCCAAGTCTCCAAGACTTAATTAGCTCAGTGGGGATAGTAAAACTTCCTGGCCCTTTGTCAGATCTCCTACAAGAACCATGTCACAGGATATGCCTCCTAAAGACTGCAGTTTGCTGTCTTATCATTGGCCCCAGAGCCGACTGCTGGGGAGAGCAGCCCGTTGGTAGAAGAAATCTGGAAACAGGCAGTGGAAAGCATATTGGCATCTGAGCACAGAGCCTGCCGTGTGCTTCTACCCTTCTTCAAAGTTCCTCCTGCTCAGTGTCATCTGAGCCTCTCCCAGCGGCAGCAAATGTGGGGACGGCGGGTGAAGATGGCGTGGGTGGCCTCAAAGCCTGGCAGGTGAATGGAATTTCTCAAGCTACCGGTATTTAACTCTTTTAAAACACATGTGAAATGAAGTCAGCTCCTAATTATGTGGGCTCATGGAGGGGAACAGCCAGTCAATCCATCAACAAGCAGGCTCTGAATCCCTGCTGGGCATCAGCCTCATCTGGAATTCAAAGTCATTCACAGTGAGCTTTTGGGATTCCCTCCCTGGTTGTACACACTCCCTTCCAGGTATGCTTTTCTGAGGCTAATAATGAAATTAGTCACATGATGGCATGGGCTATGGGAACTAGATCAGAATTTTCTGGGCCAGTCTGGGGTTGAAAATGTGATACAAACAATCCACAAAATGAACATTCCAACCTCAAAAAGCAGGAGGCCATTTTACTAGGTTTTGTTTTTGTTTTTGTTTTTTGAGATGGAGTCTCACTCTGTCATGCAGGCTAGAGTGCAGTGGTGCGATCTGAGCTCACTGCAACCTTTGCTTCCTGGGTTCAAGCAATTCTCCTGCTTCAGCCTGCTGAGTAGCTGGGACTGCAGGTGTGCACCACCATGTAGAGACAAGGTTTTGCCATGTTGGCCAGGCTGGTCTTGAACTCCTGACCTCAAGTGATCCTCCTGCCTCGGCCTCCCAAAGTGCTGGGATTATAGGCATGAGCCACTGAGCCTGGCCTCCATTTTACTAGTTTCTATATAGTGACTATTGTTCTATCAAATAGGGAGAATGTATGTGTGATAAAAGAGCAATTTATCAGGAAATTATCTTAAAGGACAAGTTTATGTTCTAAGTAAAAACACATATTTAGATGGAGGTTTAAAGAGAAGAACAAAGCATTCTCAGCTCCCTTTTTTTGGTTTTCTATTTTAAATCTGTCATCCAGCAAAGCCACAGAGCAACAGACTCTGAGCAGGAGCCTCCTGTGAGCGGGGGCCAGCCTGGGGCTGACCGCTGGGTGGACTCACAGAGTTACCGCACTGGCACGGAAATCAGAGAAGAGCTGGCCCAACTACTCCAGGTGAGAAAATTGAGCCCAGAAGACAGAGCCCATTCAGTGGCTGATCTCATGGGCTCTTCTTCCTTCCTATCAGCCAGTTATTCTACAAACCTGACTTCTGTTGCATTACACATGAGATTTCAACACCTCCATGAGTGAGATTTATGAAACGTTTTAGGGTTGAATTTTATCTCTTTTGAGTCAGATTGTTATAAACAATTTATGCTCCATAGTTACAATTAGAAAATGAAAACATCTTCTTAAACAAAAGAAACGTGGTTGCTGTGGGCCATTTATCCTCCACCCTCCTCACTAGAGTCTGGTAGAGTCAGAACTCTGGATTACAACTTTATATACAGGCTTGGCTTCTTAGTGTCTCTCCCTAAGATACACAACTTTTGATTCCTGCAACATCTAGTCCTGATTGAGCTACTGTTCTTTCTGGTCACTGACACAGGACCCAGGCAAGTAAACGTACAGCTGAATAGAAAACATAGAGGAAGCCACAGGAGGGGACTGTACTCCAAAGCAAAAATCGCCCTAGACTTCCCCGGGTCGGAGGAGACCTGGTCTGCAGGTGCACTCCAGTGAGTTTCAAATAATGAAGGACCACTGCTTTCTATGGCTTTACAGAGGTGGTGTTTTGTTACATAAATAAATCAATATCAAAATATATTTTGACTTATAAATACAGAAATATGACAATGCATTCATTCTAATGAAAAGATGATGGTGTTTTAATAGCAATCGCAATGATAAGGAAAAAAAACCAAACCACATAAACCATCTATATATTTCTTTTTGTTTGTTTGAGACAGGGTCTGGCTCTGTTGCCCAGGCTGGAGTGCAGTGGCACAATCACAGCTCACTGCAGCCTCATTCCCCCTGGCTCAAGTGACCCTCCCGCCTCAGCTTTTGAGTAGCTGGGACTACAGTCATGTGTCACCACGCCTGGCTAAATTTTGTATTTTTTGTAGAGACAGAGTTTCACTGTGTTGCCCAGGCTCGTCTCAAAGTGATCTGCCTGCCTCGGCCTCCCATAGTGCTGGAATTACAGGTGTTAGCTACTGCACCTGGTCATAAATGTTTCATATACCACATTTCCTTCTGTGCAGAGGAAATGAAGTTGGTGACTACAGAATAGTCTGACTCACCTGAGTCTGGTCCCCTGATGACCCTATGAGAGGCACTGGGGCACCTACTGCTCCCTCTGAAAGGTGACAGTACAGAACCACAGAGGCTGACAGTTTACCCCATCACTCACTGTGAAACAGCAGAGCTGGAGCCACCTGGAGTTCTGGGTGTAGCACAGTCCTGAACATTCCACAGTGTTGCCTCCACTTCCAGAGCAAGCAGGCCTGCACAGTTCTCACCCCAGGGCCTCCCAGGAGGCACGTTCTACACTAGTTAGCCAGACATGCAGCACTTTAATAGTAGAGAGTAACGCCGCTCCCTTCTGCCTCACCATTCGGAATGTTTTTGTTGCTATTTTTGCATTTATCTTCCGAGTTTTTTTTTCTCCTTTCAATACTCTGCATTGATTTATGGACTGAAGGCTTGGTTGTATCACCAACCACTCAGAGCTGTGCTGGAACTGCCAGCTTAGTGAGCCTGCCATCCACCAGGATCCTGATGAGTGGAGTTTGGGTCCATTCTGATGTGGAAAGAAGATTAGAAAATTAGGAAAATCCAGGACTCCGGACTGATATTCAGGAAGACACTGGGTTCGCCACTCCAGGTGCCTGGGAAGCCTGAGGGATCTGCATGGGTAGGAGGGTGGGAGACAGTTGAGAGCCAGGATAAGGATGTGCAGGGAGGGAACTGGGGGTACAGGACAGGCCTGGACCCCCTGACTCTTATGCAGGCAGTGGTCGCATGTTTATGTGGAGCCCCTGGCTACTCCCCTGGCCAGGACCAGGCGGAGAAGCGTGAGTTCATTTCCCTCTCGCTTCAAAGGCCCCAGGCGCATGCTGAGACACTGCAGTCTCTTTCCTTTCATAAGAGGGGAGAAGTCACTTTCCCAGCCCGGGTGGCCTTCAGTCGGGCACCTCTCCTAGGTGCGGCGCTGACCTCGGCGCCCCTCAGCTGCCGGCAGCACAGGACATGGCCTGGCTCCGGGATCAGCTATTCTCACTTCCAGCACGAGATCCCCGCACCCCTCCTCTGCCTCCCTCATCCTCTACTGCCAGTGAGGCCCTTCACTAGAAGACCCCTGAGGCGCCCTCTAACTCAGAGCCCTGCAGTTCAACGCAGGTGAAAGGGGAACATGGAGGGTGACGCGGCATTGACAGTGGGATGCACGTGTCTTCCCTGCCAGGCCGCACTGTCCCTGGCTCCGCTCTAGCCATCACCGTCACGCTTCCCTACTACATCTAACTCAGCAGTGCTTCTGTGTGTCTTATTTCCAGTATCATAGGAAATTTTCAGAATAGTCTGTCCATATGCACAGTTCAGTGATTTCTGAGTTAACAGAGGTTAAAATTCTCCCAGCAGAAGCTCCCACTAGTCTTATTCATCTTGAGTATAGATTAGCACAGACATTTTCTCCAGTGCCGGCCATTGCCATTTTCTTTGAATTTTAGTGCTAGATAGAATTATTGAGATCATGCCTTCAAAATTTAATATGTGAAGAAACTTAGGTCCTGGGAGTTGAAGTCACCTGCTTGCCATTCATACTCCTTCCACAGGGACGAGTCTAGAATTGCCATCTTGGTTTTGCTACATCTCAAGCCTTTCCTCTACCTTTCAAAACCGGGACATATTCGGAGGGTCACAACGCAGTGTCATCTCTAAGATAATTTTCTGAGACATAGGAAGATCCGTGTTTAGCAGGCATTCATCTGCTTCGAGTCAGAAAGACAGATCTCGGCTTCATGTCCTGCATGCTCCCTCAGCTGGAGAGACAAGGAGGCCCGCCCGAAGGCAGCTCCACTCAAGAAGAACCCTTCCTCAGACCCCTAATTTGAGTAAGCGCTCAGGAAGGACACAGAACTACAGCTGGGGATGGAACGGAGGGACTGAGTTTTGCACTAAGTGCTACATGACACATTCCAGATCTCTTCCTCAATACCTGTCACTTGATTGGAAAGCCCACTTCTGGGCGCCCCGATTCTTTCACTGAACTGCTGGAGTGGCACTATATCACGGAGCAGAGCGGCACACCTGCCTCTCAAGGCACCCCTGTGGTCCCTGTGGGGGCCCTCTCTTCTCTGATAACTCATTTGCCTCTTTTGCTCAATAAATGCAGACATAATCTGATTCCACCTTGATCTCCTTTTTTCTTTCTCTTCTAAACCACAGGGTGTTTTCCTACCATAACGACCTCCCTGCAATCACAACGCTTCAAATACTGGTGAGGTACCCACATCAGATCCTCTGTGATGGCACACACGCCTTGCCCAGGTCCTGCGGGCAGAAGCGTCGGGGCTGCTGGGCACGAGGAGGGCACAGCGCTGGGCTGCTGGGAGCTGTGAGTACAGGTGAGGAGGTATCTGAATTTTGCTTTCAGATACTGATAAAATACTCAAAGTTGCTCTTAAGAGTTGTTTAAAATGAATGCTGTCTGGAATATGATTTCCCTATTGCTTATAAAAATATTTAGGATTGACTGGCATGTTTTTAAACTTTTAGGTTCGGGGGTCCATGTGCAGGTTTGTTTTATAGGTAAACGCGTGTTGCAGGGGTTTGCTGTACAGATTAGTTTTCACCCAGGTCATAAGCATAATTCCCCAGGATGTTTGTTTTAACAAAGAAAAGCAGAAATACTACATCTTAGTAACCATCTTCCCGCACTGCATACACTGACTAGAGGGGCCGGAGGACCTGTGGTTTATGTGCTGCATTTTGCCACTGTTTTTTCTGACTTTTGGAGATTGTGCAGGTCCATGGTCCTGTCTGCACACACCCTGCATGTGGGAAAATGGCCTGTCATGGCCTCGGGTCCTGCTGAGACAGCAGTTCACCACTCATCCCTTAGAGAGGAGAAGGGTGGGGCCGGCCTGGGGGAAATCTCCCCTCCCAGGTTGGGCCTTCCCTCTGCTCCTCATCTGCCGTGGCAGACAGAGAAGCAGACACACCTGGAGAGATTGATACCAGTGCCAGAGAGGATGCCTAGTGCGCACTTTGAATACCTCACGTCTGCTGGGCCTTGCAGACACTTCCTCCACCCTCAGCGATGCCCATGTCTGCTGCGCCTTGCAAGTACTTCCTCCACCCTCAGCGATGCCCACGTCTGCTGCGCCTTGCAAGTACTTCCTCCATCCTCAGCGATGCCCACGTCTGCTGCGCCTTGCAAGTACTTCCTCCACCCTCAGCGATGCCCACGTCTGCTGCGCCTTCCAAGTACTTCCTCCACCCTCAGTGATGCCCACGTCTGCTGGGCCTTGCAGGGTCTGTGTGGTCGCTTCTTTGTTCTTCTGGGTGCTAATTACTGGGGAGCTGGTTTTGGTGCATTATATGAAAATTACCCAAAATACACTCCCAGCCATTTTGTGTGTGTTGTTCTCTGTATGGTTATTTCTGGGCCTCCGTCTCATTACCATAAATGTCTGTGCGTTGAGGAGCTCGACCTACTTATCCACCAATAGAAGGGATTCTCTGGACTGAAGTTTGTTTCCCTGTGCCTTTGCATCGGCTGCTGTCTTTTGCTTTCTGTCTCTGTAAATCAATCTACTCCGTGCAGCAGGTGCAATGCCTTCCTCAACTCCAGGAAAGGAGCGTGCATCACCTCACTCCTGTCCACGCCCTCAGTGCAGGGCTCAGGGAACCCAGGAAGGCACCTGTCCCCCCTTCACACATACGTGAGGATGCCCCACTAAGTCACATATTTCTAAAGTCATCTCGGTTCCTGTCACTGCCCAAAAGCCTTCTTGACGACCGAAAGGAAGCATGCAGGCCAGACACTGCCTACACTCCCATGGCCATTGATGGTGTGAGGTAATAGCAGCCTTAGAGAGGCACTGGCTCAGGTTTTGGAAGATCCCCCACAGCTGATTAAGCTGCAACAACATGTCTCTCAGAAGAATGATCTTACACAGGGAATTGAGGCACGGAGGAAAACGTCTATTTAAGATAGGAGGCATTTATGAAATTCCATGAGCCATGTATTTACCTAGGTGAGATATGGAGGTGCCTAGATACTTTCATCAAACTGAAAACTGCAAAGTCTTTGGAGAGGGCAATGTAGCACAACCCTTTTATCAGATCCAAGAGAAATGTAATGATCACAATTTTGCACAACCAAGCTCTGCTGGGCATGGCACTGGGGGGAGGAGGAGGGAACTAACAGAATAATAGTTATTCATTTAACAGCTGTTTATTGTCACACTTAGAGATGAACAATGAACCAAAGAAACAGAATCCTTGTAGTCATGGCTGTTCCATTGCAGTTGGTGAAAGAGGTAAAAATAGAGAGTAATAAATACTGTGATGCCACATAGTGACGTGTGTTCCACGAAAAATGAAGCAAAATCAAAAGACAACGGACAGTACGTGGGATGGGGGGTCGGGCAAGTCCTCATTGAGAAGGTGCCACTTGAGCAGAGATCTGAAGAGGTGGGAAAGTGAGCTATGCCAGGGAGAGTGTTCTGGGGGAGGAAAGAGAGGGTGCCAAGGCCCAGGGTTGTGTGCCTGAAGCTCCAGGAGCAGTGGAGCCACGTGCTGGTGGAGTGTGCTGGAAGGGCAGGTGGAGGGCTGGGAGGTTGAGGCTGGGACACACCAACTTGGCATCAAGACACAACCCTGGATGCCTTCTGCTGAAGCCAGGGAAGCCTGGGCCAACCACATGCACAGTCTAAAGGAGAACAATGGCACCAGCAGGCAGAAGCCAGGTTGCCTGTGTCAGCGTGCCTGGGAGGCTCCCTGGAGGCTCACGGAGGACCTCTGAGTGACACACTCTTCACACCTCACACTGTTCTCATCATCCTGTGGATGAAGGGATGGATCTGAGGAGGAGTTCAAGGTCATATGGCTAGGACATACATCTAGGAATCCAACTCATGTTGGTCTAATGGACCAGGCAGCTTCCACAGCCCCCACCGAGATGACAGGGCCCTTCTGCAGAGAACCCAGGTGAGAGCTCAGAGAGCCACGGAAATTACCCCAGGGCTCCCAGGTGATAGAGAAGACCTGGTCCCTAGGTATCTCTGTTTCTACTCGGAGGAAGTTCAGGCGACACAGATTCTAGCCCCAAAATGGAAGAAATACCACCTAGGCTGAGGAAAACACAACTTGGGCCAGAAAAAAACGCAGAGGGGTGAGGATGCCTTGGCTTCAAGTTGTTAATGTCGCTTCACTTTGAACACTGAACAAAAATTTATTTTCTGAATTCTTCCGAAGACTGAACAATTTTGGATTCAAAGAAAGAGGAACCCAGTGGCTTAATGTGTAAGGGAAGTTTTTTCTGAAGTGATTTGCCTCATCCAAAGACTGGAACAGATCACAGGAGACTGTGGTGCGTGTGGCTCTTCAAGCACACGTGTGTGCATGTTTAGATGGGGTTTCTGGAGCATCAGGAGAAGAGACTGCACTGAGCTCAGTGGCAACAGGCCCAGGACAGGGTGCCCAGTGCCCAGGTGTGCTATAGAAGGTGACAGGACATTCTGTGTGGACACTGCCTAGCACAGTGCCATGAGCCACATAGGCCAACCCACATGCGATTGGTGTGGCGAGGAAGTGAATTTTTAACATTATTCAGTTGTAATGAATTTAACTTATTTACATTTAAATAAACACATTGGTCTAGGGTTTGCCATGTTGGCCAGCATGGATGCAGAGGTGGAAGTTCAGAGGGAGCTGGGCTCTAATTTTGATTTTTTTTTTTTTTTTTTTTTTTGAGATGGAGTCTTGCTCTGTCGCCCAGGCTGGAGTGCAGTGGTGCGATCTCGGCTCACTGCAAGCTCCGCCTCCCAGGTTCACGCCATGCTCCTGCCTCAGCCTCTGGAGTAGCTGGGACTACAGGCACCCGCCACCACGCCTGGCTAATTTTTTGTATTTTTAGTAGAGACGGGGTTTCATCGTGTTAGCCAGGATGGTCTCGATCTCCTGACCTCGTGATCCTCCCGCCTTGGCCTCCAAAGTGCTGGGATTACAGGCGTGGGCCACAGCCCCCCGCCTGATTTTGATTTTTATAACATATATATATATATATACAACCTCATATATGTAATTTATAGATATGTATTCATATGACATGTATTTTCTATAAACGGCCCACCAGCAGAGCAGCACACATGTGGGACAGCGCTTTCATGTTCTTGTGTGCTACAGTGATTTCAATGCTGTCCTTTCTATGAGCTAAAAGGTGAATGCATGAAGTCTCATTTATTTATAAAGCTTTGAGGGTCTTTTTATTTGATGACATTTTAGGTATCTGGCTTACATAAATTAAGGGATTAAAAAAATAAGAGTCACATTCTTCCACCCAGAGAATGAGCTGTTTGGAGTCAACAGCTACTCAGATAGAGACAGACTGAAACATTCGAACGAATTACACCACTGTCTCTGTCTCTCTGTCTGTCTCATTCTCTCTTTCTCTCTCTCTTCCCCCTACCCCCTGTCTCTGTCATGTACACACACACACACACACACACACACACACACACACACACACAGGCACAGGTCAAAGACTTTCTGGATCAGTTGGATGACCGTGAAGACTCCCTGTCCCCAGAGTGATTGCTTTTATTGTCAGTGCTCGGAACCCGGGGAGCAGAGATAAGACTGTGAAAATTCTGGTTCTTCTGTTTTCCAGAATGGGTTTGAGACACAGGTGGCTGCTCACATAAATGTGCTAGATTGGGAGGGAAATTGAGAGGACATCAGGGTTCCTTCTCTTTGTCTCTAGTCTTCCATATTTCATCCGTGTCAAAGAGAAGACTCTGATCTGCTTCGGCAGAGCTTGCAGAGACAACATGACCACTTTCTTAGCAATCTGAAGTTTAGTGAGCCTCAGTATTCAGAAATGTATGTTTTTATTTTCAAATCAAATACTTAAAGCCTCCACCTCAGTTTATGACTTCTAATTCTGCCCCCTGTAAAGAACCATGCTTTGTATTTTTTATATACACACCTCTTCCATACTGTATTATGTATTTCTTCCAGAAAATGGTGACTCTGTTTAGTTTTGTGTCTGCATGCAACCCAGTGCCCTTCTGGGCACAGAGAAAAAAAACACACCGTGTTTTGAAATGAGCTGTCATGATATTCTGAATCTTTTAAACTCTTGCAGCCTTAATATACATGATATACTTGCTGCGTGTGGGGAGGGGGTCATGGATGTTAGGTTCAGGGTTACAGAAGAGCATGAATAAATGGGTGGGAGCATAATATCATATTGAAATTGTCCTTAATCACAATTGTGATGTTATGGTTCTGAACTGCTTCCCATCTCTCAATCGTTTTTATATTCTGCAACTTCTTTAAGCTTCAAAATAAGACAGCGAAGTGAAGGAAGGGCACGTACTATTATCCTAATCTTAAGTGAAACTGAGGTCCAGTGAAGCTAGGTGACTCGCTTAGGACATGTGACACAGCCAGAGCTGGAAACACACCTCATTCCTCAACTCCATCTACCCGTGGATAAACCAGAACTTGGAATGAAACCTAAATTCACAAGGCATAGCAGATAAACTGTTATTTTCTTAGAGTGGACTTTATAAGCAAATTGAACAGAAACATATTCGACCCCACTATCTTACATTTTCTGTTTTCATTATCATGCTAAAAGGAGTTTCCCCAGGACTTTATGCATCCACCTGCATCTTTTTTTTGTTTTTCAAGATGGAGTTTTGCTCTTGTCACCCAGGCTGGAGTGCAAGGCTGTGATCTCGGCTCACAGCAACCTCCGCCTCCCAAGTAGGTTCAAGCAATTATTCTGCCTCAGCCTCCCAAGTAGCTGGGATTGCAGGCATGTGCCACCACACCCGGCTAATTTTTGTATTTTTAGTAGAGACAGGGTTTTGGCCTGTTGGCCAAGCTGGTCTCAAACTCCTGACCTCAGGTGATCTGTCCCCCTCAGCCTCCCAAAGTGCTGGGATTACAGGCGTGAGCCACCACACCCGTCCTCTACCTGCATCTTAAATGTACATGGCATGATATTTACAGCCAGATTTTTGCTTTGTATCAAAGTACCTGAAGGTTTATGAAAAATAGGATAAATTATATTTCTATAATTTAGCACAGTTTGCATGAAGAGAGTTTAGGTTTTTTAAAATCATATATTGACACCTAAAAATGTCTAATTCTATGATTACTCATTCCCAAGATGCAGTGCCATGTACTTCAACGTAGCTGCACATGCCATGTCCTAAAAATGCCTCCGTGGATGCAGGGAGAGGTTAGTTTTAAGATGATACCAAATCATCATATTCTTTCTCCCAACTGTGTCCACAGTCTTCCTCTGGTTGAAGCCTCGCATACCAAACATATGATCTTTGTTTCTATGTTGGTCTCAGAACTCATTGCCTTTTCTGCTGACTGCAGTGAAAACTGGTTGGCTAATTCTGCTTTTCACAGTCTGTCTGCGTTTCAACTTGCTTTCCTCATCAGGGATATTTCCCTGAGAAAGACAGGAGAGGATAATTGGCTAATCAATATGGAGAATGGTGTCCTGCAGGGAAGCTGGGGAGTTCAGAGGCCACACAGCAGACCCCTCACCCCCTCCATGCTGTCCTCCTGTGAAAACTCAAGCCTATGAAAATTTGTCTTCCACAAATACCAGGATGCTCTAGCAACTTGGGGCTAGCACCTCATCCTGTTTGAAAGAAAACACACCCTGGGAACTTTACCATGAGAAAAGAAATGTTTCTGTGAGAAGGAATTTTTATAGCATGAGTTCTGCCTTGAATTCCCTTTAAAAAAGAAGGTGGGGAGTGGAAACACCCCGTTAGAAAATTGTCCCATGCACAGGACTGATTTACAGTGAGGACAGAGCCTGATACTAGAATGGAACAGGCACAGATTACTGGCCATGGTGATCCCACAGCTGGCTGAAGAGTCAGGGCACACTCCTCCAACAAAAGCAGCCCCTGCTTCCTGTTCGACTCCCCTGACCCCCACATCGACTCTGCCTCAGGGCGGCCTCCATGCCTTGCCCAGAGCAGCTGCAGCCATCATTTCGCACATCAAGAAGTTCCTAACGTCCGCGGCCATCAGATCGCACATCAAGAAGGTCCTAATGTCTGCAGCCATCAGATCGCACAGCGAGAAGGCCCTAATGTCCGCGGCCATCAGATCGCACAGCGAGAAAGCCCTAACGTCTGCGGCCATCAGATCGTACATCGAGAAGGCCCTAACGTCCGCAGCCATCAGATCGTACGTCGAGAAGGCCCTAACGTCCGCGGCCATCAGATTGCACATCGAGAAGGCCCTAATGTCCGCAGCCATCAGATCGCACAGTGAGAAGGCCCTAATGTCCACAGCCATCAGATCGCAAGTCGAGAAGGCCCTAATGTCCACAGCCATCAGATCGCACACTGAGAAGGCCCTAACATCCGCGGCCATCAGATCGCACATCGAGAAGGCCCTAATGTCCACAGCCATCAGATCACAAGTCGAGAAGGCCCTAACGTCCACAGCCATCAGATGGCAAGTCGAGAAGGCCCTAATGTCCGCGGCCATCAGATCGCACGTGGAGAAGGCCCTAAGGTGACCACACAGATTTCCTCTCAAGCAGCCCCTCCTCCTCAGAGGCCAGCAGCCCAGGACACCACCGCACACCTTTGGGTCACTGATCTGGAGAACGCGATACAGGAAGCCAGGAAGACTTTAGAAAAGGAAGACACCTGCGTGTCACCGGATTTAGCCCCGTGATCAAGTGGCAAGGCAGCCCTGAGATTCAGTAAAGAGTAATGAAGAAAGAACCTCATATATTCTCCAAAGTATTCCAGAAACAGAGCATTTAAAGCAACATCTATGTGCTAAAGGCAGCTGCACACACGCAAGCTTTCTTTAGTCTAGAAAGCACATTGCTAGGCTCTTCCTCAGGAAATGCTGATTCCTGTCTAAGGGAAGATGCAATGTCTGCTATAAAGAATATATGTATGTGTGTGTATACATTGATTTAGAGATATTTTAGTGGACTGGAGTATGAACATAAACCATACCTTGCTAGGTATTATATATCCATTTACTATATATTTCTCAAATCACATGAATCCAAAAAATATTTATCATAACATAAAAAGATCTGATAATAGAAAAATCTATGGCCATTGAACAATAACTTTCTTAACTTTAGGATAACAAGGGGATTTTTAATTGGTGCAGACTTAGACTGTAATGATGTATTCTGAAAACAAAATTCTTCATGCAAAAGACCAGCCTATGGTAGGTCTACGTATAATAAATATAACTTTGCTTAATTAAATATGAACTTAATCTGAAATGAGTTTCTCAGGTATTATCCCCTGTTGTTCAAATAAGCAGAAGGTGATCAGGAGAACACGAGTTCCATTACAAGGAAAACCATGCAAAGTGTTTGATTACCTATCCCCCACCTACAGAAAATAATATAATCTTAATTAGCCTCAGTTTCTAATTTGTATGATGAGAGTAAAAGAGCTTCTGCCCTACCCATCTTATGCAATCAATGTGAAGATCAAATTCAATAATGTGATTAAATATGCCTATTGGAAACTTACATTATTAGGACTATTTTGATTCATATAAGCAACAATGCTGGAGGATCCTTGAAATTAAAATAAATACTTAATCTTAAATTATAAACAATAGTCCTTCTATAACCTGTGGGTTCCTATTGTAATAATCTGGGGGTTTGTATACATTTGTTTTATCTGAAACAAAACCTCTTAGTAAAGTCCACATTTCAGTTTACTATAGAGGTGAAAATACCCGACTGGATGAACAAATAATGGCATCCAGCCGGGATAAATCGCCTGAGACTTTCTCTCTACTCGCAAGGCTGAGGCCAGCATGACCTTGTCCCAGCAGTTCCGTCACGACGCCCTGGTTTCTGCACTCAGACGGCCACCCTGTGCCACGCAGGATGGGCGCGGGAGTCACACTCCGCTCTGTGCTCTGGCCACGTGGCTTCCTTTTAATCTCAGGTCTCGTCTGTGCTTCTCTGTGTTAGAAAAGGAGCACAATCAACTGCAGGGGAATCGGTTGCTGGCCCAGGGACATAGCAGTCACTAAGAGTGTCACCCAAGGAACATGAAAGGCCAGCCTCGGGATGCTGACCCAGAACTCCAGCGATCAGAGGAATGGGACCCCCCAGCTTTTAGGGAGTGCATGGTTTCTGCCAAGCCACTGGAAGGGAGGACAAAAGGACGTCTCTGGTAGGCACCGTATGGAATCTCCCGTACTTACGCTGCACATCTCACATTAAAGATGCTGCTGTCATGGCAGACATTTACATTTGTTGATAGTGATTTTGGCACTACATTTAACAGTGAGGTAACAAGTGAGTAACGTGCTCAACAAGTGAGAACATTCAAACAGGAGATGGGCTGATGTATGCCTTTCAAAGCCTCCTTTTAATACATTAAACGTAACTAGGAGTTTGATCACGTAAAATGACTGTTCTATCAACAGTTATCCTGTTCCTTTGATATAGAAGCTGCTTGGAGATTTCTGACCCTGATGGGGTATAAGAGACTAGAAGATATTCCATCCAGCTGGAGTACCTGCAGGTGACGTTGGCTAAATGGGGTGTTGAAACACCCACGTGGGGCTCCTCCAATGGAGACGTCCTTCTCCCAGAGAAAGCCTTCGTGAGCGTGTCTCCAGGAGTCAGGCCTCTCAGGTGATTATGTCTTAGGAGAAATGCATTTGTTTGCCTTAGAAATCAAACAAGCCTTCGGTGTCCCTCCAGAGAATCTGTGGCAATGGAAACCTGGTGGAAGGGCCCCGCAAGGGCATGCAAATGCTGTTGTTTCTAAGTGGCTGCCTGGGATCTGGGATTCTCATGAGAGGCTCTCTGAAAGGGAGTGGAGTATCACGCTCTACTGCCAGGATGCTCAGTAAACTGGGTGCACCTGTCTCACACTGGTAGCAGGTAGGTTATCTCTCAACATCTCCCTGTGGCTGCACCCTGCCAGGATGTTCAGTAAACTGGGTGCACCTGTCTCACACTGCTAGCAGGTAGGTTATCTCTCAACATCTCCCTGTGGCTGCACCCTGCCAGGATGCTCAGTAAACTGGGTGCACCTGTCTCACACTGGTAGCAGGTAGGTTATCTCACAACATCTCACTGTGGCTGCACCCTGCCAGGATGCTTAGTAAACTGGGTGCACCTGTCTCACACTGCTAGCAGGTAGGTTATCTCACAACATCTCTCTGTGGCTGCACCCTGCCAGGATGCTCAGTAAACTGGGTGCACCTGTCTCACACTGGTAGCAGGTAGGTTATCTCTCAACATCTCCCTGTGGCTGCACCCTGCCAGGATGCTCAGTAAACTGGGTGCACCTGTCTCACACTGCTAGCAGGTAGGTTATCTCTCAACATCTCCCTGTGGCTGCACCTTCCTGAGTAGCTCACTTGATTCCTTTAAAAGTCCTGTCATAGGTGATAATAGAAGTTATTTCCTTAGGGAGCCAGCTGCTGAACATGAATTCTGAAACCAGGCACCCCACAATTAACTATGAATTCTTTCATGGTCCTGCTACCTCTTCACAAGTGTTTGCTTTCAGCACCTCCTGTCTTCCGTGCTCTGGACTCAGCATTTGCTGACCACATGAGTGGTGGGCACCATGCCAGGTCTGGCCGCAGAGTTAGAAATCCTGGGTCCTGAGGCACGATCAGCCAGTCGCTCCTTTGGCGGTGCTGTCACACATCCACTGGGTGCCCATTTACTTGCATTTTTCTGGCAAAAATGTCTTTAATTCTAGTTTGCTTTCCAGCGTTTAAAAACAATTATATCCTAAGTGTTCAAGTGAGAATAGACAAACCCTATGCAGTCACATTCTAAAGCTATTTCAATAAGGCTTCTGACTACCTTTCAAAGTACATCACTTTTTATTTTTAAAGAAATATTTACATTTGACCATAAATAAACTAAAATTGAATTTTTAATTCTAGAAAATGAAGAGCAAAACTTAAAACCTGGTTAAGGCCCCTGGTGTAAACGATACCTATTTACAGATTTCCTATCTTAATCCGTCGCACCAAACATGAATGCCTCCTGCTTTCCAAACGGGTGAGAACGTGAAAGAGCCACATTGTATACCATCTTTCTAGTAAGCCCTGGGCAAGTTACAAATCATTAATCAGCCTCCACAATTAATGAGTCACTCAAAATGACACTCACTTAATACAGTGTCCAGAAATAATTTGCCAGGTTGATCTACTTTCCAAATATTTTACTACACAAATCTATTATTTTAATTCTTAGCATCTCATGAATGACACTGGTGCCTTGTGTCCCTGGTAGATTTAATAGCGATGATGGTAAGTCTGTTGATAGGTGTTCTGATAGGCCTTCTCTACCCAGCATTCTACCATAGCGAGACAAAAAATCTTGGGAGACTAATTTTAATTTATGTAATGCATGTGTGTGTGCATATGCATCTATGTGTATATACATATCTATCTATGTGTGTGTACATATGCATCTATGTGTATATATACATATCTATCTATGTTCTGTATATCTATCTGTGCCTGTGTATATATGTACATGTAAGTAAGTGATGGATTGTTTGCATAGGAATCTTAAGCCACTGTAACAATCTAGGATTATTTCATAAAATTCAGGTTTCCTAGTACAAACTCCTCTGACTTCTGAAGGAGGAGTGGTAATTTAAGCCTGCACATGAGATTAGCAACAAGCAACTCACATCTCCCTGATGTATGGAGGCCCTACCCACTGGCTGAAACAACTACCCTTTGTGTCCAGAAATTAGTTCTCCTGGTAATCAGATTCTTGAAGAACTTTTGAGCCCAAGGGAGAGGGGCAAGAAAGAAAATTCCCTTCACTTACAACATGTTTGGGCATTTCTATGAGGAAAACCCTAAGCCAATAAAGATGATAGCTAGGCTTTGCAAAAAAACAAACAAGCAAACAAACAAACAAAACCACAAAACTCCCACCTCTTTCCTCAGAAGAAATGACTTCTATGAAAGGGTTAGTTCTGAAGTGGTATTGTGCGTCGGATAGTAACAGAACACTGGACATGAAAGCCATGTCACCGTAAACGCACTGCCGGGAACATTCCCAACACACAGCATGGCGGCCTTCTCCCTGGCATGTCTCAGAGCACCGGAAACCCCAGATCAGAAACAGCTCTCACATATGGAAGCAGATGACCGGCTGATTATCTTGTAGCAATACTACTTCCTTTCATCCCAATTATGTGACCATCACTCAAGCAAAGCTTTGGCAATCTACAGACAAAACCCACTTTGCTGGTTGATGTACCAGTCATTAGGCAGGACTTCCAACTCCCCTGAGGAGGTACCTGGGCTAAGCCATTCCAACAACACTGTTTTGCCCTTTGCCCAATCATTGTATCTCATGGATACAGCATTCAGGAAAATGTAAAATTAAAGACCAGGTCGGCTAACTTAACTTCCTTGATACATTTTGTTAAGCTAATCAAAAAAGTACACCATAAATATCTCAGTAAATTACTGACAACCAAACTGAATAAAAATTAGACTGACATAAAATCTGAAGTGTAACAGAGAATCTGAAGAATTCTTTAACAGAAGTGTTCAGTTCATATAAGAGGTTAATTTTCTCAGTATTGACCAAGAAGAACAATTTCTTTATATGCCAGTCATTCGTAGTAACAGCCGGCAATTCACCTTGAACAGTGGACCCAAATCACGACTTGTTACTTTGCTAATATTTTAAAGATTACCGTTTTCTTCTTCCTCTTCCTCCTCCTCCTCCTCCTCCTCTTCCTCTTCTTCATCCTCCACATCTTCTCCATCCTCGTCATCGTCCTCATCCTCCTCCTCGATCTCCTCCTCCTCCTCCCGGTCCCCCTCCTCGTCCTCCTCGTCCTCATCCCCTGGCTCATCATTGTCCTCGGAGTACTCCTCCCCCTCATCCTCCTCCTTCTCATCCATGTCCTCAGTCCCATCACTGTCGTCACACTCATCCACTGAGGAGCTGTCTGCTTTCACGGCAAATGGCTTTCGTTTAGGAGCAGGTTCCTGGGGCTGTTTATCTTGTGTTTTTCTTTTTTTCGCCAAGGGACAACCATATACACTAATTAAAAAAATAGAGAAGGCAGGGGAGAGAGAGAAAAAAAATATCTGTGTTACTGTCTTTTAAAATCAGACCAATGGGGGCCTTGATCAAGGTACTTAAAGGCTTATCATGAATGTCATCAGCACAAACACCAGAGAGACATAACATACATGTTCCCCGAAGTGTGCTGAAATCTGTTAATGAAGTGATAGTGCAAATAAATACCGCTCACATTTGTCTAGTTACCATTCACATTTAGTCCAAGTCTCCTAGTTCCTCGTTCCTATAATTCCAGAGATCCTACGAAAATTCATGAGATTGGTTTGCATAATGTGTATAACATGTAATTGACAATACAAATTTATGAAACATTTTACCAAATATATACTATGTATAATATACATCTGAAGCAAGATTTATTTTAATCACATTATATTTACATATATATTTATGTAAAATATAAAAATGTCTATGTCGTGAAAGAGCTTTGGATATATTTGGATTTGTATATTTTATGGATTAAATTATATCTTTAGACTTGATAACCTCCTGAAACAAGATGAGCCCTAGGGCTTGTCAATGTTGTATGAAAGCAACTGCATCATTCAAAGTTCTGCAGAACTTCCTCAGTCTTAGATGTTATTAGTCCCACGCCAGCATTCCAGAAAACAACTTCAGTGTTAGCGGTAATCACCACTAAATCACGCTGAAATTGGCCCAGGCTTGGATGAGACCCTTCCTTACAGCAGAAGCTCACAATCTTTCCTTGAGAAACAACGATTTTCTTTTTTTTATTATTATTATACTTTAAGTTCCAGGGTACATGTGCACAACATGCAGGTTTGTTACATATGTATATGTGTGCCATGTTGGTATATTACATTAGATATATCTCCTAATGCTATCCCTCCCCGCTTCCCCGACCCCACGACAGGCCCCAGTGTGTGATTTTCCCCATCCTGTTTCCAAGTGTTCTCATTGAGAAAGAATGATTTTCAAAGCTACATTACAAATTCACTTTTGTTGTAGAAATAATATATATACTACAAAAAAATAGGTGGGTTAGGGGAGACATAGAGGCAAACTACCGCAGGCAAATACTCCATTTATGCAGAACGAGATGTGTGGCCTCTCTCATTGGCCCATTATTCTGCAGGGTGAGATGTGTGGCCTCTCTCACTGGCCCATTATTCTGCAGGGTGAGAGGTGTGGCCTCTCTCACTGGCCCATTATTCTGCAGGGGGGCTCCTGCACACCTTGACTAGCTTGGCTTTGGATCTGGGGTAGTGAATGATCATTCAGTCATGACCCTGACCAGTGTGTACTATTTGGGCAACTCCTCTATTTTGGGTCATGGGCTATGCTGGAGTTCAGAGATGAGTGGCACAGATCTTCACACCAAGGCTTTATGCTCTAACAAGGGATTTAGACAAGTCACAAATACCATTTTAGAACCTCTCACTCCTGTGTACACCATGCACCAAACACCTGGCATGTCATAGACACTCAATAGGCATTTGCGGAATGAAAGGATGAAGTGTGATAAATCCCATAATGAAAACGTGCAGAGGGCTCTATGTCCTGTACACAGAGGGCAGGCATGCACGGGTGCTAGCAAGGCTTTCAGGAAGAGGTGAGGCTGCTGATGAGCTTTCACAGATATGTAAAGGATGTCTGGGAGGGAAACAAAGCATTTCAATACATCCCAATTAAAACAATCTGCGAAAGACATGAACATATGTAAGAACACCAGGGGCTCAGAAAACTAAAACAAAAGCAAACCCCAAAGGCTGGAGCATAGAGCGGGGCTGGGCCAGGAGGTGGAGGTCAGAGTGGAGAGTCCGGCGGGGTCCAATCAACTTCGTGGATGAATGATGGGACTCTGGATTTTGACCCAGGAAACAGGGAGTGATACGAGTTCTTTCAAGCACTCAATAATGCAATTAAAATGCATGTTGGATAGGTGCGAAGCGGAGGACAGAAGAGAGGAGGTGCAGGCTAGAGATGCGGGGAGCAGAAGACAGCCAGCGCCATGTTCAGGTGGGGACTGGGATGAGAAAGTGAGCTGAGGAGGGTGCCCAGATCATGAGACAGATGAGAGAGGCCAGGAGGACCAAGGGCCGTGAGGGAGCTCCTTGGTACAGTCAGACCCTGGGTGAGAAGGTGCTGGGAGAGAGCGTGAGAGCAGGACACAGTGTGTGTGGACCAGGAGGAGCTTGCATTGCCCATGGCAGGTCTTGTTGGTCAACTGACTTTGGACAGATGTTCAACCTTATACATTAACATCATCAGCTGTAAAGTCAGAAAAATGCTAATCTCACATGGCTGCATTAAGGATGAAATGAAAAAATATATATATATGTAAAGAGGTTAGTACTGAATCTGGCACCTGCTAGGTACTCCATGAATGATAGGAACTGCTGTGTAATAGTGATAATAACAAGAAACTTTTGCTATTTTTTATTTTTATTCAGGTATCCAATTATCCAACAAACATGTCGCTCCTTAAAGTTTTGGAAACTAATGATTGTCCTGTTTGTTTCTTCTATCAATACTTCTAAAACGATTTAGACCAATTGCACTAGCGAAAGGGAAGAGAAACAATTTTATGTTTCTTAGGAAGCCAGTTTTTCTTGATAGGTTGTGGTTTGTGGCCTGTTAGGAACTGGGCCACACAGCAGGAGGGGGCGGCAGGCAAGCGAGCGAAGCTTCTTCTGTATTTACAGCTGCTCCCTATTGCTCGCATGACCACCTGAGCTCTGCCTCCTGTCAGATCAGCAGCCACATCAGATTCTCATGGGAGCTTGAACCCTACTGAGAACTGAGAACTGTGTATGTGAGGGATGTAGGTTGTGTGCTCCTTATGAGAATCTAATGCCTGATGATCTGTCACTGTCTCCCATCACACCCAGATGGGACCATCTAGTTGCAGAAAAACAAGCTCCCACTGATTCTACATTATGGTGAGTTGTAAACTTATTTCATCATATATTACACTGTAGTAATAAAAATAAAGTGCACAAAAAATATAATGCACTTGAATTACATCCTCTCCACCCCCAAACCATGGAAAAGCTGTCTTCCATGAAACTGGTCCCTGGTGCCAGAAAGGATGGGGACCGCTGCCCAGGAAGACACAAGCATGGGGTAGGGGCAAGAGCTGAGGGACTTCATTGCCACCTTGCTGCGTGACTCAGGGAGTCCCTTCATCAATTTGGATGCCACTTTTTAAGTCTGTAAGATGAGGGCAGTTAGATGACTTCTAAGTCTCTATCAGCCCTGAAACACTAGGGTGAAACGTTATCATCCCTTAAAAACATAATAAGCAAAACAAGAATAACAATTTTAATCACCAGATAATTCAAGAAAAAAAATTCATCTATAGTCTACATAACATTTCAAATATGAAATAAACAGATTTCTGGGATTCCTTTTATATTTTCATTTGTGAGGGGATAATCTGAGATAATAATCTCAGAGCCAGCCACACCTTCATGCTGAATCACCACCGGACAACCTGTCAAGTCTAAGCCCAACACCAACCAACCTCCTCGCAGGGCCACCTGTATCTGAGTAGACTTGTTCTGGTGGATACCTTCTGTGTTTGTTCAGTTAGCAGATAATAGATGCAGCTGTGCACGGATGGCTCCTCCAGAGCCTGCCCTTGGTGTCGCGGGTCATAATGACCGGAGCTTTTCCCAGCTTCCTTCTCCTTCATCAGTGCATCAATATGTTTGTCTGACACAGTCTGTTCTGCACTGAGGCCACCTGCACAGCACCATTCACTAAAACAGATAACTAGGCCCACCGTGACCATCTATGAGTCCCGATTGCTGGGAAGTGATGTCACCCCACTTGGCTTGGTGCTATTCAGTGAGGTGACTGGGGGTAAGGTGGGGCTCCTGTTTCATTTTCTCCCTGCTCATTCACACGCACAGCCGCCCTCCTTTTCAAGATGGCTCACTTGTTGTTCAGACTGTGCGATGTTGGCCCCATGAGGTTTAGAGGAGGGGAGTGGAGATTTTCCTTAGAATGGATGCTGCAGTTAGAAGTGAGCACAACTGGGCTTCACTCATGATCACCTGGGACAGCTGAGAGTTTGGAGGACAATGTATCCGGCTAGGAGGACGTTTGAGAGGATGGGGTCTGGGCCGTAGGGCATTGCTGTGGTGGGTGTCTGAGTCCCAACCTTGGAGAACATGTCTGGGCCATCGAGGCGTGGGAGGCGGGCTGCCTCCTGCTCACATGTCCTCTGAACTCCCCTGCACCTGCAGCTGGCTGGCTCCCTTGCAGAGGGCCCGCCCACTTTCATTGCTTTTCCATCTCCTGGCAGCTGCCATGGCTCCTACTCCATTAGAACTTGCTGGGCATGGGAAGGTAGTGGAGGAAGAGGGACAATAAATAAGCAAGAGTAGAAAAAAAATAGTTGATCAAGATAGTTGGAGAAGGTGAGTGTGTGTGGAAAGTCAAGTACACATGGAAAAGAAAAGTGAGGAGTTCATCTGGTCTCTGCCAGGACAATATTGGTATAATCCTATCAAGCAGGGTTTGGTTTAATATGTGAAACATTTCACAAACAGCCTGAGCGTATCCAGGGTGGTGATGTGTAGAGCACACCACACGACCAAGGGCGTGAGCTCCAGGCTTGGTGTTGTTAACACCTCTTTGAGCACCCGGACTCCGGCTGGGCCTTAGTTTACCTATCGATGTGATAGAAGCGTCGGCTGTTCCTTTACTCTCTAAAGCTTTACATGTTTTAAATTTCCTAAATGATTCCCTTCCCGTGGTGGGAACTTTCTGATGAAGTGTACGTTTCAGTACCTTCTAGTCTTCTATTTTCACTTGAATTGGTTTTACTTTCCTATCCCTACATTTTGCAAGCTCTTGGATTCAGCGTAGCAACTTTTGGAATCATCTGGCGTCAAACTTCCAGTGCTTCCTGCCATTTGACATGGTTCATTGCTCACGATTTGCTCTCTATTTGTTAATGTAAAGCGTGAATACAGTCGTATCCCCAACTACAAACAAGTACCCTCTGTCCCTTCTCTCTCTGATCCATTCTCCTACTGCAGTTCCTGGTATCTACTTCCATGGTGGCAACACATTCAACCACCAGGCACATTCCATTACATCTGTGTTCAACTCCACGTGGCTCGAGGCCCTGCTTAAATCAACACAGCCCTCTTGGTCTCCAAAGGTTTAGAATATTTCAAATGGAGGCCTTGGAAAGCAATTCTGGGACATGAGTTTGGGGAGTGTGTATCCTCCTGCCCTCGTATTCTGTGAACAGCGTGTCTGCTGATGGGGCGGTGATCTGGAAAGAGAGGAGGATGTGGGGGCACTGGTGGTGCCGCCCAGCAACACCAGTGAAGGGCTCAGCCCAGGACCTCAGCTCACCCTGTCAGTGCCTCAGAGATGCTGTGCACTCTGGTCACCTCCATGGCTCCGCAGCTGGCTACTGCAAACCTCTGAGGCACAAAGGCAGCCCTTTGTATTTGAACATCATTCTGCAAGACTGAGTTCAACATCCACAATGCACTGACAGAATGATGTTTACTCACATATCCTCTCCTAGATTTATATCTCTTTTTATGATATAAATCTAAAAAGATATTTTTATATCTTTAGGATATTTTTAGGATGATGATATTTTAAGATTCCAAAAATAATGCACTGTCTCTTTTTTCACACAGTTGAAACTTCAAAGAAGTCGTAAATATGATCACTAGTAAGATCACGGTAGCTCAATAGTTCTCTGTTGACAAAATACCCCTCCCGTCATTTTTCCAGAGTGTGTCCATAACATGATTCTCAATGCAGAAGCAAGGCAGGGAAGCTAGCAGTGGCCACATCTCACAGAAAACCATGCTGTCTTATCCTTGGACTTCTCACAATTCAGCAGCAGCCAGCGACAGGAGTGGAAGTCCAAGACACTTTGGGTAGAGTGAAAAGGCAAACGCATGCTGGATTAGAAATGAGAAAACCTGGCCTTTCCATGTTTTCACCCTATTTAGGTTACGCAGGGTTACACATGGAGGCCTGGCATCCCGTCACCCCCACCCCCTCCAAGCCAGCCTGGGCCATGCCTCCTGGGCCCATGCGGATGCCTCACGATGTCTTTTTGCTGTTGTAGCTTTCACAGTTCTTTTGTGGTTAACTCGGTGTCAACAACTTCCAGTTTTTTGCATCTGGTTATTCTAGAAACCAGTTGCTGGCCATGGCTTTCCCTCACAAACTCATACACATACAACATTATGTAGTGCATTCTCGCACTTCCATGTCATGTATAAAGGTCTTTTATTGAATGTTTTGTTTATCCAATTTTAATATAAACAGGGATAAGGTCTCAAGTAACTGAAAACCAAACTTGGCAGCGTGTGCTCTGCTCCCAACTGCTGTTATCACCGCCGTGGAGAGAGGAACGAGGTGAGGGTGGGAAGTGTCCTGTGCGTGGGCCTCTCCCACCAGAGAGCGGGGCTCGGAACGTCAGGGTGATTGACCAGTCGGCTCAGAGGCCTGACAGTGATTCCCCACAACCACCTCTTTTAGAGATGGTATTTTTCTTGTATTGCTTGAATAGCCTCCATTGGGTCAATGTTAAAACACTTATTTTGGAATAATTTTTAACATATTTAAACTGCATTTGAATATAATTCTGGAGCACCGGTTTTCAACCAGCTCAGTTAATACCAGCACTGCTTAGAAAGTGCTTCCTGTGTGCTTGGCACTTTCTAAAATCTCTATATACACAAATTCATTAAACCCTCTCGGTGACCCTGTGATGTAGATTCTGCTGTAATTCCTAACTTTGAGGGACAGAGATTTTTTGAGTCACTTGTGTAAAATCACAGAGCTGAGTAACAGTGGAGGAGGTTTGCAAACCCCTTCTCCATGTCCTGATTTTCTGATCTCTGAAGGGGGATATTAATCCAACCCTGTTTCTTATTGGGCCATGGTAAGGATCTCACTAAATAAGAATATCTATTTTTCCCTAATGCCTGTTACATAGTAAGAAGGTGCCACATAAATATGTGCTGAGTGAATACATTGCATGATTGATTTATTCCTTTATTTGGAAAGCATGTCACTGAGCAATACAGACCTACTCCCAACCTCATGGGACACCGAGACACAGTTACCCTGCCAGAGAGGACAGAGGAGGCTTCACAGGGGACCAAGATGGGTGTGGGACAGGGAGTGAGACTGAGACAGAGACACAGACACAGAGACACAGACAGTTACCCTGCCAGAGAGGACAGAGGAGGCTTCACAGGGGACCAAGATGGATGTGGGACAGGGAGGAGACTGAGACAGAGACACAGAGAGATGCAGAGAGACAGAGGGACCCAGAGGGCGAGTTCAGGGAGGCTGCATGGGCAGGAGGTGGTCAGAGGCTGGAGGTGTGAGGGTGCAGGCAGTCAGGGCCTCCCAGGTGCTGTTCCTCCTAGGAGCCGTGGGAGCTCCGGACAGTGTAGACAGTGGGATTACTTCTACACAGTTGACTCAAGCCTGCAAAACCATCACTGTGGCTGTGGTGTGAGAATGAGGTGGAGGAAAGGAGAGCTAGATGGTGGAAGGTCATTTAAGGAGCAATGTCAGGTCATAGGTTGGCCTGGGAAGGTACAGGTAGGACATGCAGGAGTGAGGTGAGGGGATACATGTGGGACGCGGCCTGGTTGCCAGCTCAGGTAACTGGCAGGTGGAGGTGTGTGCACTGGTACGGAAGACACGGGAGACTCAGGTCTTTGCTGGCTTGGTTTTGGTTGGGAACAGAGGCTTACAGGTGATTCTCTATAATCTCTTCTTTTTCAGATGCAGAAATACCATACTTCTCTGTGGTTGCTAAATTTGAGGTGTCTCAGCTTAGGTGACCTCTAGAAGGGCTGAAGTGTTGGTTTGGGGCAGTCAGTGGGTGGATGTTGTAGACATGGTGGGGAAAGAGGCAGTTTCCTGGGAAGAGTGAGGGCTCCACCCTGAACCCTTAGGGACACAGGGGTTTGGGGACTGGGGAGGGAAGAAGGGGCCAGCAGAGGGGACAGAGATGAAGAGGTCAGGGGATGGGTCCAGGGAGCATGAGGCTGGCCCAGGAGACACAACCCACAGACCCTCAGTCATATCCACAGGAAACAGAGAACATGGGCTAGCCCAGGAGACACAACCACAGACCTTCGGTCACATCCACAGGAAAGAGAGAAGGCTGGGGTCATCACCCAGATCTGAGTGGTCCATGAACAGCAACCAGAGCCACGTAAATGTTAGTAATATCAGCACAAGGTCTGTGCACCTCACCAAGTCGCTCCAGGATCTGCCCCTGTTTAACCGCGGGAGATGTATTTACCTCAGCCTCAGTCTATCCATCTGTGAGATGAAGGGTAGTGCCCATGCTACACACTTAGGGCAGCACACGAAAAACAGTCCACATGAAACACCCAACGACTAGCAAGCGGGGGTGCTTCCCAAATCTGAGTTCTCCTTTTCTTATTTCCTTTCTCATGTCTTAAGAACAGTTGATATCCTTTCTCACCACTAGCCCTTTAAAGCGTTACTCTTATACGTTTCTAGAATACATAAAAGCACTTAAAAAGATGTCAGAAATAGTTGAAATCATTGAACTATGCAATTAAATAACTAGCATTTCCAACCAAACGTATATACTAATAAAACCAATTCAGTTTTAACTACATACTTCCTTCCTTTTAAAATATTACATTAAATATATTTTAACATTTTTTAAAGTTATTTTTTCTCTGTATTGTTACAAAGGCATAGCTGATTTGAAAACTATGTATTTTCTTAAACTTGACAGACACGTTCTATACATGAAAAACATTCAACAAATAATTGTTTAAAATGTTTACTTGAACCTCTTAGGGAATTTAAAAATAATCTCAGTTTCTGGAATGCAGGGAGTTGTTTTTTTATCTTTTTAAAGTCACTTTAAATGATGTAGCCAGTTATTAAATATTTATTGTCTTGAATAGTAATTCAAGATTCAAATAAAGTTACAATAATCACTAAATTTAATCTCTTTCAATTCCAGAACACTAGTTCTTTTGAACTCAATAATGAGAGTAAAGGTACCTCTCGGGCTTTGACCATTTGTCAATGCATGTGGACGCGCATCTTGGAGGTAGATAAAGTGCAAATGGGAGGCTCGCATGCACGTTTTCCAAACCAGCTTTCCAGGAGACGTGGTTCTCCGACAGCTGGGATTGTTTCTTATATGTCTATTTTTTCTTCTTGGAATTCCAGTTCCCAATTCCCAAGTGTGCCTCTGTTCCTTTAAAGCTGAAAGACTTGAACTAATGCGAACCCTTGTGTGCCACGGCACACCACCCCCAGCCATCAGCACCAACAATGCTCCTTTGTCCTCCTTCCTTCCTTTCTTCCTTCCCTTCCCTCCTTCCTTCCCTTCCCTCCTTCCTTCCCTTCCCTCCCTTCCCTCCTTCCCTCCCTTCCCTCCTTTCCTCCCTTCCCTCCTTCTCTCCCTCCCTCCCTTCCTCTCTCCCTCCCTCCTTCCCTTACCTTTGCCTTCCCTTACCTCCTTCTTTCCCTTCCCTCCTTCCTTCCCTTCCCTCCTTCTTTCCCTTCCTCTCCCTTCCTTCCCTTCCCTCCTTCCTTCCCTTCCCTCCTTCCTCCCTCCCTCCCTCCCTCCTTCCTTCCTTTCTCTTTCTTTCTTTTCTTTTCTTTTCCTTCCTTCCTTCCTTCCTCTTTCCTCTTTCCTTCCACCCACCTCCACAGGCTCAGGTGATCCTCTCACCTCAGCCTACAGAGTAGCTAGGACCACAGGGATATACTACCAAGCTCAGCTAATTTTTGTATTTTTTGTAGAGATGGAGTTTTGCCATGTTGCCTAGGCTGGTCTTGAACTCCTGGGCTCAAGTGATCCATCTGCCTTGGCCTCCCAAAGTGCTGGTATTACAGGCATGGGCCACCACGCCCAGCGTCTACTTAATTTTTAAGAAGTTAAACTATTTGGTCACCCCTTTGCTGTAGCATGTGAGATTCCACTGCGTGTCCACAGTCACCCTTCACAACTGTTGCCCATTTTCCATCATTCTCATCCCACAGCTCTATGCTCATTTATGATTCTTCTTGCTGGAATTTTCTCTCCTACTGATCCTTTAAGACCCATCTCAAGTTCCCCCTTCTCCATCATGTCATTCCTGCTCATCCTGGAATTCAGGGTCATGTGTTGTTAGCAACTCTGTGTCGCTAGACATTTACCATCTAAGTGTCAACCACCTCGCGTTGCTCTTGATTTTCCATGTGTGCTTATCTTATTGTCTCAATTTAGCTGTTTTCTTTTTGGTTTTAGAGGCTTTGCCATCTAATTAATTATTCCAAGTCCCATTGTGCGAAGCAAAGGGGTGGGTGTTCAGTACCTCTGTTTCCACGGACTGAGTGGATTGACTGGTCTGCCAGTGCTTCGGTGTGTTTCTATCAGCATCTGCTTTTCACGAAATCATACTGCCTCTTTTCTGCCAAAACAGAACTCACCACCCTTGCCACTTGCAAGACTAGAATGTTGATAATGTTACCACAGAAGTATTCTAACCACCTACCTCATGGCAGTGAGATTGGCCAACTAAGCTGCTGTATGAATATATTCAGGTTACCAGGGTGCTCTTTAAGTGATGTTCCATTTTAGTGAAAAACCTGAGAAGGTTGACGGGGCTCCCTGGAGTGTCCAGTTTGCTACAAGCTAGTGAGTGGGACTCTACTTACTAGTGCAACACCCTCAGGACAGGAGAAATCTGGTGGAGGGAGAAAGCTTGAAAATCACTTAATCCATCTTTTCACCTAGAAAATAAAGTGGCATGCACAAAGTCAAAGCCTCAGGTTGTACAGAGCTAGACGTTCCACCCTCTAAGCAAGCACCTCCCCTGCCAGGCCAACACAAACGCTGAAGTCACCGTGAGTCAGAAAACATACGGCAAACGCGAGGCTGCGTAGCCACTGCTGCTGGCACTCACTGCCCGTTAGATGCTCCAGCCATGGCCACTGCCCATTTGACGCCCCAGCCACAGTCACGTAGAATAACGTGTCCAGAGAGGATATTGCCGAAAACAAACACCACACGTGCAGTCAGTCCATCCCAATGACATTTTCAGTGTTGTCTTTGTGACCATGCATACGTCCACACCAGTGCTCTACATCAGGAAGGTGCTAGGACACACTGAACGTCAGCACAGCAGCACAGACGATGGGCCTGCATTTAGTGCAGTTGTGAAGAGATTCTCTGCTTGGTGTGCTGTGTTCACAGCAACCACCGGGACAACATCAGCAGCAAGTGGCTGTTCCACTTTCCACTGTCAGGGGTCCTCAAAGACTCATGGGATAGCACTGGTGCCATTCTCTTTTCCAGGGACCCCTGAAGTTACAGCAGTACTACCACCTTGAATGATAGTAATTACAATTGATTTGAAAAAGTGAGAAACAAGCTTTATAAAAATGTATGATTCTGGCTGAGTGCAGTGGCTCACTCCTGTAATCCCAGCACTTTGGGAGGCCGAGATGGGTGGATCACCTGAGGTCAGATGTTTGAGACCAGCCAGGCCAAACATGGTGAAACCCTGTCTCTACTTAATAAAAAAAGAAAGAAAGAAAGAGAAAGTGAGAGAGAGAAAGAGAAAAAGAGAGAGAGAGAAAGAAAGAAAAGAAAGAAAGAAAGAAAGAAAAAAAGTTAGCCGGGCGTCGTGGCATGCACCTGTAATCCCAGCTACTCAGGAGGCTGAGGCAGGAGAATCTCTTGAACCCAGGAGGCAGAGCCAAGATCAAGCCACTGCACACTCCAGCTTGGGCAACAGACAGAGAGTCCATCTCAAAAAAAAAAAAAATATGATTCTACGAGCTACATGTTTGCACCAGGGAAAAGTTATAAGAAAATGCAGAAAAAAAAAAATGGCTAAAGATGCCCCTTCTTTAGATGTTCAGGACAGAGGACTTTGTCTTGATGTGGTTGGTAAGAAATTATTCAATTGTGAAATATGTAAAATTCTGGTACTTGAATGATTAGATATCTCTATTTTTACTTTGATGATGGAGATATACATTTGAACACTCTTAGCTCAAAGAATTATGATCATGCCTACAATCACATATAAATATATTATATGTAAAATATTATACATACACACCACACTACACTCTATCCAGGCAAAATATGCCTCTCTAGAGAGATCATTAAGCTTATTAAATATGCATTTTCTAGCAAGTTAGTGCAAGCAAAATACAAGCTGTTGCTCCACATAGATTTCCAAAGTTGCTCAATAGTTTAATGGGCATCAGGCTACAAATAATAAACCTTAAGACTTGGTTATTATAAAGAGGATTAAGAACGTTTGCTCCATGGTATCTCCCCAATTTTAATTTCTGTGGCAATGGTCAGTTACAAGCTGCCATGTCTGCACTTTTTTGTTGAAGCATAACCTTATAACTGAACCCATCTGTCCTGGGATGCCTATATGGTGTTTGATAATATCTTGGCTGGACACAGCTATTCTTATCCTATTTATGTACTTTTCAAATGACCATTAGAAATACTTGTCCAAGGAAAACCCATGAGATTTCTTAATTGTGCATGCTGCCCCACTCTAAAGTCACCACATGTGGAAATATAGCTTAGGTTGTATATTTAATAGAGCTTAATATGACTGCTTTTGTTATGTTTGTCATGGATATGATGTTCCAAGCTGTAGATCTTCATCATCCCTAGTTCTATGTATCTATGTATCTATCTATCTATCTACCTATCATCTATCTATCCATCTTTGTATCTACCTACCTATGACTTATCTACATGTCTTTCTACCTACCTATGTCTATCTACCTATTTTACCATCTATCTGTCTGCCTGTTCATTTACCTAGCTGTCTATCTATCTATCTATCTATCTATCTATCTATCTGTCTATCATCTATCTATCCTATTCTATATTTCCTATTCTATCTGTCTATCTACCTATCTATCATCTATCTATCCTATTCTATATTTCCTATTCTATGTGTCCTATTCTATATTTCCTATTCTATCTATCTATCTATCATCTATCCTATTCTATATTTCCTATTCTTTCTATCTGTCTGTCTATCTATCTATCTATCTATCTATCTATCTATCTACCTATCATCTATCTATCCTATTCTATATTTCCTATTCTTTCTATGTGTCCTATTCTATATTTCCTATTCTATCTATCTATCTATCTATCTATCTATCTATCTATCTATCATCTATCCTATTCTATATTTCCTATTCTATCTATCTATCTATCTATCTATCTATCTATCTATCTATCTATCTACCTACCTACCTATCTAGCTATCTATTTATCTATCTATCATCTATCTATCATCATCATCATGATTACCTGTCTATCTTCTTTCTAAACTTGACAAGTTGACAAGTTGACAAGAGATATAAGTTGACAAGAGATATAATATTTTCTTGTGACAGATAATACTGGTTTTGGACAGGCAGTTCTTCTCACACAGTAATCTAGTGAAAAGCAAAAAAAAAAATCCATGTGTTTCAGATGGAAATGGGGTAGAATCTTACAGGAAAGGTGTCTTGAGGACAAGTTCAAAATATCCATTGTGCTTCCTCCTTCTAGAGTCTGTGTTCTCTAATTCAGTATCTCCATTCCATCTGTCTGCAGCCCGTGGCTCTGTGTGAGCAGGAAGGGGTCCTCAGGGCCATGAGGATGCCTCATGTGGCTGGGACACTGGTTGTGCCCAGTCCAGTTTCTAACCAGAGGTGTATGGCAGAGTGCCGGGCACAGGGAGGGGTGCTGCATGTCACAACAAGCACCTGCTCCATTGAGATAGGGTTCACTGGGCGCGTGGCTTGAGTGTGAGGCCATGAGATGTGAGTGCATGTCTATCCATCTATCATCTATGCACCTGTCATCTCATCTACCATCCATCTACTCTGTTATCTTTTTTTGAAAGTTTAAAAAAATTTTCAATAGTTCTTGGGGTATGAGTGGTTTTGGTTACGTGCATTAAGTTCTTTCATGCTGATTTCTGGGATTTTAGTGGACCTGTTATCTAAGCAGTATATGCTGTACCCAATATGTAGTCTTTTATCCCTCCCCCTCCCCCACTCTCCCAACCTCCTGCTCAGAGTTCCCAAAGCTCATTAGATTGTTCTTACGCCTTTGCGTCTTCATAGCTTAGCTCCCACTCACCTACCTCTGTCATCTTTCTATCAATCTTCCCCACTCTATCATCTCTCCCTCTCCCCATCTATCAATCACCTATCATCCATCTATCTATCTATTATCTATCTATCTATCTAATCATCTATCAGCTGTCATCTATCTATCGTTATCATCTATAATCTATCAATCTATCTGTCATCTATGAATTACAGAGGTGCAGCAGTGGGCAGCTCTTCCTTCCTCCTTGGCACCAGCTTCTGAGATGAAGGTCGCCGAGCATTTATTTCTCTCTGCTGATTCCTCAGAAGCCTCCCAGTCTCCAGGGAGCACCAGAGAAAAATCATCCTGCAGTGCACACCTGGCACACAATAGGTCCTCAGTGTGTTATTTATTTTTTGTTTTTGTTTTAATGACCATATCACTCATTTAAGGTGAACGACGAGCTGTTTTGCTGAAAAGGCTTCAACCCATTTCCAGCTGGGCCCCAAGCAGGGAGTGTCTGATAAGGCAGAGGGAAGCTCACGCATGCCCCCAATGCTTCCCCTCCTTGCCCAGTGGAAAATGCATGCGTTTTTGCTGGAGTGTCTTCAAATGCAGCCATGCCTGGTCACTGCACTTGTCGCTAAGGTCTGAGTTGCAGAACATTTTTTTTTTCTGTTTTAGAGAAATGCAATATTGCTTCCTTCATGTCTGCGCAGAAAACTTGCTGAGGGAGCTGGAGGAAGAGGAGGTGGCTACTGCAGATGGAACCCAGACAGCTGGAGGACGAGGATGTGGCCACTGCAGATGGAACCCAGAGAGCCGGAGGATGAGGAGGTGGCTACTGCAGATGGAACCCAGAGAACCAGAGGAAGAGGAGGTGGCCACTGCAGATGGAAACCAGGGAGTTGGAGGATGAGGATGTGGCCACTGCAGATGGAACCCAGGGAGCGGGAGGACGAGGATGTGGCCACTGCAGATGGAACCCAGATAGGGTTGCTTTATCACTACAGGTGTTAGGTGACTCATTTGTCATAGGAAAGGGCTCATCAGATCCTCAAGCGGCCTCAGCTGTTTTCTGGAATCGGGGGGCCTTGAAGAGGTGTCTCAGGGTCCTCTGGGCAAGCTGGCCAGGGCTCCAGGAGCTGCTGCCCTCCGTCAGAGCCGCTCTGTGCTGCCTGCTTTCTACACTCGTGATCCCGGTTCCATGGGGGCTGTTCACTGTGAGAGGTGGGGGCTCAGCCGGCCCACCCGACTGCAGAGGCCCCTTCTTCTAGGATTCTCCGGCCCACCCAACTGCAGAGGCCCCTTCTTCTAGGATTCTCTGGCCCAACCGACTGCAGAGGCCCCTTCTTCTAGGATTCTCTGGTTTTCCGGCTGTTCACTATGCTATGAGAGGTGGGGGCTCAGCCGGCCCACCCGACTGCAGAGGCCCCTCATTCTAGGATTCTCTGTAGGATTCCCCAGTGTTTCCTTCAACAGCTCTTATTGCAAGGGGCTTCCTCTTGGATTTCATTTGGAAATAGGTCAGTCTCATAAATTATAAAACATCAGTCACAAAAAAGAATCGGTGGGGAGCTTGAATCCCTCTGGGGATGTCAGCGTCTTGGTGTTTGATAAATGCTAATAGAATGCATGATGACATCAACAATCAATAGGTGTCAGATCATCTCATAGCTGTGAAAAAAAACAAAATGAAACCTGCCACGAGAAGGCTGGACACAATGTTAAGGTGGAGAGTTTGAGAAGCCATGCGGATCTGCTCTTTCCAGATCATGCTCCTGGGCTTCCTGGTCCACGTGCCTTAAGATACAGCCAGGAACGAACATCTGCTCCTTCGGAGAAGACCAAACTCAGACCGTCTGGATGTGAAAGTCCCTCCTGGAGAGCGGAGACAGGCCTGTGACCTCTCAGACCGTCTGGATGTGAAAGTCCCTCCTGGAGAGTAGAGACAGGGCTGTGACTTCAGGGGTCACAGTCCAGCATCTGGTACATCTGGGCACTCAGAGAAGCATCTGATTGGCTGGCATGGATTTGTGGACATGAGATGTTTTCTTATGCCTCCGTGCCTTCATGCAAGGTCCTCCCTCAGCCTGGAATCCCACACACCTCCTCCCAGTCAATTCTATAGCTCCTTCAAAGGTCAGCAGGAGGGTCTCCTCCCTTGGGAAGCCCCTGGCTACCTGCAGAGAATGGAGCTATGCCCCCGCTCCATCCCTCTGCCCCTCACACACCTCCTTTACAGCTCTCAGTGCACCATGACACATTTGTGCTCAGATAGAGATGCTGCACATTCTTTGAATCAGCTCTCTTCCCGCATGGGACACGGTCCTCTGTCCACAGTGCAGCCACATACGGTGTGGAGGCCATGAATATTAGGATGTAATCAAGAGGGCTTCCATGAAGGCAAAGCCATCATATCTTATTATGAATTATACATTTAGATAGAAGAAGACCTAGTGCCATCCATTGGCATGCAGCAAATGATCTTATTTATATATTTTCAGTCATTTGTCCTACTATTTATTATCTTTTTATTTCATAGGTAGTAACATTTTCCAGGAAGCATTTAAAGACTGGCCCCCATGAGCTGTATTGTAAGATGGAGCACACGGGAGATGAAACCTCAGAGGATTTATCTGTCTTCTGGGGAGCTGGTACAATCTACCTGGGAAGAAATTGTCTACACAGGCAGAAACTGTACAGCAGTGGAAAGACGACATACAAGGCTTTACATGCAGAAAAAGGATATGGCCTCTGAGGAAAAGTGATGATTCCTTGTGTAAAGTAAAACATCACATGGCAACTGAAGAATGCAGAATGTGGACTAGACCTGGAAGAATCCTGGTGCTCATCCGCACTTTACACACATGAAAATACCAAGGACAGGGCGGGGGACGGTGAAGCCCCTTGTCCCAGGCCCTACTTCTAGCTAAAGCCAAAGCTGGGACTAAATAAAAGTATTCTAACTTCCAGTTTTTTCAAAATGTCAAGTTTGAAATTTTTGTGTCCAAGCCATTTATTAAATTAAAGTCAACGTGCTTAGTGTAATGCATTTGTAAGTGGCATGAAGGAAAATAAGACTGATACTGCCAATATTCTGTTTGCCATCCCAGACTCGTCTTAGTCTCCTGCTGAGTGTTTCAGCCACATTAGCAGAGGTCGCACGGGAAAACCTCACCTGCAGCTCAGGAGGCTTCTCCAGGATGCCCATGTCCCTGGGCTTCTCCCACAATGCATCACCTCCCTGGACCCTTCCTTGCATGTCACCTGCAGCTAGAGGCTTCTCTCGGGTGCTCATGTCCCTGGGGCTTCTCTCACAATGCACCTGCCTCCCTGGACCCTTCCTTGCATGTCACCTGCAGCTCAGAGGCTTCTCTGGGTGCTCATGTCCCTGGGGCTTCTCCCGCAGTGCACCCGCCTCCCTGGACCCTCCTGTGCATGTCCCTGAACTTCCAGTGCATGTGTGCATCTGTGACTGTCCATGTTGCACAGATGACATCACACATGCTGCCAAGGCAGGGAGCCATCTCCTTGTCCCTAAACACTGTTTCTGAAAGAGAGCTGTGCGTGCAGTTAGCACTCAACAATTAGTATCGCGGAATACATTTTTAGCAATCTGTAGTATCATATCATCTTCTACCTGACCACAGTAGCCTGTGATCATTTCAAACCTGGCTGTATGTGATTCCCTACCAAATATTGTAATTTCTGAAATAAAACAGCTGGATGAGTTACCTGACAGGTACAATGTACAGTACGCAGGTGACGGTTACACTAAAAGCCAGACTTCACCACCATGCAATGTATCCGTGTCACAAAACCACACTTGTGCCCCTCAATCTATAAAATTAAACAAAAATAAAAATTTAAAAAAGGTATTGACTTGGAAGTCCAGCCCACTATTTACCCACTCCTTCTTGGTCTCACTGAACATTCCCAGGCATGCAAGATCACCTGTGCCACAGTGAGCTGTATCTGTCCCTGGTTAGCCTGTGTGTCTCTAGAAGGCAGGGCTGGTGTCTAAAGCAGTTCTTGCTCAGAACTGACAGCACCTTTGCCTGGCTGTGCATAAGACGCGTGTGCTGGGCCTCTGCCATCGGGCTTCGTGCACCCACACTGGCAGGTTAGAGGTAGGCAGAAAAATATGAAAGGACTCCCAGGCTCTTGCTACACAAACTCTTTTAATAGCCACTTCAGGCCTAAATGTCTATGATTTTAAAATTGAAAGGCACTTTTATACAATGATCCAGACCTAGAACTTGAGTACAGGCAGGCCTCGGAGACGTGGTTCCAAACACTGCAATGAAGTGAACACTGCAATCAAGCAACTCACACAGATGTTTTGGTTTCCCAGCACAATATAAAGGAAGCTGAGTAATGGGTACAAATATACGGTTTGACAGAAGAAATATGAACTAAGGTTAGATAGGTCAGTAGGGTGACTGTAGTTTACAATAATGTATTGTGTATTTCAAAATAGCTAGAAGAGAATAATTTGGATGTTTCTAGCATAAAGACAAATATTTAAGGTGATGTATATCCCAAGTACACTGACTTGATCTCCACGAATTACATGAATGTACTAAATTATCACATGTACTATGAAACTACATACATCTATTACACATTAATAAGATATGAATTGCATTGTCCATCATTCCTGTTAATTTTTAAGATATAAGGTTATAATGTACTAATACCTTGCATGCATTTTTCTATTGCTAGAATGTTAATCTAAAGTAGACTGTGTCTATCACCAGTGTTTGCACAGTTCCTAACCCCAGAGAGGCACAAAAATCAATTGTTGAGTAGGTGTTTAAATAAATACATAAATATTTGACAAAAAGTTATGGAATATTAAATGTGAAATAGTGTTATGTCTAAAAATCAAAGTATATACCTTAATTTAAAAATATTTTATTGCTAAAAAATGAGAACGATCAACCGAGCCTTCAGGGCGTCCTAATCTTTTTGCTGGCGGAGGGTCTTGCCTTGATGCTGATGGCTGCTGACTGATCTGAGTGGTGGTTGCTGAAGCCTGGGGTGGCTGTGGAAATTTCTTAAAATAAGACAAGGAAGTTTCTCACATCGATCGAGACTTCCTTTCAAGAAAGATTTCTCTGTAGCACATGGTGCTATTTGATAGCATTTTACCCACAGTAGAACTTCTTTCAAAATTGGAGTCAGTCCTCTCAAATCCTGCCACTGCTTTATCACCTAGGTTTATGGAATATTCTAAATCCTATGTTGTCATTTCAACAATGTTCACAGCATCTTCACCAGGAGTTGATTTTATCTCAAGAAACCACCTGCTTTGCTCAGCCCTAAGAAGCAACACTTCTAATTCCAGTTCTCTTGCTATTTCCACCACATCTGCAGTGACTTCCTCTGCTGAAGTCTTGAACCCCTCAAAGTCGTCCATGAGGGTTGCAATCAATGTATTCCAAATTCTTGTTAATGTTGACATTCTGATCTCCTGCCATGAATCACGAATGTACTTAATGGCAACTGGAATGGTGAATCCTTCCCATAAGATTTTCAATTTACTATGTCCAGGTCCATCAGAGGAATCACTCTCTATGGCAGATGTAGCCTCATGAAATATGTTTCTTAAATAATAAGGCTCGAAAGTCAAAATTAATCCTGACCCATGGGCTGCAGAATGGATGTTGTGTCTGCAGGCATAAAGCCAACATTCACCTCCTTGTGCATCTCCACCAGTGCTCTTGGGTGCCCAGGTGCATTGCCCATGAGCAGTAAGAAATGAAAGAAAATTTTTTTTCCCCCTTGGGAAGTAGGTCTCAACAGTGGACTTAACATATTTACTAAACCATGCTGTAAACAAATGTGCTGTCATCCAGGCTTTGTTCTTTTATTTATAAAGCACAGGTGGAGTAGATTTAGTATAATTCTTAAGGGCCTTAGAATTTTCAGAATGTAAATGAGCATAAGCTTCAGTTTAAAGTCACCAACTCCATTAGCTCAGAACAAGAGAGACAGCCTGTCCTTTGAAGCTTTGAACCCAGATATTGACTTTTCCTCTCCAGCTATGGAATTCCTAGATGCCATCTTCTTCCAATAGAAGGCTGTTTTGTCCACATTGAAGATCTGTGATTTAGTGTAGCTACCTTCATTAATGATCTTAGCTAGAGGTTCTGAGTAACTTGCTATAGCTTCTCCATCAGCACTTGCTACTTTACCTTGTACTTTTAAGTTATGGAGACAGATTCTTCCCTGAAACCTCATAAACCCACCTCTGCTAGTTTTACACTTTTCTTCTACATCTTCCTTGCCTTACCTTCACAGAACTGAAGAGAGTTACAGCCTTGTTCTGAGTAGCCTCTGGCTTTAGAGAATGCTGTGGCTGGTTTGATCTTCTATCTAGACTGCTCAAACTTACTCAGCAATAGGCTCTCTCACTTTCTTATCATTTGTGTATTCCCTAAAGTAGCAATTTAATTTCCTCTAAGAACCTTCCCTTCACATTCACAAGTCGGCTGTTTGGCACAAATGGCCTAACTTTTGGCCAATATTGGCTTTTGGCACGCCTTCCTCTCTAAGCTTAAGCATTTCCAGCTTTTGATTTAAAGTGAGAGATGTGTGACTCTTCTCTTCACTTGAACACTTAGAGGCCATTGTAGAGTTGTTAATTGGCCTAATTTCAATATTATTGTGTCTCAGGGAATAGGAAGGCCTGAGGAGCAGGGAGAGGTGGTGGACTGGCTGGTTGGCAGAGCAGTTGGAACACACAGCATTTACGGATTAAGTTTACTGTCTTACACGGGCGCGGTTCCTGGTGTCCCCAAACAATCACAGTGGTACCATCAAAGATTACTGACCACAGACGCCATAACAGACATAACAATAATGAAAAGGTTTGAAATATTGCGAGAATTATTGAAACGTGGTACAGAGACACTGAGTGAGCACGTGCTGTTAGAAAAACGGCATTGATGGACTTGTATGGTCAGGGTTGCCACAAACCTTCAGTTTGTACAAATCAGAACTTCACTGCAAACTGCAATAAAGCAACGTGCAATAAACAGGGTGTGCCTGTAATGGCGAAAGTTGCTCTAAGAAAACGCCTCCAAAATACTTTGAATTGTTTATTTTTATTCTTTGATCCAAAGAAAAACAAGGGTAAAATTTTCTACTTAAAAAAAATCTTAACTAGATTTATTTTGTGTTATTATACATTTTTAGATACTATTTAAAAAACAACAGACTGCATTAAGGACCTAAGAATAATATAAATTTCAGGGCTTTGGGTACAAAGAGTGATCCTCAGAGCCCTCCTTATCTCCAGCCTGCACAGTTTCCCTGTCATGGAACACTCACTAAACAGGTGTCTGTGCTTCCGGAAAGGCTTCCAGAGGCAGGTCTGAGGTGTCTGGGACAAGGCCCCTGCTGACAAGGAGCTTGGGGTCACGGGCAAGGAAGACTGACAGCCGTGGGTACAGGAAATCGCCACAAGCAGCACTCACCAAGCAATCCTCACTGTTCTAGGAGAGCCATTCTCCATTTGCCTGGGGTGAAAATGGCTGTGAGAGCTCTCAAATCATCAGTGCCCAGAAAATTAAATTCACCAGAGTATTCCGGTCACCAGCAGCACTACTATGCACAGTTGGGGACTGTTCCCAAGACCCAGGGATCAGGCAGGGAAGAGGGGGACCCAGGCACTCTGTGACTTGCAGGGACCAGGCAGGGAAGAGGAGGACCCAGGCACTCTGTGACTTGCAGGGATCAGGCAGGGAAGAGGAGGACCCAGGCACTCTGTGACTTGCAGGGACCAGGCAGGGAAGAGGGGGACCCAGACTCTGTGACTTGCAAGGATCAGGCAGGGAAGAGGAGGACCCAGACTCTGTGACTTGCAGGGACCAGGCAGGGAAGAGGAGGACCCAGGCACTCTGTGACTTGCAGGGACCAGGCAGGGAAGAGGAGGACCCAGACTCTGTGACTTGCAGGGACCAGGCAGGGAAGAGGAGGACTCAGACTCTGTGACTTGCAGGGACCAGGCAGGAAAGAGGAGGACCCAGGCACTCTGTGACTTGCAAAAGATGAACGCTTTGTTTGGAGGAACCTGGAGTTTATCAGGGATGGGGTAGGCTGGAGACAGAGGGGTCCCATCGCCCCTGCCCTGGCATGTCCCTTTTTCACACGCGGGAAGCCAGAGAAGAGAGTAGGCCATCCCTCTGCCTTTTGGCATCATAGCTGGTGACTGGGCAGATGAAGGCCCCGCCATCATCCTGACCTTAAACCCAAGGCCTCACGAATGCATGTGGGCACCGCGGGCTGATTCAGGATTCAGGAGAGCCGGACAGGGGGATGCACAGATGCCCAGAGCTTGCTGCTGCTTTTCAGTGGCCCTGTCTGGGCAGCGGAC
The DNA here is from genome assembly GCF_000001405.40 of Homo sapiens. Taxonomy (NCBI): domain Eukaryota; kingdom Metazoa; phylum Chordata; class Mammalia; order Primates; family Hominidae; genus Homo; species Homo sapiens. The sequence goes on from NC_000002.12 coordinate 1,965,846, forward strand.
AAGGGACTCAGGGAAAGGCTTTGCCTGGCATGCAGAGCAACTGCTCACAGATCCGAGGCTGCCAAGCACCCGTGTGAGACAGTTACGTGCCGGGTGGCCCTGTGAGGGCACCAGGACTGCCTGCTTCACGACGCCCTAGGGCCTGCACTGCGGCTCTGCCTGCTGGCTCTGGGGTCTGGCCACCTAGCTCCCCTTTCAGGCTCCTGTGCTGGGAACAAGAGGCCCTGACACCCCTAGAGGGGCATGAGATCAGTGCTTTCTAATTTCTGCCTGGCAGGAAGCATCACCTCTGCCTGGTGGCCTATTCCTTTATTCAGCTATGGCAAAAACCATGCCCAGGATTAGCCTGGGAGGCAGGGGGCTCCTCTAACGCTGAGTGAGCGAGATCATTCACAGGAAGAAACAGGCATCGCTTGACTTACTCACCACTCTTTCTTCCAGAATTTTCTAGCAAAGGCATTGTTAAATATAATGATCACTCCTTTAAAAACGATCGTTTTAAAAACAAGACAATTCCGGTTTTGAATAAGAAGGAAGCAATTTGAAAATCGTTATATTCTCTATGATCTACAGTAGGATAACAGGGACATCCTTTGATTCCATTGATGTGGGTGTAAACAGGTCTGATCTTCCTGGAGAGAGGCTCTTCTGGAAACAGAACCCTCCATGCCCTCCCCTCCCTCACCCCAGCAATTCTCCTCCTGGTCATTCATCCCAGGGAAGAAACGAAAAGACACAAACATTGTCTGCAAAGATACTTTTCCCACTTTATGCACAATATGGAGATGTTTTATGAAAACTAAATACATTTGAACAATAAAAGAATTGCATAAATAACATTACAGCCACAGGATGAAAGCCAGCCATGAAAATTAAAACTAAAACATTTAATGGGTATTTGGAAACAAGCTCATGTTATAATGTTAAGTGAAAAAAAAAAAGAATACAAAATACAAAAAAATTTACATCGATCATATGAGACTAATTCAGAAAAGAAGAGCAAAACTGTCTTAAAAAATCAGAGGAAAAATCTAGCAGTGGTTACCAATGCCCTGGACGAATGGCACATTGTGACTTTGAAACAATAGATTATTTTTTTTCTCACTTTTTAGCTAGATGTGTTGATACTGGGAAGCAACGACCACCAGTAACTTTTTTTCTTTTTTAAAATTAATTTTATTTCATAGTTTTGGGGGTACAAGTGGCTTTTGGTTACACGGATGAATTGTGACAACAGATACTAATAACAGGCTGTCATCTGCATTATGGGTTCTTTCATCATTTCTAGTCCTCGCTTTAATCCTCAGCAGCCTTTGAGCCAATGTATTTCTTTTGGTTTCTATTGCCAATAATATCCTCTGGGAGAATCAGTGAAGAACATTTAAGAAGCAAACTCCTTTTTAGCTTTTCAGGTTCTAAAGTGTTTCAAATACTGAAAAGCCCCATGGTTGGTGCCCTCTTCCCTATGAGCCCTGTGCTGTGAGTGGGGTTGCGTCCCTGGGGCAGTACCCACCTGGCCTGTCCAGGCTTCAGAGTTCCCTGCATTTGGGGATGTACCCAGATGCGCCCTCTGGGAGACGGCCCGGGGTGAACGCGTGCTAAAGGGCCCTGACTCACTGGTTCAGCCCCGGAATCTCCTTTGCTGCGCCTTCACATCCTCCCCCTTTCCTCCTTTATTAGAAATCAATTTGGGTTAATTTAAGAAGCTTCTCTGCCAAAACCATACTGGCCTCAGGGAAAGTTCAGTTCATTAGTCACTCAAAGCAGGTGCACCTTATTCTAATAATGTGATGAGTGCCTTCTGCGCAGCTGCAGCAGGGACTTCAGGCCTGACTGGAGCTGGAGGAAGAAAAGGTCGTTCCAGGGTGGAAGAGGATGGGGGGAGGGTGTGGCCAAAGAGGGGGTGTTTTGCTGCGCAGGCGAGACGAGGTGCAGCGAGGCCGCAGGCCCCGAGCCCTGCCTGGGAACAGCGAGTGCTTCTGGGACGTTGCTGTTATTACCAGAAGGGCCTCCTGCAGGGGAGGGCAGGAGCCTAGACTCCACTTCCGCAAAGAGTCCTGCTGTCTGTGTGTCCTCAGGGAGCCTGGGAGGAGAGGAGCTTCCTCGGGCCCCTGCACTGCTCCCTGCTCACTGCACCCCAGGAGGGGAGGAGGGGGCAGAAAAGAGAGGAGAGGCCCAAGATCTGCATTCCTGGACACAGTCAACTCCACCCACCTGGCAAGGAGTGGCAAGGAGGCTGTGTCCAGGGTGCTCAGGGAAGCCCAGCCCCAGGGCCCGCAGCTGGGCCCCTCTAGCAGCACCACTCTCTGCTCTCAGATCTTATCCCCGTTGAGGTTGGACTAAAGCTCTGGACTCTCCAGCCTTCCTGACGATAAATGCAGCCATTAGGATTCACTACCCTCTGCCCTCTCCGCATGCCCGCTTCCCTTCCTGGCTCCCCAGAGCGTCTGCACTTCATTCAGAAGCGTGAGAAGCCGCAGGATTGGTCGAGGGAATAACAAGGTGATCCAGGCATCGCTGAATTGCTATGTATTATTTATGAATAAAATTTCTTCCAAGATGTTCATTTTCCCCCTCCTCTCCTCCCTAGAGTTTCAGGAAATGCATCCACGTGTATAGGAAGCCTGTGTCTGGCGATGTCAAGTAGTGCATTAGATAATATTCACGGCCCTGCAGAGTGGCTACCGAATTACAAGGAACGGATCTTTTAAAATCTGTTGTATTATGTAGGGGGAGCTCAGTTTCCCTCAGCAGGAGACAGAGGGTGCGTTTATCTTAAGGATGCAACCAGAGGCTTGCGAAGGCTCACACAGAGCCTGCCAGGCCCCCAGGCAGTCCTTTCTGAATAAGGGTAAAAGAGGGCCCTAGGATCCTACAGGGTCTCTGGGTCGCCTTTGTGGTTGGCTCCTCACTGGGCTCTCTTTAGGCAGAGGCTGCACGGCACACACAGCCAGGCGGCCACAGTGCCTTGCTCTCTCAGACCCCATCCTGTCCACTGGGGATATGTGGATGGCAGGTGGGCGGGGGCGGCTCTGAGTGACCCAGAGCCTCTGGGCCCCTCCTGCGTGTGCAGCAGAGGCCTGGCCCCCTAGGTGCTTCTGGGGCACCCCAGAGCAGGCCAGGCTGAGTCCAGAGAAGCTGCTGCCCCATAGTCCTCACCCCACTCCAAAGCGGCTGTCCCTTTCTCAGAAAAATATAGCCTCCTGCACAGTTCTTAAATACTGCCTTGCTTGCCAGCTACATCAGTCCACGGTATGAACAGAAGTGAAACAGAAGTCCCTGATTAGAAATCACCCTCCAGCACCACTGGCTTTTTCTCACCCTGTGAAGGCACTGGAAGCAGGACTACAGTGATGCTGGGCCCCGGCGGGGGATGCGGGCAGGTGGGAGGAGCTGTGGGAACGCCCCACCACCGTTATGCGGACCCCAGGTCTGTGAGCTGCAGGCAGAATGCGTGCTGGTCTTCAGATTTGTCTATGCCGTTGGCTCTGTGTGTGAGTTGCTCACCCAGAATAAATTCCTCCTGTTCCCATTATCTAAAAATGCTGTCTCATTAGGAGTCCAGGCCTGTTTGTTGGCCACGATTCTCAAACTCAGGCAGCATCAGAATCAACCCTCTGGAGGGGTGGCTAAAACCCAGATTGCCGGTGCCAGCCTTAGCTTCTCACTTAGCTGGTCCCAGGTGACGCTGATGTTCTGGATCAGGGAACCCCACTTGGGGAACCCCGGCTCTAGGAAGGCGGCCCCGCCTCCCACTCTGGACGGGGCTTAAAGGTTCTGAGGATGTCTGACTTGCTTGTCAGTGGCACTCAGGAATGGCTGTGGGACCCTGGTTGTTGGTATCTCTGTAAATCCTCTTTTCTTCAGGGAGCTTCCAGAAAGGCCTTCCTGCAGCCCTCTCTGGACACTGAGGGCAGCTGTCCAGCCAGGAGTGGCCACAGCCTTCTCCCACAACAGAGGTGAACACAGCAGGAGGTGCAGGAGGATGGAGCAGAAGGCCTGAGTTAAGTCATCCTCGGCACTTCCTCTCAACATGCAGTTCAGGAAAGACAGTGATTCGGTGTTGTTCAGGCCAGTTTGAGGTGGGTTTCCAGGTACTGCAGGCAGCAGCATCCTAAGTCACACTGAATCTTCCAGATGAAAACACCAGTATCTTATTGAAGCAACGTTATGACCAGGGGATTGTTTCTTTCCTCTAAATCTTTACTAATTTTGGCAGGAAGAGAATATGGAAATTGGCGTTTCAGTCCTATTTTGGGGTCTAACCCTGAAAGCGCTGTTCTCTTTGGGGCAGGCCAGAGGGGACAGAAGAAACATCCACTTCCCAGAGCCGGACTCAGGAGGGTCCTCATGATTACTGCCCGCTCTCCTCAAGTTGTGCCTGTGAGTGACACTGGTAATAAGAGCAGGTGGACAGCCCCAGATAGGGGACTCGAAGAGCCGGGTCCCAGCGATGCTCATGAACCTGGCTACTCCAGAAGTATTTGCCGTGAGTGCAGATTCCAGGCCCTCACTGTACCCAGGATAGTCTTCTGAGCCAGCTTAGATGGGTGTGGTGAGAGGACTCTCATACTTTCAGCCCCAGCCCCCATCTCACCAGCCATCCTTGCTTCTCTAATGAGTGGGGTGCACACCCCTGAGTAGTTGCAATGGACAGAGATCTCCACAGAGGAGCTCATGGTGTCCATGAGAGGGGCATCCCGTGGTCGGCAGAGGCTCCAGGCACACAGGGCAGAGAGCTGGCTCAGGGTTCCCGGGGGCTCTGTGGTTGTGCTTTGTGGCTGCGGGGAATTGCACAGCTGGGCCACTGTCACATCAGGACTCCCTCTCTCCACACTTCAAGATCTCCATAGCGGCTGCCCTGCCTTTTCTAGAATCCCCACATGGATGAGGGTGGTGAGAACTGAACTGTGGTGTTTCAGTGGGTAAACCTCAGACAACAGCTGTACTGCACGCAAATTTCTTCTGTGTATTCTGTTGATGTTCCCAAGTTCCCAAATTGTATATTTTTTAATTATTAGTTCAAGAAATCAGAACAAGATTATAATTGTGAAATCTGGCCTTGACCAATACAGGTCATATACATTACAGACTGTTCATCAGTATACTTATTGTTTTCAGTGCCCTATCTGAAAATAACTATGTTCCTTCTCCTTGAATTGGAATTATTTAAAAAATATATCTCCTTTTACCAAATGTCAAAAATAAGCTGTAAGCCCAGCATTCTGAGAGACTGAGGTGGGAGGATCACTTGAACCCAGGAGTTCTAGGCTGCAGTGAGCTATGATCAGGCCACTGCACTCCAGCCTGGGGGAACGGGGTGAGACTCTGTCCCTTTAAAAAAATTAAAATAAATAAAATCATGCTCTAAGATGCATTACATGCTTTGCATGTATTAAATCCACCGAATTAATCATGTTGCATTCACAATACAACAACACAGGCCATGCCCAGAGGTGTGTCTCCTGGGGCTGACGCACTACAGACAGGCACCAGGCAAACTACTTTCTTTAGGATGATGGCCAGGTGTTCATTTTGTACACAGAAGACTTACTGTGACAATAAAGGTTGACTGCAACCACCACCCAAAAGAGAAGGCTTTGGGCCGGGCACAGTGGCTCATGCTTGTAATCCCAGCACTTTGGGAGGCTGAGGCAGGCAGATCACCTGAGGTCAGGAGTTCAAGACCAACCTGGCCAACATGGTGAAACCCCATCTCTACTAAAAATACAAAAATTAGCCAGGCGTGGTGGCATGCACCTGTAGTCCCAGCTACTCAGGAGGCTGAGGCAGGAGAATTGCTTGAACCTGGGAGGCGGAAGTTGCAGTGAGCTGAGATCGTGCCACTGCACTCCAGCCTGGGCGACAGAGCGAGACTCCATCTCAAAAAACTAAACAAAACAAAAGAAAAAACAAAAGAGGAGGCCTGAATTTTGTGTCTGCAAATCCTATGGGTACTCAGGCCTGAATTTTGTGTCTGCAAATCCTATGGGTACTCAGGCCTCTGAGCAACAGCAAGCCTGGACGTCACCTGTTTGATTCTCTTCTTCACCCAAGTAAACCCCTAGACCTCAAAATCTTGGCTCCATGTGCAACTATGCCATGCTATCAAACTAATGTTATAATATGCATGCCCTATCTTCTGATTTATAATATCAGTGATGAATAGTACAAGGACGGGCGTGCATAAAGCTTACGGGGAGGGTGTGGGGGTGAGGCGTACACAATGTGTCTCATAAAGAATGAAGGAGAGCTATTTATTCTCACGGATTCATGGAGTAAAGCACAGATAGCCTGGTTTGGAGGCTGCGTGCACAGAATTTTTCATAAATATCCCACAGTGTACCCCATTGTACAGCAGCCACACGTTAATTAGAGCATTCAGCAGACACTGCAATGTATTCCACGCACCCAAGTGGATCTTCATTTTTCACATGCAGGGCCTTACTAATTAAAATCAGTTTTGCAATTAAATGTGGAAAATTGTGTTAAACTTTCAAGCGTGGTTAGAAAAAAATGCAATTATTTTTAGGATATTTTATTTTAATGCAAATGAAATTTCTATCTATGTGAAACTGGTAAAGGGGAGATATAGGAACTCCTATTTTTCTCTCTGTCTTCCTCTCTGTTTCTTCTTTTTTTATTTATTTTTGGATTATAGATGCTCCTCTCAGTTGCAAGTTGCAATGCTCCACATCTCTCAGCCAGCACCTGGCTCTGTTCCAGGGCTTTTAGTGAGTGCTCTCTGTCAAGGCATGAATAATACAGCCCCTAGGCTGTTGGCAGACTCCAAATGAGGCGTGCATACATCAGGAAGCAAGCCCTTGACTTTAGCTCCAGAACAGCCTCCTGTGAAGACAGGCAATTATTCACCACGCTGTGCCATGGCACCCACACTGGCAGGCAAGAGGCGTGCGGAATGGAGAGGGGGTCTGAGTGAGGGTGTGTGCCGCAAGCCAGAGGGACCCCAGTCATGTTCTAATGAAAAGGAAAAGCCATCACTTGGAGATTTTAATTTTTAAGTTTCAAATGAAATGATTTGACTCAGTGTACCCTACATTGGGAAGGATTTGAATGTACTACCAATACCCATCACCTAACTTTCGGGTGTTTATTGAGTGTACAAAGACTCTGATGCTAAATTGCAGGGTTGGAACCCTAAGTTCAACAAACAAATCATTAAAACAGTCCAGTGAAGGTTAAATGGGAATAAAATCCATTACATTTCAGAAATAAATTCAGAGGGATCACAAAACAGACATGTGAGGAATGAGGCCTTACTAGGAATTTCCTCTCTCTCTCTCTGGTGAATTGGCAGCTTATACAAAAATCACCATTTGGAAATAAGTGTGTCCAATTCATTCCAAATGTCTTAGCATGTGTATCACTGTTGCAAGGAAGGTTAAAATTCAAATTTCTGTAATCAGTTAATAGTAATCTGTAATAAATATTAACAAATTTTGATTATTCCTATTTCTAATTTTTATTGGGAAATTTTAGGAAAAAGGATTTCAGAACAGCAAGTTGACCATTATTTTGATGATTAAATTTCGTTTCTATAGATTCCATTCTAACCACTAACTTGCACTTTGTTTTTAACACAAACAGTATTTTATATCAACATGCAAAGCCAAAAAAAACCTGAATATAAGGCACTAGAATTTTTCATCTTAGTCAAATGTTCAAAAATAGATTATTGCAGACATGTTGACATGCGATATTTTAGCTGGAATGCCAGCATCAGTTCATGAAATATTCTGGATGAATAACAACGTCTCTTTAGCAGGTACTTGAGCCCCACTAAACAATCACCTACACAGACAGAGAGGAAGGTGTGGTTTCTTTCAATGTATCCCTGCCCTTCAGGAGATAGCAGGCTTTGGTGTGAGGATGCTGCCAGGAAATGCTGAGCCTCCAGGCCTCACCCCGTGATGCTTCCCCTGCTCAGGTGTCTGCATTAGGCAATGAGCTCAGTAGCAGCAGATGCAGCTCCCCAGGCCTCCCACACCAATGCAGCGTTGCTCAAACCACGCACTTTGGGCAGATTCACCCCACTTATCTCCACGGGGCCTTCCCAGCCAGCAAACTGCTACGAGGGTGAGGAGAAGAATATGCAGCAGCTTCCTCAATGTCAAGGTTGGTGACTTCCTAGTAGGCCACTGTTTTCCTTCCATCTATCCACAAAACAATAGCGGACGGTACACCGGGACAGCTTCTGTCTTCCATGTTTTAAATGCCTGGAGGCCACACCAGGCTGACTTGCACAGTTGGGAGACTGCAACACAGGGACTTACTCTTCCTTGATATTGGGGACCGAAACTAAATCTTGGGATACTCACTTAGGATGACTGAGGTTTGCTTTGTGAGCTTGGTGGCTGGACACCAGGTTTGAGGCACCAGTGCCCCCGGCCACCTCTGAGTGTGGTGTGGGGAACATGGAGGTGCTCGGAGCAGCTGAATGGGCTGAGCCACGTGTGCAGCCATCTAACAATGGGCGCAGAAACACAGGTGACCATGTGCAGGAAAGACCACATGAGCACGTTCACTCGTGATGTAAGCATTACTTCTAGCCCTGCTTATAAAATTCACCGTGTTTTTGTCATTTATATGCTAATATCACAAGACAAAAACCTCAGTTGGGAAAAGCAAAAGGCAAATTCAGGTGACTGGCTAATAATGACGTTTCTGAAGATAAATATTTGTCATATTTGTTAGCTTCCTAGGAGGTCTGGCCTGATGACCTGTATCAGGGCCCAAAAATGTTGAGTAAGCTTGGATCCCTGCTGGGCAATGTGTGGGATGGAAACAGTTTTCCTTCGCTGCCAAGAGTGTCTGCGTCTCTAAGGAGCTGACTTAATGCTTTTATCAGATCCTGGAACTCTGTCCTTCGCCTTTCTCACTGGTTCCTTGGTAGCCAAGAGACCCAGAACAAAATGTAACACCACATTAAGACCCCCGATGTATCCTGAGTTTTCAGTAAAATTAGGTGATCATTTTCCTTATGTTGTTCCAAATTTATATTTTGATTTAAGGTTTACCATTGTAGTTGTACATAGGCTTATCAGTTATTTCAAATTCTTCATAAACTATTAACACCAGTAAATAACTACAGAGATTATCTTTTGTTCAAAGACAGGATTTGGAAATTAATGTAGAACATCCAATAAAATAAATATTATAACCTTACTCCTACCAAAAAATTTTAACCAGAGTTTTAAATCATAAACTCCTTTTTAAAATTATTTTCTTTCCCAGGTATTAAGCACTGGTTGATCCTCCTCTATTCTCAATTTCGTACAAGCCCGTAACTATACAACAATCACACTAAAAAAAAAATCCACTCCAGCCACTTTCAAAGAGACCCAGAACACCACTGAGGAGGCGTGGCTCACCAAACAGACTGCCAGATCCCACTGCCAGATCCCACAGCTTTCTGAGACCCACAGCAGATCCCGCAGCTGTGGCAGAGAGGGTGACGTATGGCCCCCAGAAACTACCATAGCGTCTGTCCTACAAAGCAATAAAATTGTAAACTACAATTGTGAGAAACATTTGATTTCCTTAAAAATCTCTTATGTTGAAAATTAAAGACTAAATGGCAGGCTGGGCATGATGGCTCATGCCTGTAATCCCAGCATTTTGGGAGGCTGAGGTGGGCAGATCACTTGAAGTTAGGAGTTCGAGACCATCCTGGCCAACATTGTGAAACCCCATCTCTACTAAAAATACAAAAATGATCTGGGTGTGGTGGCATGCGCCTGTGATCCCAGCACTTTGGGAGGCTGAGGCGGGTGGATCACTTGAGGCCAGGAGTTCGAGAGCACCCTGGCCAACATGGTGAAACCCCACCTCTACTAAAAATACAAAAATTAGCTGGGCGTGGTGGCGCACACTTGTAATCCCAGCTACTTGTGAAGCTGAGGCAGGAGAATCACTTGAACCTGGGAGACAGAGGTTTCAGTGAGCTTAGATTGTGCCACTGCACTCCAGCATGAGTGACAGAGTGAGACTCTGTCTCAAAACAAAACTAAACTAAATGGCTGGCATCATTTTATTACTTGGTATTCCTTTCCTAAAAAAGAAAAATTGATTTTTTACATTGCTGATGCCCTACATCTACCTCAAGTTGTTTTTGGCAAGTTCCAATACATCAACACCTCAAAGTACTGAAATACAACTTTTTACTTGGCTATTGCTGATGCAGTGTATGAGCAAAATGAACTTGTAACCTTAACATAAACACATTCATTGGAAACATTTATTGTTAAAAGACCAAAAAAAAAAAAAAAAAAAGACATGTAATTTCATCAGAACCAAAACGGAGGCTTCTACTCTTTTGTCCTATTTAGAAGAAGCCTGGTGTCCTATTCCCATCAGGAACCTGACAGCAAATGCCAGCATCACAGCTGTGTTCACAGAGGGTGTGCCGGCATGAATGGGCAAGAATAGCTGTCAGGAAGGGATAGCTTTCATAGTCAGCAAATCTTTCAAAACCAGTAAAAAAACAATGCCAGGGCCAGGCGAGGTGGCTCACGCCTATAATCCCAGTACTTTGGGAGGCCGAGGCGGGCGGATCACCGGAGATCAGGAGTTCGAGACCAGCCTGGCCAATGTGGTGAAACCCTGTCTCTACTAAAAATGCAAAAATTAGCTGGGTGTGGTGGCGGGTGCCTGTAATCCCAGCTACTCTGGAGGCTGAGGCATGAGAATACCTTGAACCCAGGAGACAGAGGTTGCAGTGAGCCAAGATTGTGCCACTGCACTCCAGCCTGGGCAACAGAGTGAGACTCCATATCAAAAAAACAAAAAACCAGGCAGATATAACGGAAAATTTCCAAATTTAAAACAGCAATAGTCATAGATGTTAATATATCCATGAGTCTTACCTAATACATCAAGGGACACTTCTTAAGTTTAAGAAATTAAAATTTTTCTTGATACATAGACATCAAATAATAAGGCTTAGAAAACGCTCAGTGAGAGTCCTCTTAAGAGAAGGCTCACACAGTGACAACATTTTTGCACCGTTTTACATAATAAAGTCTGCAACCCTCTTATTTTAGAACAGAGGAAACTGAAGGCTGTAGACGTTACGTAAGTTGTCCAGAGCTACTGGTCCATTAGTGATGTAGTGGAAGCTAGCATCTGGGCCAAGTAACCGGGAAATAGTTCTTTTTCAACTATACCACATTAGATGTTCTAGATAACTGAGTGCATTAAAATATTTGGTGTTCTAATAATTACATACCATATGAGCCATGGTAAAAATGATGATTTTTAAAAAATTAAGCAAAAGTTTATTGGAAACAGCTCTTGGCCCGAGAGCTTCCATGACTCCTCCCTAACATCCCAGCGAATGGGTTCCTCTGAGACTCAGGCACTTCTGCACTAATGAGTCAGTGGCAAGTTTCCGAAGGAAGAAAAAGCCCAACTTGTTTTCAAATCAAACTCTAGGGAACATTTCTGAAGCAGGGAAAGAGATCTCATGAACAGATCCACACACACATTACATGGGACACATAAATTCATTTCTTAGTGAAATGCACCTTGGTTAAGCATATGAATGCTTGAAATTATTTGGAAACGTCACGATTTTTCCTGCAAAACTATGGCTATAAAATTATATCTAGCTCACACCTCATTACAACTTTTTATAATTGTACCTTTAAAAATATGTAAAAGAGGATATTTAGATTGTTTGTAACACAAAGGATAAATGCTTGAGGGGATGAAGATTCCATCTTTCACAATGTGATTATTTCACATTGTATGCCTGTATCAAAATATCTCATGTACCCCCTAAGTATATACACCTACTATGTACACATAAAAATTAGAATAAACATTTTAAGAAACTTTTTAGCCAAATTTAATTTTTATATAACAGTGTGATAAAGTTTAACTACTGACTAATGAAGAGATGATTAGGGGAAAATGAATTTTTCTCATGGGTGACTAACTTCTTTTGAAAACATAAACAATGCAGTGTTTTAGACTTTTAGATTAAATGCTGACATATATATTTCTTCATAAAATAATACTTTAAGTAAACTACTTATTTCAATTATGTAATTCAATAATTTACTATTTTATACAATAACAATCATAATGTAATTGACTAAATTTAATAATTGAAATTGCAAAATTATCTGAAAAATAGCCCACAATTCCTTTGATCTGTAACAGAGGAAGTCAGACAATTGTTTCGTGGGGTCTCTCATTAGACATTCTTGCCTCCACAAATGCTAGAATGGGGATTTGGGAGTAATTTGTAATTTTTCCTTTGATTTTACTAAAGAACAATCAAAATAATTGCTGGATGTCACTCGTAAGCTAATGTTTCACTAAAAAGGAAATGGAATGCAAGGCCGTGAGGAGAGGCCTCCCAGATGTGCGGCAGATGCACCCGCTTTAGAATCAGTTTTGTGACCTGGGTCTGCTCACTGAGGGTTTGTTAGGCTGGAATGACCTTGGTCTTTGCAATCTAATTTGTAAAAGTAAAACATACTTTAGCCTGTAAACTCTTTTACCTCACTATAATTGAAACCTTTCTATTGAAAGACACATCTTCATGAATAGCTTAGGGAAAAAATGCTTACCAGAAAAACATCTAAAGGACTGATGTGTACCTGACAGTCAGCCACGGGCATGTAACATATAATTCTGCCATGACACATTTTGAGCAATCATCACCTTCCCCTTAGTTTCTAAAGGTTTTCCACCCCATCCCTGTCGCAGACCTGAAATGCTGGTATTTATAAGATTAATGTAATCACTGCAGTTCCAAAGTCTTGCAAGCTTGATATGCCCTGACCTTCACTTGACCTGACCTCACCCTGCAGCCGTCCAGATGTAAGAATGGGCTTAGTTTCCCAGGATGAACCCCGTTAAATGCTGGAAATGGAGTCTACAGACAGGTCAGCAGGTCACATTTTAATTGACCGTTCATTGTTTACCATCCTGCCACTCCCAGAATGAGGACGTGAGGAAGGAGAAATTGGGCTCCTCGGTGAGCAGTGGGAAGTTCTTAGGTGGCCGTGTGCTGAGCACCACATATGCAGATGGGAACATGAGCTTAAGGCTGGCCTGAATTTGTGTCATCCTAAGGAGTGTCACCTATTCTGCCCACGAGATCGAACGGCTTATGTTTTGAGAACCCTTTCAAGAGACAAAGACTGAGTTCCAGTGTGAGAAGAAAAAGAAGGCATAATGTGTATTGCTTTCCAAGAACACCTGCTCACACAGTTCATCATCAGGACTGGGTCCCCAAATAAGTCACTTTAGACAGCACATTGTGGAAAAAAAAATGCAGGCATTACCTTCTGTGTCTTGCATATTTGCCACTGACATGACCACTGCCGTCACAGCCAGGGGTGGGACAGCTGCAACAGGAAAGAATGGATTACACGGTGCCGCAGGCAGGCAGGTGAGACGGAAAGCTTCCGTGGCAGCAGAGAGAAGGAGGGCGGCTCAGACAGAGGAGAGAAATCACACAATCCAAAGGAGGGGGAAATTCGGGGAGGCTTTTTACGAGCAAGTCTCGGGGGAATTAATTTCATCAGTGCAGCAGGGCGTGAGCAAGCTGCCGATGAGCTGGAAGGTGCAGTGTGCCCATTAGAAGGCGTGAATTTTCCAAACTGTTAATGGGGATGCATTTTACCCACATGGCACTAACCTGAACAGCTCTTGTATGGCTGGTTCCACGGGAACTGCAGAGAGATGGAAATAGATAAAAATTTACCATCTATCACAAGCGACCCTCTTCCACAGAAAATTACCAAAAGGGTGGCATGAAAGTGGGGTCAGAATCGACCTCAGTTCCGCAGGATGAAGGTGACCCTGAGCCGGCCTCAGGATGCAGGGAAGCGCGGACATACCTCGAACCCCTTTGGACCGCGTGCGATGCCGCTTCTCCTCGGTGTCCACCTCCATCTGGGGATAGATTAGCAGCCATCAATGTGCTTATCCTGCCTGTGCAGGCCAGCCCTGCAGGGGCGGCTCACTCTCCCTGGCATTCTATTAATGGGGCTTTAATCCTGTTTCCCTCCATGAAGGGAAGCCCTCTACAAGGGCAGGGGGTAAGACCAGGCAATCTAAATGTATTACTCAAACAATTATAAACAGACCTTAACCTTGTAGGGAATATTTAATCAGGAGGCCCTTGTCCTCTATAATGGGGTAGATTTTGATGAATCTTGAAGTACCATCTATTTACTCTCTTTTCAAGAATTTGATGGAGACACATCTGTGTGCTTCTGAGTTGTGCTTTGTACTAAGAATATAACAGCCATTAGGTTTATAAGAAGGTAAATATATATAATATATATGTATTTTTATATATCTTATGTATATATAAAAACAAATATTTATATATATAACATATATATTTTGTATATATATACCTTTCAGTTACAAGGAGAATCTAAATATTATATATACATTATATATAATATATAGTTTATATTTATATCTATATATACACACACACATATATATATAATATTTAGATTCTCCTTGTAACTGAAAGTTTTAATCTGATTAAGCGGTTAAGACAAGAGGCTGTAGGTACAGTGGAAGAACACGTTTTACCATCAGGGGCGCGCTCTCAATGTTGTTTAGTTCCTGGAATGCAATTGTCCTCCACATTTATCTAAATTGCTTGGTTTCCTTTGAGGCATCTAGACCTTCCACTCATAGGAACTGACACATCTTATACTTGAGACATTACAAATGCTTTTATATATTACTTTGTGGGATCTTCACAACAATTTTGTAAGGAAAGTATTTTTATTATACCTATTTAATACATGAGAAAACTAAAATTCAGACCACCTGAGTTACCCAAGATGGTTTGAGTTGAAGGTTTTGGAGTAAGGACCAAAAATCACATGTCTGTCTTTGTTTCCACTAAGCCTCAGGAGCATGCTGTTGCGTGGTAAATATATACGAGTATGTTTGTTCACCAAACATTCCCACAGTATGGGAAGTGTTTGCACATGGCAAACTGGATAGCAGGAGAACTCTACTCAAGACGACGGGGGAGCTAAGAAGAGATGAGCAATAGAAGCTGGCCAAAGCCCCATTGAATGGCCTCTACACCGGCTCACAGGGCACACCAAAGCCACTTCCTCCATGGTTTAGAGGAAGAACATCGGGACTGAGTGAAGAAGACTCATTAGATGCCTGTGGCTCTATTCGAGGCACACTCCAGAAAAGAACAGGGTAGATCTGCCGCTGAAATAAACTAGCAAGGCACAACTCAACAGGTACAGTATGAAAGGCATCAGAAATCCACATGGACAGTGCCTGATTTAATGTTTATAGCAACTAACCAGCAGCTATTTATTGATGAATACTATGGATGAGTATTATGGTATCGGGGGATAAAATCATACATGTAATAAAAACATAAGCTCATTTAATGAGCTTAAAAATCTCTTAATGGGCTATATATGGACATAATGATGTGCCAGATTTAATACCAAAACAAAAACTTCAGCAAAGGAGGGGCCAATGGGAAGTGGAAGCCAAGGAAAGATGCTCGGGGAAAGCTGTGATCCATGAGAATTGTTTGTGTAGGTGTGAAAGGAAGGAAAAGAGACTGTCTCTATGACTGGCATCTAGAGGCTTGATATGCAGTTATTGAGTGAATGAATGAATGAATGAGTCCATTTGCTGGGAATGCTGCAGGTCAAGGAGGTGCCTGAAGTGGAATATTGGAAAGACGACATCAGACGGTGCAGACGACGGGCCTGAGCCAGGGCCACGTGCAGTGTTGGAAGGGATGTACCGGGAGGCCCCGCTGGTCCAGCTGAATAGACAGCTGCTGGCCTTTCTTGAGCATGGGGAGGACGAGTCGCAAACATGTTTTAGAAAAAAACAAGTTAACGGCAGCTTGAGAGAGGGCATGGAGGGGGCAGGCAGTGCAGTTGGGAGCAAGCTGGGAGGAGACTGGCAGTCGCCTAAGAAGAAAGGGCTTGGGCAGTGGCCTCAACAGCATCTGTGGCTTAGTCCCATCGTCAGCCAATTCGGGAACATAATTGTCTGGGAAAGAAAGAAATGGGTTTAAAAAACTTTCTGATGGAAGAATCCACACAACACAATGGCTCATCAGGCAGCTTTTGGGTTTTCTGCCCTTTCCTGTGATTTAAAGATATACCTGGGATATGAAACTCTGGGGCCACATCACGTGGATTTGACATTTAACTAAATAGCACCATGAGGAACACATCAATGCTCTGAAATTGCTATTCAACATGAAAACACTTCAAAACACCAGAAAATTCTAGCAAAGTGATCTAGGGCCAAAGTGACATGAGGCAGAGATGAACTGAGAGTCAAGAAGCCTAAAGCAATGGCAAAAACAGCATTCACATCCATGAGAAAGGGCATTTCCCGGGGTCCCCTGCCCTTGTCACAGGCCATTCACATCCACGAGAAATGGCATTTCCCAGGGTCCCCTGCCTTTGTCACAGGTCTGGGGATGCAGAGATAATGGGGTAAAATCGTATTCTTTAAGGAATTCAAAATTGAATTAAAACATTTAATGAAGGCCTATAAGTTGAGAAACATTCTCCGGGGGTGTAGTGGAAGTTTGGATGAGGCTTCCATTGGATTCCATGGATTCCATTCCATCATTCCATTGGATGAGGATTAGGAAGAAGAAAGAAATTTCCTGGAGGAACTCATATTTGGGCTGAATGTTAAAAGTTAACTGGATGTTTCAGGTTAAAAAGAAAAACTGTGGTGAGGGTGTGTTCCTCACAGAGGGAACAGGACGTGTAAAGACCCAAAGGCTTGGAGAGACAGGTGTGTTCCAGGAGAGACAAAGCTGGGGCTGGGGTGGGAGAGACACACTCCGAGCTTGGCTATGAGCTCCCTTCAGTAGGGCACAGAATTCTCAAAGTTTCCAGCAGAACAGGGGCCAGTCACACTCAGTCATCACCCAGCTTGCTTACCCTTATCCAGCATCTCGTGAATAAACCCACATTTATGATTTCTCTTGCTGTAGTTTAGGGGAGCACCTGTGAGCAGAAGTGCAGTAAAGCTAGTTTTCCTTTGTGGGCATTAAATAGAAAAACTTGGCCTTATTAGCTAACTGCTCATATGGTTGGATAAGGATAAGAATTGTTTTATTTTTACAATTAAATTCTTCATCCTTTCAGTATTTTTTATGCATATAGGGGCAAACTTATTTTTTTTCCAGTCAGATAGCTAATTCTTCCAGTAATCAGTTATTAAATAAATCATATTCCCTCCCTACACTAAAATATTCCTCTTGCTGAATGTGAAATTCCTGCCACAGTTGGGTCAGACTCTCTGTTCCCTCCTCCGTCGGTTCCTTCCAGTGCAATCCTGTTTGGATTATGGTGGCTCTACAGTGTGTTTTCCTCTGCTGAACAAGGGCCTTTGCTATGAGCATTACAGGAGATAATTTATGAAAGATGCCAAGCACAGCACCCCACATGGAGCAGACACTAAACAGATGGGGTTCCCCTTTCTTTCCCTTTCAGCCAATGAAACCCAAATCTGAAGGGTTTCAAAAGCTGTTTTAAATTTTACATTTACATAGCTGTTTAATAAGTGCCAATTGCCAGAAAGATTCAAATTAAGCAGAAAGCATAAAACGTATGGTCTGAAATGCCAGGAGGTTTTCATTTTCTAATGTGTGCACCTGATGGTGTGTGGTCCTAAGGCAGCTGGCCCTTGCCGGCACTCTCACACTTTGTTTCTTCAGGACTCCCCAGCCCCTCCATCCTGCCCTGCCCTTCTCTCCTACCCGCCTGAAAAGAATGCTTGGGCTTGCTTCCACCCAGGGCCTGCCCACCACTGGCGACTGTCATTGGCAGCCTCAGGCGTTTAAACCGTTCATTTGAATTCATTCTTCTGGTGGTCCCAGGGCTGGAACTGCGAGCTTCACTTACTGAACCCGTGAATGGCTCAGTCGCGTTTTCTAAGACATCAGCTCTGATCTTCCTTGGAACTGGAGAAAGTTCACCTCAGTTATCACTGCTTGGGTTTCTGATTACCTCTCCAGTAATTTACATTTAGAAAATCACCCTTAAAACTCCACTTTAGCAGTAATTCTTTTTATTTTGAAGTCTAATATTTATTTTTAAAATAAGGACGTTTTCTAAGATTTAAAATTTGTTTTATACTTAAAGAAAAGTCTTGAATTTAAGGAATCTATTTTGAGCCAATAAAGCTGTCAGGAGTGATTCATGAAGAGAGAGCAGGTGAATTATTTCCTAATATGAAAACTTTACATTTGGACTCAGGATTTATTTTAGTACTATGATCTTCCTTCTCTTTTCCTTCCAATAAAAGGGATGCTTTCCTCAAGTTGAGCCTCAGTGAAGAGATTATAATGTATATATATTTGATACATATATTTAGGGGCAGGGTATCACTTTGTCACCCAGGCTGGAGTACAGTGGCACAATCATAGCTTGCTGCACCCTCGAACTCCACTTCCAGAGTGGCTGGACTACAGGTGTGTGCCACCATGCCTGGCTAATCTTTTCAATTATTTGTAGAGCCAGGATCTCACTATGTTTCCCAGGCTGGTCTTGAACTCCTGGACTCAAGTGATCCTACTGCCTCTGCCTTCCAAAGTTCTGGGATCCCTGGTGTGAGCCATGGTACCTGGCCAAGAACTAATTTTTTTTTTTTTTTTTTTTTTGAGACAGAGTCTTGCTCTGTGGCCCAGGCTGGAGTGCAGTGGCGCTATCTGGGCTCACTACAAGCTCCGCCTCCTGGGTTCACACCATTCTCCTGCCTCAGCCTCCCGAGTAGCTGGGACTACAGGCGCCCGCCACCATGCCCGGCTAATTTTTTGTACTTTTAGTAGAGACAGGGTTTCACCGTGTTAGCCAGGATGGTCTCAATCTCCTGACTTCGTGATCCACCTGCCTCAGCCTCCCAAAGTGCTGGTATTACAGGTGCAAGCCACCGTGCCTGGCCAAGAACTAATATTTTAAATGCACGAAAATTTCATAAACTCAGTAAAATCCCTTGGAGTCCTCAGTGGCTGCTTTCTGATGTCAAGTACCACATTAGGCCATAACTGTGAACCCAGGAGGAGCTCACTTTGGGTCCCAGGTCTGCCAGAGACCAGCAAGGTCCTCCTAACCCGAGTCTCTAGCCACAGGGACCTGCTCTCCCCTCCCCGACAGAGTCCTCTTGCAGGAACAGGACATGGGGGCTTGGACTGCAGGCTGGGTTACGGACAGCTCCCACTTTGACACCAGAACCTGAGCTCCAGGCCTCCCTCCCTGCCACAGTCACTCCTCCACTAACCAGGAAGCAATTTCCATTTTGCCAACCAGCCAGACCCTGCCTTTCAGCTCCTGCTGCTCAATTCGCTTGGTCAATTCTTTGCTTGTCAGCAGCATCAAGAAGAGGAGATAGGAGGGAGGGCAGGAGCCAGAGATCAGTCCTAGCCTCTGTGAGGGGTAAGGAAGGCTCGGGGAAGGAATGTTGAAGAGAAACTGGAAGTCCTGGCAGAAGGCAGTGCAGGTGTGCATGTCTAGCCATATCCAGGTGTTTTCCCAACAGCACTTCTTCCTAGGAATTACTCTTTCCAAGGCAGCTGGGAGCTGGTCAGCCTTCTAAAACCCTACGTCATAGAAAATACCTCCACGTCTCAATTCTGACTCCAGCAAGTTTGGGCTCCTAAAAATACATCTATGAAGATTAGCAAGAATCATAACTTATATTTTCTAGTCATCCTTCAAAAATGTTTAAACAGAGAATGACAACAACACGTATTATCATGAAACCCTAAAAATAAATCCTTCTAAATGGCATAGTTTGAATGCTTAATAGACTTCTATGCCTAGTTTGAGACAAACACTTTAAAAATCACGCTACAAATCCTAAGAAAATAGCAATCAAAATGATGACAGGTTGCAATAAAGATGTCTTGTAATAGGCCCCCTAGAGGGGAGCTCCATCATTTTGACAGAGCCAACTTGTGAGAGTGCGACCACCCAGGATAGCACTAATTCGAGCACGGCACCAAGGACACCACACCAGCCTGTGCCTCAATGGGTGCCCCCAGCCTCTCCCTCAGATCTGTGTGTGTTGTGAGGGTGCAGAGCTGGGAGCTGGACCCAACAGAGGTGGGAGGACAGCCATAGGAAGTGCACTCAGCCACTAGCCTTTTGAATACAGGAAAAGCAAGTTGTCAAAATATAGGATCCTATCTTTCAGGCAGGTGGACGTCCTGACGGAAAAGTGCCTGGCCCATGGTAGATGCCTGTAAATTTCAGTTAAGTGAGTGAATGAATAAACTAATTACATTGTACTAATGCATCTCTTGGTCAGCTACATTGTTAATAATTTTATTACAGTTTTAAAAAATTCTCACAATACAAATAAAAAGTTTCAAAGAAATATCCACTCCACATGCAGCCAGAAGACACCTACGCCTCTATTTCCACATGCATGGTGGGAATGCCACGTCAATGGAATGCTGGTCAGGCGGCCTGGGATCACTGGACGTTAAGCCAGAAGTCAGCAAGGAGCCTTTCAGAGCTTCAAAAAAAGCCTCAGGGTATTTGCTCTGGGAAAATCCTGGGATTCCCTGGCCCAAGAAGGGTTTCCTCCCATCATGTTTGAGCCGGGAAGCTAATGGAACATTTGAAACTAAACCAAACCTGAACCAAGTCTCAAAGGCTTCGAAGATGTCTACAGGGTAATCGAGGCAGTGGTGATGCTTTCATAAAATAATTTACATTTGATTTTATTCAAAAAAGGATGGTCTAGCAGTTTTATATCCATGAAAAACAGGTTGCCCAATTTACGTCATGTACGATAACAGCAGAGAAGCCCCAAAATACCCACAAGAAGAACTTTTGGGGAAGCGCTAGGGGCCAGGAAGAGAGAGGCCTCACTTCACTTTGGAGGCCTCATCTCAGGCCAAGGGGGTCGTCAGATGCTGTGCAAGCAGTGGTGAAGCTTTGTTGTTCACACTAAGAGCTGACACCCGATGAGCTGGAGCCTCTTTCAGATGTAATGGTTGCATTTCCAATCACAGCGTGATACCTACTTTTACATCAAGGAATGGCTGGGCAGGAAGGCACCCCTTCCAGAACTTC
The DNA here is from genome assembly GCF_000001405.40 of Homo sapiens. Taxonomy (NCBI): domain Eukaryota; kingdom Metazoa; phylum Chordata; class Mammalia; order Primates; family Hominidae; genus Homo; species Homo sapiens. The sequence continues at coordinate 1,986,947 of NC_000002.12, forward strand.
AGAGGAAACATCAAGTCAGGTGCCCTTCAAGAATTTAACTATTTTTGTTGTTGTTGTTGGTAAAATAGATGTTGTTTCAGCCCTGAGCATAAAAATAAGAAAATAGATCCTTATTTTCATTTTAAAATATGATTTTCTAAACTTGAATGTGTTTCTTATGACTTCTCCATTACTTTATCTTGCCAGCAAGTTCTGGGAGAAAATTCAAAGAATCAGAATTTTAGGGCTGGGGGGTACCCGAACAGTCTCATGGCCAGGGGCTCATACCCAGCCACTTAGAACTGTTCCATCGGGTTCTTGGTGCTTAACAAATTGGACTAACATCTAAAAATCTCCAGGCTTTATATCAAAACCTTGATTTCTGTTTTTTTTGTTTTTTTTTTTCTGTTTTTTGTTTTTTTCTTTCTGGAAAAATATGATGATCTGAAAGCATTGCTCTAAATTTCTCTTGGCCTCAGATGGCCGGAGTGGAGGTGCAGCGTTTCCATGGGAGGGGCAGCCAGTGTTCCCATGGGAGGGGCAGCGTTCCCATGGGAGGGGCATGTGCTACCCCACACCACAGCTTTCAAGTCTGGGGCCCTCATGCCCATTCCTTTCTGGGCTTATGCCTCCTGCCCACCTGCTTCAGGGATTCACGTCTGCTGCTCTCCATCTGTTCCAAGCTGGTTCTGAAGCTGGACCTAGCAACAGTGAGCTGAGGCTGCGTGGGGAGTGCAGGTGCTCCCTGGGTCCCCTGCTCTCTGCCCATGAGGATGACTGAGTCTAAGAGAAAGAGCAGACGTTGAAGTCCCAGGACCTCTGGAGCATCCTGGAGAAGCCAGACCTCAGTTGATGCTTCTGGGGTATGTAATTGTTACAGGAGTGACATTCCCATGCTGGGCCTCAAGACTCAGAATATGGCTCATCAGGACGTTCATGGGTCCTGGGTAGATACTGGAACTGTATGTGGCAAAGGTTCAGAATGTACCAACTCCCCCTGAAGCTGTCCTCTAGCACGTGAGCTTTTGGTCAATGTTTAATAATTTCTTTGCGTTTCATCTCTGCTCTTGGAGTAATTTGTTCTTTGATCTTCCTGAAAGTTGCTCCAAACAAGTTTCCATAGACTTTGCACATGCCTTTAAAATAACTCTGGTCTTATCTTCATGTGCTTGTGAGACCTCCACCCTCCCGCCAGCCCAGCTGCACCTACAGGGTAGAAACGGTGCCACATTCCCACCCTCCCGCCAGCCCAGCTGCACCTACAGGGTGGAAACGGTGCCACATTCCAACCCTCCTGCCAGCCCAGCTGCACCTCCGGGGTGGAGATGTGCCACATTCCCGCCTGCACCTCCCATTCCTGCGGAGCGCCGGGCACACAGCAGGGCTGCCTGACCATGCTGGGTGGGTGGAAGGTGGGCCCGTGATGATACGTGGCTCTGAACATCTCTGCATGTGCTTTCCAGGGCCCTGTAGTGGGCAGTATCCTCCGTCTACTCTGCTGGCTCTCCAGATTTCAGTGTCTTCATATTCTCGAACTCCTCCTTGTCAGTGGCAGCCCCTTCACTGGATGGCTTTGGAAGACACTGTGGCCTGTGCACCGTGCGGGGCAGCAGCAGCATACATGTGCATGACGGGGTGACAGCCTGCAGTGCCAGTGCTGGCTCCATACACAAACCTGCTTATGCTGGGCACAATCACCTTTATGAATCTGAGTATTTTCATGTGTAAAATCCCTGCTTACCGCATTGGGTGGTGGAGAGGACTGAATAAAAGAATCTTAGGTAAGAACCTTTTACAGAGCTTGGTGCATAGCAGATGCTCTCCAACTCCTGAGCTCAAGTGATCCACCCACATCAGCCTCCCAAAGTGCTGTGATTACAGGCATGAGCCACTGCGCCTGGCTGGGTACATAGCCGATGCTGAGGATATGCTTGGTGCTTTCTTCTTATTTCCATGTCTGGGTGTTGTAAGTTTTCCCAAAGGGATAAGAAACAAATGCTTGTGGAATCCATGTTACAGATAACTGCATAGCCCTTCTTATGTAGGGTAAGATGAAGTCCTCTGGGTACTGTTGATTACCTTCTCATAATACCAAATATTATATTAGCCTTTCATGTCCCTGAACTAGTATGCTGGTACTTTGGCCCCAGAGTACAGTCTCCAGGACTCCTACAGCCAAACGTTTAGTTGCATTTACAAAATCTAAAAAGTGCGTGTGTGTGTGTGTGTCAGGTGGGAACACAACTTTCTTTTCTAGATGAGAATATTTTTCTTGGACTCTTCACAGTCTCCTTTAATTCAACTAATTCTTCATTTTTAACAGGATTTGGACTCCTAAGTTCCCTGTGCCAGGCAAGGGAGCAGCTGAGAGTGTCTTCTCAGGAGCTGCAGTCCTGAAGCCTGGGGAACTGGGTCATTGCTAGAAGAGGCGGCTCTCTGCATGCCAGGAGAAACCCAGCCCAGGAGCTGCAGCCCGGCAATCCCAGGACAGAAGCGAGAGTGCACCCTACATCTTCTCATTCTGCAGCCCTCAGCATGGCACTTGGCACAGGGCAGTGGCTGGATAAATATTTGCTGAGTTGTACTAAATACAAATAACAAGGTTTGATTAAGGATCGCATGAAGGTTGGACACACCTTCTTGACAATACGGAAATAATTTAGTTAAGAGTCACAGATGCTCTACGCAGGAAAGAAAATGAGTAAAATAAAGGGAAACGTTTCCTACCTATAGGGGGAAACATCATAAATATTAGGTAAGTAATGAACATTCAAAAAACTTAGACTAGGGGCCAGGTGTGGTGGCTCACACCTGTAATCCCAGCACTTTGGGAGGCCAAGGTAGGTGGATCACCTGAGGTCAGGAGTTCGAGACCAGCCTGGCTAACATGGTGAAAACCCCGTCTCTACCAAAAATACAAAAGTTAGCTGGGCATGGTGGCGGGTGTCTGTAATCCCAGCTACTCTGGAGGCTGAGACAGGAGAATTGCTTAAACCTGGGAGGCGGGGGTTGCAGTGAGCTGAGATCCACCATTGCACTCCAGCCTGGGCAGCAAGAGTGAAACTCCGTCTCAAAAAAAACCAAACAACAACAAAAACCACTTAGACTAAGGATAATTTTAATGGCTGGTAGTTTATGCTTTTTCACACAAGTATAGTATGAAATAAAAATCATCTCTGGCCTTTTGGCACCTGTAAAATCAGTGTCTTGCAGGATAAACGGTGTGGTCAAGGGACACAGTCCTGATCTAGGAGGTGTAGCTGATGCTCCCCATTCCTGGGCGGACGCCATCTCTTGTGGGAACTCACAGTTCTCCCTGTACCACCAGTGAGGGCTCCTCACCCTCTATCCTCTATTGTACCTATTTATAAACTCACACATAGCTACACAGCAGTGCACACTTCCTGAGGGTGAGGGCTTTTTCAATTCATTCTTGAATTCTGTGGTTCCTCAATTTGTGGCATGGTTTCTTGTAAATAAGAGACCCTCAGGAAATCACGAGGAAGACAGATACTCAAGCACCAAGCTGTAACCCAAGACAGGATGAACTCAGCACCAAAATAGAAAAACCACTGCGGGTGCCATGGAGGGCAGTGGGGAAGAGTGGGGTAAGGAGCTCAACCTCCCAGGGTCACACCCTGCCTTTGTCTCCTCTTAGCTGTATGAGTTCAGGCAAGTTATCTAAGCTCCATGGCCAGGGGTGTCTCGATGACACATGTGGGCAACAGCACCCACATATTCCCAGAGATGTTGAGAAGCCAAAGAAGGGAGCGGCTTGGAGAGAGTTCTGGGGAAAAGAACGGCAGTTCTGTGTGGACTGCCAGGACCAGCCCTGCCTTCTAAGGTGCTCTGGAACAGGCCCAGTCGTCTAGAGCCCTCAGCGTCCATTGCCACAACTCAGCCAGGACAATACCATGTGAAGAAGCAAGGCTGGCGCATGCCCTGGTGCACACTGCTCTGGGATGTGTTGGAACAGAGCCCAGGAATCTGCTGTGCAGCCTCACAGGCGGCCATCTGGGTCCTCCTGCCGTGCCAGCTTCCTTTGTGGGCTAAGCTCATCCCAGGGCTGATGGAGACTGCTCTCCCTTGCAACCTGCACTTCCCATCTTGTCCCCTCTCAGGCAGCAAGCTTGCTGTTCTCTTTACAAGGAAGAGCAGAGGAGCCATTGAAGCCAGCCCCTCCGCTGGTCTCAACTACGTCTCTCATTCAATATCCCCTTCCAGCCTGCTTCCGAGTAAGAAGTTTCCATTGAAATCTCTGCTCGCTGCCAGGAATCGTGGCCCCAAATCACAGGGTGGATCCGGGGCTCCTGTTGGATCCCACCTACGCTTCCACATCAGCCCCTGCCGCCGCCCCCTCTTGTGAGGGTCTCGCTGTATCTTTTTCTTTTCTTTTTGGAGACTCTGCTACTCTGGCTGGAGTTTCAGTGACACGATCATGGCTCGCCGCAGCCTTGGACCTCCTAGACCCAAGTGGCCTTTCCCCTCAGCCCCTGAGACTCTGGGATTACAGGTGCACACCATGTCTGGCTAATCTGTGTATTTTTTGCCACCATGTTGTCCAGGCTGGTCTCAAACTCCTGGCCTCGAGTGATCCTCTGCCTCAGCCTCCAAAAGTTCTGGAATTTTAGGTGTGAGCCACTGCGCCTGACCTAGATCCTTTTCTTAAAGCTGACCTCTGAGGACCCACTCTCTCCCATCCTTCTTTCCAGTGTGTCTGTCCATCCCTCTCGCCTGGTTCGCCTCCTGCTTTCCTTCAGCTCAGACCCCTCCACCCTCCAACGGCTAACCTGCCCTCTCTCATGCAGTCAGGACCCTGTTGGCTATCACTTTTAACATCCTTCTTTCAAAGAACACCACTGACCCATCCCCCAAATCCACAGTCTTGTCAATTCCTCTCCATCAGCGAAGACTAGGATTCTCTGGATCACGTTCCCCCAAATTTCCATCTCTCGGGTTCACCACACTGGCTCTCAGAGCTCTATCCTGGTCCTTTCACCTCTCAGAGGACATCATAGCTGCCTCTCCTGCTCCACAAAGAAGGATTCGAACTGGCGTTTTCAGCCCTAACCTCTCCGGTCAGCACTCCTTGCTGCCTCTGTCACATCAAGTTCATCTTAGGGTTTTCCCTTAACCACGCCCCTAATTCCTATCGCACAGTTAGGCACTGCTGTCTCCTTTCTCCTTCCTCACCGTTTTGCAAATTTATTTATTAGACATCGGTTTTTCTGCACAGTTCACTGGCTGTAAGAGCTTGTGAGGTGGGGCCTCATGACAACCCAGCGTCGGTCCACGTTCTCCATAGTTAGTTCCTGAATGTATGAGGTGATTGTTCTTCCCTTCCGAAGCTTTAAAATAATACTTGGCTAGTTTTTCCCCCTTTCCCCTATCAAATAATTTATCACATTCTGGTTTTGGCTGTTGCCATTTTTTCCCGTTTCCTTGCATCTGCCTGGACACCACCCTCCTCCATGCCTGATCCTACCAAGAGGGAGCATTGCTGGAGTCCCCAGGTGCTCCCCTCCCCTGCTTTCCTGTCTATCCCCCATGCCCCGCTGTGATGCCTTCTGTCCGGGAATTCTCGGGCATAAGAACCCAGAGTGGTTCTCTGCTGATTACCCCAAGTCTAGCAATAATGCCTCCTTTTCCTTACTTGCCTTTGCAAAATTATGACTGACACAGTGAAAGAGATCTGACTTAACCCACTCCATCTTGCTTTTAACATCCAAGCTGTCCATATTCATTCCTGGGCAAAGGCTGAATTAGCTTTGGGAGAAACTTAGTTTACAGTTTAAACAAAGATGATAACGGCCCTTTCCCAAAGCAGACCTCCTTCTTGCCTGGGGACTACATTGCCCTTGTGGAACTAACATTAGCCATAAGATTTAAAATTATGATTTAGGAGTCATGCAGCTGGAGGCTACAAGATTCTGACCCTCCCTAAGCTGCTCCTAAGACCAGTGTTCTGATATTTTGCAGACCCTGCACCTGATGGATCAGCTGGCACCACCCGGATCAATAAACTGGCTCATCTGATCTTATGGCCCCAACCCAGGAACTGACTGAGCGCAAGAAGACAGCTCCACCTCCCTATGATCTCATCCCTGACCAATCAGCACTCCTGGCTCACTGGCTTCCCCCTACCCACCAAGTTATCCTTAAAAACTCTGCTCCTTGAATGCTCGGGGGAGACTGACTGGAGTAATAATGAAACTCCAGCCTCCCACACAGATGCCCTGAGTGAATTACTCTTTCTCTATTGCAATTCCCCCGTCTTGGTGAATCAGCTCTGTCTGGGCAGCAGGCAAGGTGAACCCCTTGGGCGGTTACATTATCGGGTTGAAGTACAAACAGGCACACAGGGGTCCGCCAGGTGGGGATTGGGCAGCCGCTGCTGTCTCTCTTCCCACAGCCAATTTTCTTACTGGAGGAAACCAACCTTCACTCCACTCCACAATGGAATGAATACACAGAGCAGGCTCTTTGTATATTTATTGTTTACAAAATCAGGCTCTGTTTACAAAACTTTTTTGTACTTGCTATTTTTCACTTAAAAAAAAATCACAGCCATCTCTCTAGGCTAATGTCTATCCATTGAACTCATCTTTTTGAATGGCTGCATAGTATTCCTCAGAATATACCTACTATAATTTATCCAGCCAGCCCTCCAAGTTCCTTTACTAACAAGGCTTATGTTGTTTTATTTCACTACAAAAATAATTTACAAAAATGATTACATGTATTTTGCATGTATTTCCAGAATAGAGTTTTCTAAAAAGATATCGTCACTTTACCATTAAAAAAGAAAACATTCCACGCCCTTTTTAGTAACATGTGATCATGCTGGTTTCTGGAAGCGCTGGTCACCTTTAATTTTATTCCGTCCTTGGCTTTGGTTGAGTAAAGCCACGTGTCTCGTCATTTCCTGGCCCCCAGGGAGGGTAAGCGTTCTCTCACACCCTCACCGTCCACAGCTCCTCGTCTGTGAAATTGTGATTCATATCCTTTGCCTGTTTTTCTTCTTTCTTTTCACATTTTTCACATTGATTCATAATAGCTGTCTGTACACTGCGGTGCTAACCCCTTTGCCCACCTTATCTGTCACCAGTATTTTCTTACAGCTTATTGTTGATATTGTTTTGTTGTTTTTCTATTTTGCTCATGGTATTTTTTCCCATGTATACATAAACGTTTTCGGTCATTCAGTCATTTGAAAAGAATCCCAGTCTCCGTGGCCTGCATGTGACTTTCTCACTAAGCCTTGCATTTTGGGGTGAGTGGCCGAGCCCCTGACGGGCCTGTTCCTTCCGGTGCCCTCACCAGGCTCAGCCCTGGTTCAGGCCCTGCTCCCTCCTCCCAGCGAGTCCTCCTGGGGGGCTCAGCCCTGGTTCACGCCCTGCTCCCTCCTCCCAGCGAGTCCTCCTGGGGGGCTCAGCCCTGGTTCAGGCCCTGCTCCCTCCTCCCAGCGAGTCCTCCTGGGGGGCTCAGCCCTGGTTCACGCCCTGCCCCCTCCTCCCAGCGAGTCCTCCTGGGGGCATCTGACTCCACTGACTCCACCCCTGGGCCGTGCTGTCTCCTGGTGATGCTCAGAGGTGTCGGCTCCCTCCCTGATGAATGCCTGTCCCAGCAGATGTGTGGCTACGGTGCTAGTGAAAAAAGCTCTCTTTGATAGCTACAAAAAACACAAATGTGACTGAAGAGCTGATTTTAACAAGTAATAGACAGTGTTCTGTATTGCTGATCTATAGGGCTGTTCTGAGACTACATCTGGTTTATATTCAGCATTTTCTATCTTTACTTCTCCCTAATTCAGATTTTAGTAATGTGGTAAAAAAAATTTAAAATTAAAAATTCAAATATGTTTTGCCATAGAAAAATATTACTGGAACTTCCCATTTATACAGGTATTTGAAATTATCTTAATGATTTTTCTAGTTTGCATATTCTTTTTAATTTTTTTAAATTATTCTACTTATTTTTTAGGGGGAGGAAAATACTAAAAGAATAAAGAACAGACAGAAAACTTAGAGAAACCTGTGTCTACAAGTGATAGAATGTGGAATCTGTGACATATGTTAAGTATTCACTGGGGAGGAAATACGTTATTCCACAGAAAAGTCATAGAAATGAAAATGTTCTGAAAGTTATTAAATGGGAAACATGAAGTTTAGAGACAGGGTATGGGCTTGGAATAGTTTTTTTTTTTTCCTACTTACTGTGTCGTTTTAGCTTTCAGGCATCTATTTTATCATCTGCACGAACTATTCCACAGGAATGTCTTTCCTGTGTGTTTATGTGACGGGGTGGATGTGAACACTCTAGCATGTGTGGAAGAACCCGGAAAATGCACAGGGCTCCACACGTGTGAGGGGACGCTGCTATGTGCCCAGTGCGGTAGCTGTGAGTTCACTAGACTGTCGTCCTCACTGCGCTCTCCTGCTGGGAGTGCCCTTCACCATGAGAGAAATGCACCGCTAATATCACACTGCCCTCCCTTCAAGGAGCAGGAAAGAAAAAAAGCATCAACAAGAGCATTCTAAATAATAAGAGAAAACCCTAAAAAAACACCTGCCTCTTGCAGAAGAGAGGAGAAAGTTCTAGAAGGGGTGGAAGGGAAAAGGAAGGAACATTATGTTGTCAGCACAGCCGCTGTAGGGGGAGGACTGAAGGAAGTGAGTGGGTGGTCTCTCGCTGACCACTGCTGCCGGGTAGTGGTTGAGCATGAGAGAGGCCCTCCCGTGTGGGTTCGAAGCACAGACCCTTTGTTCCCGGGTGATGGGCGTGGGACCAGCTGATGCCGAAATCCCCGTCCCAGACAACACTGCCTGGGCTTGGTGCTCCTTTATCAAGGGGAGTCCCAGGAGGAGGCCAGCGTGTAGTGGGATTCTCAGGGCTGCTGCAGGTGACGAGGTGGGCAGCGGCTCTGCCTAGGACTGCCCCAGGGGACAGAGGCAAGTGAAGAGCTACAAGAGAGAGGAAGGAAGCTGCCCTCTGTTTCTTAGAATCCAAGATGGGGTCAATCCAGCCATCAGAAAGGAAGAAGTGACTGATATGGAAGAGGAGAGGGGGAAATCTGAAGGAATGGTTTACAAGAAAAAGCTGAGGCATCTTCCCAGGATGGAAAGTGGAAGAGGGAAGGGCCGGAGAGGCTGAGGTGGAGGAAGCGGTGTGCAGGCTGATTGTTTTGACCACATAAGGAAGTGGTTTGTGGACAATGTGGTCTGGAAGAGGCTAGGAAACCGGGCTAGGAGATGTGAGTGCTGCTGTTTATTTAGTTCTTTTCTCACACGCAGAGAGCACACAACCTAACCGTCTACAGTGGGGGCCGCCCTGCCTCAGTGTGGACTGTACAGAACCGAGTGTAGACAGGCCACCTTTACCTACTGAGTGAGGGCCGTCTTGCCTCAGTGTGGGCTGTACAGAACCGAGTGTAGACGGGCCACCTTTACCTAGTGAGTGAGGGCCGTCTTGCCTCAGTGTGGACTGCACAGAACCGAGTATAGATGGGCCGCCTTTACCTAGTGAGTGAGGGCTGCCCTGCCTCAGTGTGGGCTGCACAGAGCCGAGTGTAGACGGGCCGCCTTTACCTAGTGAGTGAGGGCCGCCCTGCCTCAGTGTGGGCTGCACAGAACCGAGTGTAGACGGGCTGCCTTTACCTAGTGAGTGAGGGCCGCCCTGCCTCAGTGTGGGCTGTACAGAACCGAGTGTAGACGGGCCGCCTTTACCTAGTGAGGGCCACCCTGCTTCAGTGTGGGCTGCACAGAACCGAGTGTAGATGGGCCGCCTTTACCTAGTGAGTGAGGGCCACCCTACCTCAGTGTGGGCTGCACAGAACCGAGTGTAGACGGGCCGCCTTTACCTAGTGAGCGAGGGCCGCCCTGCCTCAGTGTGGGCTGCACAGAACCGAGTGTAGACGGGCCGCCTTTACCTAGTGAGTGAGGGCCGCCCTGCTTCAGTGTGGACTGCATGGAACCGAGTGTAGACGGGCTGCCTTTACCTAGTGAGTGAGGGCTGCCCTGCCTCAGTGTGGGCTGCACAGAACCGAGTGTAGACGGGCCGCCTTTACCTAGTGAGGGCCGCCCTGCTTCAGTGTGGGCTGTACAGAACCGAGTGTAGACGGGCTGCCTTTACCTAGTGAGTGAGGGCCGCCCTGCCTCAGTGTGGGCTGTACAGAACCGAGTGTAGACGGGCCGCCTTTACCTAGTGAGGGCCACCCTGCTTCAGTGTGGGCTGCACAGAACCGAGTGTAGACGGGCCGCCTTTACCTTACAGGAAGTCTTCTCTCCTAGGAACGGAGGCAGCGTGACTCCTGGCAGGACGCAGGCCCAGAGTCAGGGGCTCGCTCTAAGCTCTACTCCTGGTCCTCTCCAGCTTGTGACTGTGGCAAAGTCACTTAATCTCTCTATGCCTTGATTTCTCCATCTGTAAAATATAAAAAGCAATATACAGCACCTCATGAATTCATCGCCACCTTAGGGAGAGACATACACAGGGCGTCCTCTTTGCAACCGTCAACATGCACACAGCAGCTTCCTCCAGGAACCAAATGTTCTCTTTCATGTCCATGAGCAACGCATTCCCCTTTAGAGTTTATTCTCCTAGGCTTGACGCCTGCTGTTCGGACTCTGACCCTTGCCCAGGCTCCTGTTGGGAGCAAGCCCCAGCTGGGACAGCTTGTTCTCTGCCAGCTACGTCAGCTCTGTGCTCTGCCTGATATGGTTCCATGAGCTCCCAGTTCCTGTGGACCAGAAGCCCTGCACACAGCCTTATCCTCCCTCCTTCCCAGACTCGGGGTAGACTCAGCCCGTGTGGCAGCATCATGGAGGAGCTCCACACCAGGATTCGTGCTGTCACCCTTATTTATTCTGTGATGTCTCCAGGGACTTCTGGGGTGAGAGGACCAGCCTAGTCTCCTTAAAATTCATAGAACTAAAAACCTTACAAAACACTTTCTTACCCATTATGTCATTTGGCCATCAATTGAACTTTATGTGAATTTTATGAATAAAGATACTGATACTCAGAGAGTATCAGAGAGTGCTCAGAACTCCCCAGTTAGTCAGGAGATAATAATTGAAACTGAATTATCTGTGTTGAGATCCAGTATAGTTCTTCCCACCATGAATTAAGGCCTGTCCCTACACATGCTCAGGAAGGACCCACAACGCTGAGACACGGGTCAGGGAATTTGAGTCTCGCCACTAGGTCCTCGGGGAGCCTTGGGTGGTGGCATTGGATAATTGTCCCCTTATGATTTCCATTCCAAAGGATTCAGTGCTTCTTGCTCTCCAGGGTTGACAGGACTAAACCTCTCTGGGCTGTTTTGAACCTCAACAGGTCAAGTGAGCAGAGAGCCCGGAGCCCTGCGATGATGCAGCTTGATGCAGATAACCATCATGGAAGTGCCGCTGCACTTTCTATGCAATTCCTCATTAGAGCAACAGGAAACCAGAGCGTAGAGTTAAATAAGAAATACAGGGAGTCATAATAGGGACATTTTCCCCAGAATTCGCAAATCTTTTCCTTCGACCTGGAAACTAACCCACCTTGTCCACTTCTGCTGACCATTAGGGACTGAGCCCTAAACCCTTTCCTTGTGTACTTAATTTTCCCCAGAGAACAATTTCGTCCATACACACAGTTAATAAGGGATGGAGCATGTATGTCTTGTCAAGAACATAATGGTAGATATGAACCTCAGAAGGTTAAAAATCCTGATTAGTCCCTTGAAGGAGAAAGGAATTAGACCAGATTGATCTTTTTTCTCTACTACATTGTAGTTTAAAACAAAAGAACTTCTCTTACCCCTCCTTTGGATACGATAACTCCCCTAAACATTACCATGAACTCTGAACTATCTTACAGAATCCTCTGTTATGCGAGACCCCAGAGCCCACACAATTCCTACCCGCCTTTGGATCTTATGTGCCTGCTCCTAGTGGTTAACATGGATTCACTGGGGGAAAAAAAAAGAAAAGAAAGAAAAAGAGAAAGAAAATGTTCGCACTGCCCTGTGAAGACAGATTCTAAATGATCAGACATGCTCTACATGTGACCCAAGCAACAAGCAAAATCTTCAACGCGTAAACAATGTGCGATTAGACAGAATGGGTTATAACAGCACCACCACTTACTACTTCATGATTTGAGCATGTTGTTTCATAAGCATTAATTTCCTAGACTTTCAATGTCTGAATTAAATAATATATCAAAAATGTCTGGCTTATCATTAAGTGCTCAATAAATGATAGTAGGCAGTGATATTAATATCACTGGATACCAATTTATTAATATACATTTTCAGTTTCTAATTTCTAAATGTGATGATCTAGACAAGCAGCAAAGGTCACATACAGAAAATTCTGGCTCCCTACATATGAATGTGACCAGTTAATTTGCCCACCCTTGACTGAGGGCTGAGTCTCTGGCACTCTGCTAGACACGGGTAATGCAGTATAAAACAGATGGGTAAGATATCGCTACATCAACTCAAGGCAAGGTGGAGAGAAAGAATAGACAGAAGCTGGAATTGACACAGTTGAAATCTTAAATATGTAGAAAAATAATTTATTTTGGGTGTAAAGACAAATGGAAAATATGAAAGAACAGAAAATTTAAAAATATAAAAATGTATTTTTGCATAAAAAAGAAATTCCATGGCCATCTTTAAATTTACCACCCCAAAGGTCAATAAATGGAAAACTCAACATAATCTATTAAAATAAAAAAAATGAAAACGAGTTAATACATTGGCAACATGCTCAGTTTTCATGCTGTGACATATGTGGGGTGTTTGTCTTTTTTAGTAAATTATTTTATAAAGCTATAGTTACTTTAAAAAGCATTTTGCAATCAGCTAATATCAATGGAATATTAGTAATAATACCCAGAAACATACATATGACTAGCTCATATCTAAAAATTAAACAGTTATTAATGAATGACAAGCAAAGTATGCTACAATTCATATTCATAGTATAAATTCAAATGCGTGTGAGGTTCTTATTAAAGTTGTCATATAAAGCATGCTCATTGGTGGGATTTTATGAACAATAACCTTATGCTAGACAATGCTCCTTAAAGAGCCAACAGAACAAAGAATAATGATGTGATGGAGAAGTTCCTTGCCTGAAATCCGTCCACGTTATTCTAATCAGAAGGTGGCTGTGCATGACTCCAGAACAAAGTACTGCACAAAACCTACAGCTCCCCTCCCTGGGCAGGAGCAGGGCAGCCAGGCAGTCCCCTGAGCCTCTGTGGCCACAACCTGGTGCACAGAGTCCTGTCCCAGGGCAGGGGTTCGAGTCCGTCCTCCGAGCCTCTGCGGCCACAACCTGGTGCACAGACTCCTGTCCCAGGGCAGGGGGGTCAAGAACCTACCAAAATCCCCCTTTTGTGGCTCCTAGTTCATTTAAAAAAAATATTTAAAGTCAGAGGCAGAAATTTCCTCTGGGAAATCTATTTTAGGCAAGCAAGGTCTCAGACCTAATTTGTTTCTGTTTATTTGCTTTTGAAAACCAAGCATTCACAAGTGGCCATCTCCAGAGCTTGACAAGAAGAGTTGGCCTGAGTGACGGGCACTTCTCCCTGGGCTGGGCAGGTCCTGTCTCAGAGGGACCACAGGGTGGGTGTGGTGTGTAGGGGCTATGCCTGCCCCGCTCCTCTGCCCTCCCAATACAGCCGACTCCACATGACCTGAGGACAGGGGGTTGTTTATTTTGGGTTTCTTATGAATCCCATGGTTTGAGTGTCCCACACCATTCTCTTTTGGATTTCTTCTCCAGTTTGTGGACACAGAGCCCCAGGCATTTTTTTTCAGAATGGGGACCTCCACGTAAGGGTTCTAAGGCCCTGCATGTCAGAAATATTTATTTCACTAAGGGGATAATGATCTCACCCAAGATTGCAAAGGCCCTGAGGCTATTTTATTCTATGCTATGCATGCGTGGTGTTCAGGTTTATGAACGGTTCCACTCCATTGCCAGGCCAGTCTGCAGTCTAATCCTGGTTCCCCTGGGAAGCTCAGAAGCTCAGAAGCACGGGTTTTCTCTCTGAACAGGTCTAGGGTCTTCTCTTCCTGTTGGTTTTCTGGAGTTTGATGAGTTTGATGTGTTTAGGTTTGTCAACCTTTTTTCATTCTTAATGCTTGACATTCGTGCCCCCATACAACCTGAAAACTGTTCATCTCCGAGAACTTTCTTCTTTCTTTATTAATTTCCCCCTCTTTATTTCCTTTATCACTATTAGTTTTTTTGAATTTCTACTACTAAATGGATTTGGATTGTCTAAATTTATCTTCCATTGGTTTTAGCTTTTTTTTTTTTTTTGCTTTTTTTTTTTATCTCTTTCTTCTCCATGTTCTGGAAGGTTTTCTAAAATTTACCTTTGACTTCCTCAATTGCACTTTAAATTTTCAGTACTCCAATTTTAATTTTCAAAATTAGGTTTTGTCACAGTCACACATTTGCATTTATTTTGGTCAATTTTTGTCTTTACAAAAGGATAGAGATCATGTCGCACCACTGTGTGGTTAATATCTCACACAAGGTACATTATATGTAAACATTTGATCAATAATAGAGTGAAGAAATAAAGGAAGAAAGAAGTGAGTGAGAGCGTCTCTGCACAGGGCTGGTGCCACATTGTCCCTGTTCCTCACAACTGTATAAAGTGGGTGTTACTAGCCTCATTCTGCAGATGTTGGACAGAAGCTGGAAAGGGTACACAATTTGGCCATTTTTGCACAGTTGATGAGTAAGTTGGGAAAGGAAGCACAGGGTGTCCTGAAGTAATTCAGGCAAAAGTAAAATAGGGAACAACGTCAGGACCTCCTGGGTTCCCTTTGTTGGGCATGACCTCTTAGCACCTCAGGGTTCAGCTGAAGAAAAGGCCTCGTTCCAACCTGGTACCCCGGGGATTCTTGGTTTACTTTTTCATTCCTCGAATGGGTCTTGTTACCTCCAGATCCTCTTGCTCAGAGGTGGGGGGGTCACCTTCTTTCTACATGGAAATAGGATGGTGGCTGTCAGGTTTTAACCCTGCTCCACGGTGAGAAATAGATTTTACATCTTGATCCCGTGTGCACATCCTATGTATATTATAGAGATTTGAAACCGTGATAAAATCAAACATTTCACAGAACAACACCTTCTTAATATGTATGACATCCTCAAATGCTTTCCATTCTACTTCTTTTTATTGACATTAGTACTGCCTCCTCAGACTGGTATCACAACTCACAAATGAATTGTGGCCACAGTTGGAGAAACACCGGTGTAACTTAGCTGGGGTATATTTTCTCCATGGTCTCTCGACCATGAGACTTGGTGTGTGATTGTGCGGTTGGCTCTCTGCTGCTGCCGAACAGCAGCCTGCCTTGACCTCTTCTAGCCCAATACCTCATCACCACTTATGGTAATAAGATACTGAAAACATTATCTATGATACCAGTTGTAAAGTACAGTTGGGTATCTCTCAGTTTCATGTAGAATTCAATTTCAAAACTGCTTTCCATGTATGCCACATGCTTCAGTTGGTCTGTCATTGGATGCCACTGGTAAGTGTCAGGCCACTGTTGTGCTCCAGGTTGCCTAAGAGACAATGAGGATGGAATGTATGAAGTGACTGAAGGCCTTCGGTGGACCAAGCATTATACTAACTGCAAAAGGGTGTAATCATTTGTCCTTACTCACAGGGTAGGGTCAATGTTTTTCAGGGTAAATATTCAACATGATACTTTAGCCTTGTGATATGTGTCCCCACCCAAATCTCACCTTGAATTGTAATCTTGAATTGTAATCCCCATAGTCCCCACATGTCAAGGGTGGCACCAAGTGGAGGTAACTGGATCACGGGGGCGGGGCAGTTTCCCCCATGCTGTTCTCATGATAGAGAGTGAGTTTCAAGAGATCTGATGGTTTTATGAGTGTCTGGCATTTCCCTTGCTTGCACTTCTCCTTCCTGCCACCTTGTGAAGAAGGTGCCTTGCTCCTTCTTTACCTTCTGCCAGGATTGTAAGTTTCCTGAGCCCTCCCCAGCTATGTTAAAGCGTGAGTTGATTAAACCTCTTTTCTTTATAAATTAGTCTCCAGTGTGTCCTTGTAGCAGCATGAGAATGGACTAATATACCTTGGGAATTGCTGAGAACCAATCTATGCCTCCACGTCAACCCCACGGTAAGCTTACAACTGCTCCAAAATATGCACCTGTTCTTCCTGAGTCCCGTTCCCATTTCCCACTTAGACTTGCTCGATTCCCATGGCCTGCTCTGCATGGGGGGCATCTGTGCTTCTGGTGTGTGTCTCTCAACACAGCCTCACACTTCCTGCCAAAGGCTTTTTGGGCTTTTCCACGTGACGTTTCACATAAATTGTTGAAAAAGTCAGCAGGTAGGAGGGTCACTTATTAAACACCCCTCAGCCTTCTCCTCCAAGTTCCCTGTGACAGTGAATAGTAACAACCCAGGCCCCCAGTCCAGGTTTGCCCACCGTCACCCTGGCCCATGGTCCTGGCCTCTGGGTAGCTCCTCTCAGCCTCCCAGTGCCTCTCAACAGAGCTCTTCTCTCCCTCCTGCTGTGTGGCTTGATTCCCACTGATGGACCATGGCCTGTGGGCCTGCTGCTGCTTCCTCCGGCAGCCACAGGGGCTTCTCTCCTGGGGTGGGTGCCTTGGCACCTCCTGCCCCTTCTCTATGTCTTTGTGAGATGTCCCCTTCCTGTACCTGAGTCTTCAGTGCCACCCCATCACCTTTGAGGTAAGACAGCACCCTGGTGTGGGGCCCATGGGTGCTTAGGGCTGCCGAGCCTCCTCCATGTCTGCACGCCTTCCTGTGTGGACCCCCACTTTCCCTGACTAAGTCTCCCCTCAGCCTCTGGGAGCAGCACCTGTTCTCATGGCCCCAGGCCCGGCTGCTTCAGGCACCCTCACTCCACTCCCTCAGTGCACCATGCTTCCTTTTCCATCATGAAGCCTAATACATTGATTCATGCCTTTCGTGCATGCCTTCTTTCCTGCATGAGTTCTTTCCTGCATGCGTTCTTTCCTGCAGGCATTCTTTCCTGCAAGCGTTCTTTCCTGCATGCCTTCTTTCCTGCATGCCTTCTTTCCTGCATGCATTCTTTCCTGCATACTTTCCTGCAGGCGTTCTTTCCTGCATATGTTCTTTCCTGCGTGCCTTCTTTCCTGCGTGCCTTCCTTCCTGTGTGCCTTCTTTCCTGCATACGTTCTTTCCTGTGTGCCTTCTTTCCTGCGTGCCTCCTTTCCTGCAGGCGTTCTTTCCTGAATGTGTTCTTTCCTGCAGGCGTTCTTTCCTGCAGGCGTTCTTTCCTGCAGGCGTTCTTTCCTGCAGGCGTTCTTTCCTGCATGCGTTCTTTCCTGCATGCGTTCTTTCCTGCAGGCGTTCTTTCCTGCATACGTTCTTTCCTGCGTGCCTTCTTTCCTGTGTGCCTTCTTTCCTGCAGGCGTTCTTTCCTGCATGCGTTCTTTCCTGCATGCGTTCTTTCCTGCATGCGTTCTTTCCTGCAGGCGTTCTTTCCTGAATATGTTCTTTCCTGCTTGCCTTCTTTCCTGCAGGCATTCTTTCCTGCAGGCATTATTTCCTGCATACGTTCTTTCCTGCATGCGTTCTTTCCTGCGTGCCTTCTCTTCTGCAGGCGTTCTTTCCTGCATGCGTTCTTTCCTGCAGGCATTCTTTCCTGTGTGCCTTCTTTCCTGCAGGCATTCTTTCCTGCGTGCCTTCTTTCCTGCGTGCCTTCTTTCCTGCGTGCATTCTTTCCTGTGTGCCTTTCCTGCGTGCCTTCTTTCCTGCGTGCCTTCTTTCCTGCAGGCGTTCTTTCCTGAATACGTTCTTTCCTGCAGGCATTCTTTCCTGCATGTGTTCTTTCCTGCAGGCATTCTTTCCTGCATGTGTTCTTTCCTGCATGCGCTCTTTCCTGCATGCGTTCTTTCCTGTAGGAGTTCTTTCCTGCATGTGTTCTTTCCTGCATGCGTTCTTTCCTGCAGGCATTCTTTCCTGCATGCGTTCTTTCCTGCATGCGTTCTTTCCTGCATGCCTTCTTTCCTGCAGGCGTTCTTTCCTGCATGCCTTCTTTCCTGCGTGCCTTCTTTCCTGCAGGCGTTCTTTCCTGAATACATTCTTTCCTGCATGCGTTCTTTCCTGCAGGCGTTCTTTCCTGAATATGTTCTTTCCTGCTTGCCTTCTTTCCTGCATGCATTCTTTCCTGCAGGCATTATTTCCTGCATATGTTCTTTCCTGCATGTGTTTTTTCCTGCAGGCATTCTTTCCTGAATATGTTCTTTCCTGCGTGCCTTCTCTCCTGCAGGCGTTCTTTCCTGCATACGTTCTTTCCTGTGTGCCTTCTTTCCTGCAGGCGTTCTTTCCTGCGTGCCTTCTTTCCTGCGTGCGTTCTTTCCTGTGTGCCTTTCCTGCATGCGTTCTTTCCTGCATGCCTTCTTTCCTGCCTGCTTTCTTTCCTGCGTGCGTTCTTTCCTCATGCGTTCTTTCCTGTGTGCCTTCTTTCCTGCATGCGTTCTTTCCTGCATGTGTTCTTTCCTGAATGCGTTCTTTCCTGCAGGCATTCTTTCCTGCATGTGTTCTTTCCTGCAGGCATTCTTTCCTGAATATGTTCTTTCCTGCTTGCCTTCTTTCCTGCATGCATTCTTTCCTGCAGGCATTATTTCCTGCATATGTTCTTTCCTGCATGTGTTTTTTCCTGCAGGCGTTCTTTCCTGAATATGTTCTTTCCTGCATGCGTTCTTTCCTGCGTGCCTTCTCTCCTGCAGGCGTTCTTTCCTGCATGCGTTCTTTCCTGTGTGCCTTCTTTCCTGCAGGCGTTCTTTCCTGCGTGCCTTCTTTCCTGTGTGCGTTCTTTCCTGTGTGCCTTTCCTGCATGCGTTCTTTCCTGCATGCCTTCTTTCCTGCCTGCTTTCTTTCCTGCCTGCTTTCTTTCCTGCATGCGTTCTTTCCTCATGCGTTCTTTCCTGCGTGCCTTCTTTCCTGCATGCGTTCTTTCCTGCATGTGTTCTTTCCTGAATGCGTTCTTTCCTGCAGGTGTTCTTTCCTGCATGCGTTCTTTCCTGCATGCATTCTTTCCTGCATGCGTTCTTTCCTGCAGGTGTTCTTTCCTGCATGCATTCTTTCCTGCATGTGTTCTTTCCTGCATGCCTTCTTTCCTGCATGAGTTCTTTCCTCCATGCGTTGTTTCCTGCACGTGTTCTTTCACTCATGGCTTCTTTCTTTTGCACCCTTTCTTACTTCAGACACAAACACATCATTATGTGGTACTCTAACAGTCTGCTTATAGCCTAGTTTCTCCATTTCATTAAAAAAAATGTTATCATGTATGTTTGATGTTTACAACATGTTGATATGGGATACACATACATCGTAGAATGCTTACTATAGTGAAACAAATTAACTTGTTTATCATCTCAGTTACTTTTTTGTGACAAGAGCAGCTAAAATCTACTTAGTTAGCAAAGCCTCCAACACAGTATAATTTTATTAACTTTAGTTTTCATATTGGGCATTAGATCTCTAGACTTGATCATCCCACATATCTGCTATTTTGTATCATTTGACTTATATCTCCCCATCACCCCCCACCCATAACCACTGTTTCACTCTCACCTACGTGTATTTGAGCTTTTATTTTTAATTTTTACTTTTTTGAGACAGGGTCTCACTCTGTCAATCAGGCTGGAGTGCAGTGGCGTGATCTCGGCTCACTGCAACCTCTGCCTCCTGGGTTCAAGTGATCCTCCCACCTCAGCCTCCAGAGTAGCTGAGACTACAAATGCACATCACCATGCCCGGCTAATTTTTGTATTTTTAGTAGAGACGGGGTTTCACCATGTTGGCCAGACCGGTCTCCAAGTCCTGAGCTCAAATGATCCACCCCCTTCAGCCTCCCAAAGTGCTGGGATTACAGGCCTGAGCCACCGCACCCAGGCTGAGCTCTTTAGGAAAAAAAAAAAAGTTCCACATTTAAGTGAGATAATACAATATTTTTCTTTCTGCATCTGACTTATATTACGTAGTATAATATTTTCTGGGTATATCTATATTGTGGCAAATAGCAGGATTGCATTCTTCTTAAGGCTGAATAATATTTCATTGAAGATATATATATATATATATATCCCCCACATTTTTGCCATCCATTTGTCCATTAGGTTGCTTCTGTATCTTGGCTATTGTCAATCATGCTGCAATGAACATGGGAGTTGCAGGCATCCTTACGAGGCATTGATTTTGTCTCCTTTGGAATTTCCTCAGGAGGATTGGTGGGTCACATGGTAGTTCTATTTTTAATGTACTGTTTTTCATAATGGCTGTACCAAGCCACATTCCCATCTACAGTGTGCAAGGCTTCCCTTTTGTCCACAACCTCACCAACCCTTGCTATCTCTTGATTTTTGGATAATAGCTGTAAACCAAAAAGTATCTGAGATGGGTATCAATCAATTTAGAAGGTTATTTTGCCAAGGTTAAGGAAAAAAACAAAACAGAATTACAGAAACTGTCTGTGCCTTTCTCCAAAGATGAATTTGAGAGCTTCAATATTTAACAGGGAAAACTGGCACTTTACATAAGATAAGGTGAATGAGGAGTTGCTACCTGTGGAGATATTTAACCTTTTATCTGTAGCTATCTGCTTCGGAACAAAGGGAAAGGTAACTTCTTGCATGACTCAGATTTCAGCTTATTTTTTTTTCTTTTGGCCTAGGGAATTGTGGTCCCAACTTGTTTTTTTCCATTCACACAGCTGTCCTTCCATGTGTGAGGTGGTAACTTATGATGAAACCACCTTTGATAAATGGTAACAGTGAGAAAATTCTGGGAGTGGAAGATCTGATCCAGCCAATGCCATTTTGCCTTTACCCTCAAGCTGCCAAACTAGCTTTGGGAGACATTTAGTTGATAGTTTAAATGATAATTAATAGGCCTTCCCCCAAACCCAACTGCCTTTGTAAAGCTAATGAGAGACCACCTGGTGAGGGGGAGGAGAGGAGCCTGAATTCTGCTAAGGTGTGGACATTCATGATGGTCAGCCATTATTCCGGAGGTCCTGCAGAGAGCATCTCTATAGTAGAACCTACGATTGGCTTTTTGAGGCATCTTCTCAGGTTTTTTGCATGTCTGACACCCATGGCTCCATGTGGACCCCCCAATAGATGACTCTGTCACTCCTGTGGCCCCACTCAGAAACCACTCAGTGCACAGGGGGACCTTTCCCACACCCTGTGATTGTATCCTAGTCAGTTGGCAGCAAGCAGCCTGCCTAGGCGCCCCACACTTTCCTCAAACTGTCCTTGAAAATCCCTTAACCTACAAGCCTTCCATGAGGTTGATTTGAGTTAATAACTCCATCTGCCACGGGCGTGGCCAGCCTCGCATTAATTAAACTCTTGGTTTACTGCAATGCCCTGGTCTTCATTTGTGCAGTGGGCAGGAAGAACAGGCCAGGAGGTTACAATGATGGCTTTATTTTGCGTTTCCCATTTGAGGAGTGATGCTGAACACCTTCTCATTTGCCTGTTGGACATTTTTATTTGTTGTTTTGAAAAATGTCTGTTTACGGCCTTCGCTCATTTGAGGATTATTTGCCTTATTTTTACTGTTGATTTGTAAGAGTTATTTATACATTTTGGATATTAACCCCTTATCAGATGTGATTTGCAAACTTTTTTTTTCCACTCTATAGGCTGCTTTTTCATTGTGATATTGTTTCTTTGGCTGTGCAGAAGCTTTATGGTTTTGTGTAGTCCATTTATTTATTTTTGTTTTGTCATTTAAGCTTTTGGGTAACATTTTAAAAAGTGTTGCTGTGACCAAGGTCAAGGAGATTTTTCCCAACATTTTCTTCTTGGAGTTTTATGGTTTCAGGTTTTACATTTAGGGCTTGCATCCATTTTGAGTTATTATTATTTTTTTTAATGTATAAGACAAGGATCCAATTTTATTATCTTCCATGTGAAAATTCAGTTTTCCCAGCACGGTTTATTGAAGGGACTGTCCTTTCCCCATTGTGTCCTCTTGGTGACCTTGTCAAAAATTAGTTGCGCATATTTGTT
Source organism: Homo sapiens (assembly GCF_000001405.40). Classification (NCBI taxonomy): domain Eukaryota; kingdom Metazoa; phylum Chordata; class Mammalia; order Primates; family Hominidae; genus Homo; species Homo sapiens. The sequence continues at coordinate 2,009,000 of NC_000002.12, forward strand.
TCAATTTATTTGGGGGCTCTTTGTTCTGTTCCACGGGTCTATGGTTCTGTTTTTATGCCAGTATCATACTGCTTTAATATCTATAGCTTTGTAATATAATTTTAAATCAAGAAGTATGATTCCTCCAACTTTGTTTTTCCTTCTCAGTGGTTTTTTTTTTCTTTTTTTCCTGGCTTCTTGGAGTTTTTTGTGGTTCTACAAACATTTTAGGATATTTTCCCAATTTCTGTGAAAATTGCTATTGTTGCTATTGAAGATTTTAATAGGGATTGTGTTAAATCTGTATATTACTTTGGGTAGTATGGACATTTTAACAATACTAATTCTTCCTAATGAACATGAAATATCTTTTCATTTATTTGTGCCTTTTTCCATTTCTTTCCTTAATGTTTTATAGTTTTTGGTGTACATATCATTTACCTCCTTTGTTAAATTTGTTCCAAAATATCTTTTTTGATGCTATCATAAATGGGATTGTTTTACTGATTTATTTTCCAGCTAGGTTATTATTTTTCTATACAAATGCTACTGATTTTTGTATGCTGATTTTGTATTCTGCAACTTTGCCGAATTCATTCATAATTCTAACAGTGCTTTTGTGTGTAATCTTTGGGGTTTTCTACATATTGGATCATGTCATCTGCAAATAGAGAAATGCTACTTCTTCCTTCTGAAGTGGATCCCTTTTGTTTATCTTATTTCATTTCTTGTCTGACTGCTCTTGTTAGTACTTCTAATCCCATGCTGAATAGAAGTGGCGAGAGAGGGCATCTCTGCTTTCTACTGGATCTTAGTGGCAAAGTTTCAGTTGCTCCCTGTTAATTATATTAGCTGCAGGTTTTACATGATAGCCTTCATAATGCTGAGAAACTTTTCTTCTATACCTAAACTGTTAAGAGTTTTTTTTTTTTTTTTTTTTCATGAAAGGGTGTTGAACTTTGTGAAAAGCTTTTTCTGTGTCAGTTGAGATGATCATGGGGTTTTAAAATCTTTCATTCTGTTAATGGGATGCATCACATTGATTGATTTGCATATTTGAAACCAGCCTCCCATTGCATTTTAAAGATTATTCTAAAGCTGTGCAAAGGCTCTGCCTTTACATTTTGGGCATCTATGGGGTAAAATGGAGAGTACACCAAGGCAGTGCCCATCTGGCAGAACTTCAGAGTAGATTCTCCTGCTTCTCCTCCTGCTTAGCTGCTTTTCTGTGTAGAGAGTGAGGAAGGTGAGACGTACAGGCAGCAGGGGATTAAGAAACAACTTGTCCCTAAATGACCCTTCAGGTCTGGGGGAAAACATTTGGAAGAATGGGAAGCCAAATGTTTTCCCCCTAGACCTAGATGTCTGAAGCTGCAAGTCTGAAGGCTGACTGTATGTTGTTAAGTTCTGCTTGGCTATGAACAAGCTGTGAAATGCAGGGACAGTTAGGTGTTGTCTGGGTGTAGACAGGGCCTGCTGCCAGTGACAGCAGTGTGCTAGGAAGAAAGGCACATGGGAGGTGCCACTCTGCTGCTGTCTGTCCATCATAGCCACAGATTCATTATATTGGATCAAGTCTCGGTATCTTCTGGATACACTCCCCATGGCTGCTACTACCCAGTGATCGATCCGACGCCCTTCTAGGGATGTTCTGTCATTTAAAGACCAGGGATTACATCCATGATCTTCTATGCAATGGCTTTGTGAACTTTAAGATTCAGAAGCCACACCCACAGCTAACATCATACAGAACAAAGTAGGAGGGCAAACACTTCCCGACTTCAAAACTCACTACAAAGCAACAGCAATCAAGACAGAGTGGTGCCACATATGGACAGACATGATGCAGCTCAGCGGAACAGAACCCATACCAAGAAGTAACTCACGCGTCTACTGTCAACAGACTCTTCACAGGGGTGCCGGGGCTAGTCAAAGGGGAGAGAATCATCTTTTTAACCAACCGGATATCCCCATGCAAACAGGGGTACTCATTTCTGAGTACTTCAGCCCAGTGAGATGGAGTTGGTGGCAGCCTGCCTCCAGCATGTCCCTATCTCACACTGTGTACAATAATAAACTCAAAATGGATCCAAGACCCAAACTTGGATCCATATAAGAACTAAAAGTAGGCTGGGCATGGTGGCTCATGCCTGTCATCCCAGCACTTTGGGATGCCAAGGCGGGTGGATCACTTGAGGTCAGGAGTTTGAGACCAGCCTGGCCAACACGGCAAAACCCTGTCTCTAGTAAAAATACAAAAAAATTAGCCAGGCATGGTGGCATGTGCCTGTAATCCGAACTACCATGTTAGGCTGAGGCAGGAGAATCACTTGAACCCGGGAGGCAGTGAGTTGCAGTGAGTTGCAGTGAGCCGAGATTGCGCCACTGCACTCCAGCCTGGGTGACAGAGCAAGACTCCATCTCAGAAAAAGAAAAAAAAAGAAAAAAAAGAAAAAAAAAAACTGTAACTATACAACTCTCAGATTTGGCAACATATTCTTAAATATGACAACAAAAGCATGAGCAATTAAAAAGTAGATAAATTGAACGCTATCAAAATTTTAAAAAACAGACTTTTGTGTTGCAAATACACCACCACAAAAGTGAAAAAAACAATCTACAGAAGGGGAGAAGGTATTTAAAAATCATATATTGATAAGGGATTTCTATCCAGAATATATAAATAATTATTATAAATCAATAATAGAATGACAACCCAGTTAACAACTGGCAAAGGATCTGAACAGATATTTCTCCAAAGAAAATCTGCAAAAAACCCTAAACACACAAAAAGACTGTCAATATCATTAGTCATCAGAGATGTATAAATCAAAACTACAGTGAGACCATGCTATACCCACTGGGATGTCCAGAAGCAAACATGAGATGCTGACAAGTGCTGGTCACTTGTCACTTGCTGTATGCAGACAGCCCTCATTGCACTTGAGGATGGCCCCAGGTGCTAGACCACCAAGGGAATCAGAACATGCCTACGTTGCTGGTGAGAATGTCAATGGTGCAGTCACTTTAGAAAACAGTGAGGCAGCTCCTGAACGGATTCACCAGAGTCGAGTCACTATGTGACCCAGAAATTCCATTCCTAAAGAAGCATTAAGAACATGTTCACACATTCATATAAAGACTGTATATGTTTACTGTAACTTTATTTGTGACAGCCAAAATGGAATCTCCTTAAATTTCCATCTACTGATGAATGGACAAAGAGAATGGGGCTGATTTATATAATAAAGTTCACTAATGTGGGATATATATGAATTCATAGATAATGAAATATATATCTGCCATAAAAAGTTATGAAGCACTGATAGATGCTACGACATAAATGAAGGTTTAACACATTATGCTAAGTGAGAGAAGTCAGTCTCACACGGCCACGTCTAATGATTCCATTTACATAACAAGTGCAGAATGGAGAAAGTTGCAGAGGCAGAAGGTAGATTAGTGGCCACTTGGGGCCAGAGTCGGGGAATGTGGGAGTGATGGGGTTTCTTTCTGAGGTGATGAAAATGTTCTAAAGTTGACTGGGTGATACTTGTTTGTATCTGTGACTATCATAGGCCCGCTTATTTGTGGTTTTCCTTTTCATGGTTTCAGATACCCAAGGTCAACAATGGTCCAAAAATATTCAACGGAAAATTCCAGAAATAAACCATGATGAATTTTCCATTGTGTGCTCGTGATGAAATCTCCCGCCCTCCAGTTCCATCTGGCTGGGACATGAATCATTCCTTTGTCCAGTGCGTCCGTCCACACCGCACACCCTACCCACCCGTCAGTCACTTGGAAGCCATCTCAGTCATGAGAGCCACCGCTGTGGTACCGCAGTGTTGTATGCAGGGTGCCTCATTGCACTTCAGGGTGGCCCCAGGTGATAGAGCACCGAGGCCGGCTTGTTGTTTATCATCGCTCCATGTCATTAGTTATTATTGTTAACCTCTTCCTGGGCCAGAGTTGTAAATTAAACTTTACCGCAAATATGTGTGTATGTGAAAAAACATAGTATATGGAGTTTTGGCACTATCCATGGTTTCAGGTGCCCACGGGGGGTCTTGGAATGTATCCCACAGATACAGGAGAACACGCGATTCTAGAACCCACTGAAGTGTACACTTCCAATGGGTGCATTTTATGGCATGTGAATTATATCTCAAAGTTGTTGATATATTCATGCGATGTCTCAAGGAACACTCAGGAAACACAAATGAAGCAACTGAAGCCTCCTGAGCTACTCACTCCTGCCTCAACTTCCCACGGGCCCAGCGGTCACTTCTTCCCTGGACTCAGGGGCCAGGCTTCCCTCGAATGACGCATGGGAACCCCCTTTGTGCCCTTCAGCTCCAGGCCAAGATCCTCACCCATCAGCAATGGTGTCTGTGGGGCCTCTGACACCTGCCCATCCAGCCACTGGGCTCTGCCTCTTCACAGCCTCACCTGGTGAGCCAGGACCTGAAGCCTAGAACCTGAAACATTAACCCAAACTCATTGCCCGTGTGGCCCACTGGAGCCTGGAACCGGAGGCTCATGGTCACCGTGAGGGCACAAGGGCTCAGATGCATGTTGCCATGCTCAGAATTCCGCTTCTGGCTATAACCTCGGCTGTTGATCAGGGAGTGTCTGCAGAGCCAGGCTTCAGATCATGTGCTGCTCTGCAGATCGGGGACATGCTGGAGGCATGCTGCCACCAACTCCATCTCGCTGGGCTGAAGTACTCAGAAATGAGGGGCAATTCTCACCAGAAAGGGGAGAGCCCTGCTGGCCCAGGTGGGCTCCAAGAAGGGGGACTGAATTCTGCTAACACAAAGCACCCATGTGGGTTCTGCAGTGCCATTCATGCATTCACATGCTGCTGCACGGAGGCCTGCGTCCGCACCCGGGCAGTTTGGTTTAAGGTCATAGGTGGAGTCCTTCCCACATAAACTTTTTAAGGCACAGGGATGGTGAAGAAGTGTTTGCTCCATGCATCACAGGATTTGATCTTGCTGGAACTCCATTCATATGACCAGAAATGTGGATGCCCATGCCTTTTCCTATGCAGCCAATTTGCCTAGTAAATAACAACTAACTGCTAAGGAAGAACCAGATCAAGAGTAGATTGCCTCCTTGCACCTTTTAAATGAAATAAAACTTTGAGAGCAAGTAAAGTGCATCTCATTATTATTTCATTTTTTTTCCTGCAGTGGGATATGCAGGAATCCTGTTTTTTTTTTTTTTCCTGAGCAGTCAGAGAGAGTTCCACTGCCTCTATCTAGTGGCAAATTGGGGATTTAATGCCTTAATAACCAGCCCTTGTCCTTGTGAACCGCCTTTTGTGGGCGGTCTCCAAGTTCCTTCCAAACAGTGACTTAATTAATGCCCACAGCAGCCCTGTGCTCCAGCAAACGTGATAATCCGCCCTTCACTGCTGACAGCCCTGGGAAGGCCGGTCATCCTGGGAGAGAACTGTGCAGGGCAGAGCTCAGCAGCAGCAGACCAGAGTCAAAGGAGTGGGTGGAAGGTCGTGTCTGCATGGAAGGTGAGGAGGTGTTTATCCTCCTTCCTCTGCAGCAGGGAGCACAGGCGTCTGCTTGCTGGCAGCTTCTCAGGAGCTCCAGCATCTGTGTCTGGGCATCCCGGATGGGCACCCTGCCTGACTCTGATTCATAATCTGAGTGCTCAGCCCAGAGCCCAGAGCTCACAGAAGCAAAGAAATGAATGCAGATAAGATGTATTTAGGCCAAGAATGGCCAGCAAGGCAGGCAATGAGTGCCAATGCTGGGGCGAGCAAGAGGACTAGATCCCAGGAGCTGAAGTGGAGCAGGCAGGTTTCCGGGGAAGAAGATTCACTGGAGTTCCCCTTAAGAGGGGTGCTATCAGCCCCATGAGAAGCAGAAGCTAGAGAGTGTGCCAGAAAGAAAGGCTTTGGTGAGTCAGGATACAAGGCTTTTGAACTCCGAATTAAGATATTTGGACTTTTTTTTCTCTTCTTACCTACAAAGGGCTATTGGATTTCTTGGAGTGACACAGCGTTAAAATCAAAATTGTGTTTTAGGGTGATCTTTTCGGCCCTAATTCAAAATGCAAATTTTCTAGCTGGGCTGGCACTTGTATCCATAGATACCAGGTGTCCTGGTGTGGGATGAATCATAAGCTCGACCACGCGGGTTTTACAAAGGGATGCATGGCCTCAAGAGCACTGCAATGCTGAAGAGAATGGGTGCAAGGGCAGGGCCTTTAAGCACACGGCCTCCGAGGAGTCTCTGTTTCTGGGGACTTAATTTGGGCTCCACGATAATGATGGAAAGGAGACAGTGCAGGCGCAGCATGCAGGATGTTCACCAGCAGCGTCCTTATCACACTTGATCCTCACAAAAAGGCCACGTTCTTGCATGGTTGTTGCCACCGTGCTCTAAAGATAAGGAAGCCATGGCTATGGGAGGCCAGGCAGCTCCTCCCGCAGCTGGACCACCTGGAAGGCTACCTCACCTCCATGCCTGCACCTTCTGGGCTGTGAAACAGGATCCTAAAAGGGCTATCTTTGGGCCTTCCAAGCAAAACACACATCAGGGCACCTCATTAAGTAGCAAGTGTGCAAGGCATTATATGAATTACAAAGTTCTCTGCAAACTCAAGAGACTCATAGCTGCTCTGGCTTTGCAGCTGTTTTAGAGATAGGGAAAACCACATGAGGAAACAAAGGTGGAAGGAGAAGCCTGTGAGGCAAGGGAAGGAGGGGGCGGGAGGAACTTCCCACCAGCACACCGGCTGTCCACTCTGCCCCGGGTTCCAGGACAGGTTCTGTCTCATATTTCACTTGTTCATTTCCTTCAACAATCCTGTGAAGTGGCAGCCCTTTGTCTATCTTGCAGATGTTGTGTAACCCATACAAAGTGAGATTCCGGCAAGCATTCCAACTGGGGTCCCTCCAGGAATATGGGTGGGACTCCCAGGTCAGGAGGCTCGCTGCAATCATGGTACAGCAGAACAAAGGAAAGCTTCACAAAAAGTTAATGAGGGAGGGGCTGGAACCTAAAAGGACACACACCATCCACTGTTTTCTTTAATAAAATGTCAACTTAGGAAGGAAGATTTGCATTCATCTTGGGTCAGCTAAAGCCTTGTAAGGATTCACTCATCAATTAGGTGCTAGGAGCTTTGTCCACATCCACTGTTTGGGTGCAGGGGACAACGCTGTGGTGAAACCATACAAAGCCACTGCTCTCTGGAGCTTAGATGCCCAGGCAGGGATGGCAAACAAATGCACAGACACGTGATATGCCAGGGGAGAGAGGCATTCAGACACCAGAACACAGAGCAAGAAGATGGAGAGGGTCAGGAAGTGGCTGTTTCAGGAAGACTGGCCGGGAAGCTGTCTGAAAACTTGGATGCCTGAGCAGAGAAATTCCTCCTCCTGCCTATTAAGCCACCAAAGCAAAGCCCTTTGGAATTTAAGATGGGGAAGCACACGAAACCCTAGCTCAAGAGTTCTCACAGCCGCCATGGCACTGTTCACTTTTCTAAATGCTGCCAAGCCAGACAATTCCTCAGAGGTCCAGGATTCTGTAGAAATAACCAGGAATCCAACACCCTTCTCTGTCACAGCACTCAGTGGCTGCTGATGCATGAGGTAGCTTCTGTGGGAACTGGGGAAACATATGTGAAAGAAGAACTCCAAAGACAATAAAAGACAAAAATAATATTTAGAATCAAGAGGGAGAAAGAAGCTGGCATGCTGGATAAGAAAAGCAAAACATATATAAATACATATGTATGCACATGCATCTGTAATCATCTAGATCACGTGAAGACACGAAACCACATAGGAGCTACCAGTACATGCATCTAAGTGTCTGAATTTCCTGCCAATCTGGGCAACGGCATTCTGAAATCCATCAGCCAGAGCACAGCTAATTAAAGCAGACCCACATTTTCTTAGCATGAATTTCACCACACAGATGGCAATTTAAAAGCATCTACCTGCTTAAATTACAATGTAAAGGAGGAGATATTAAAATCTTGCTAATAATTGAGTCCAAAGGCCTATCGACAGCTGTGCTGCCTCCCCTGAAAGACAGCCAGGTGGGGAGGCAGGCTGGGTCTCCTGGGGCTTCACACAGAGCCATCATTACAGGCTGGGGAGTGGCTTGGGCTATTGCCGTATTCATGGACTCGTAGACTCCACACTGAGAGTTGCCCTAGAGACTCAACGCTCCCTGCTTATCGCACTGGTGAGGCCAGCAGGCGCCTGCACTCACCTGACATCAACTAACCTCCTTCCTTTGTAGCATTCTGCATCTTCTCAGGTTTGCAAAAGTTATTCAGGAGAACAGACAATTGTGAACACAATCTAATTACCCAATGGCATAGGAAGGGCTTTGTGATTGATAACAAGTCCATGTCCCAGTATGGACGAGAGGACCTCTGATTTGAAAAAGGAAGCTAGCTTGAGAGATGGGCTTCCAGCCAGTGCCTTCAACTGTGGATCTACCTGCTCTAAGTTGCAGGTTCCCCCTTCATACTGCGAAGGTCACAATACCTTGCTGTGTGGTGTCTGGGTGAATTACATGACAAAATACACAACATACAGCCAGGGTCCAATAGACACAACTCTTTCATCCCCAAGTAAAACAAGTATTATGAAGACTTTGTAGCAATGTTTAAGCACTTAAGATGTAACTTTGAAAAAGTATACTTTAGGTTGCAAAATTATAAGTATAATCCTATCTATCTATCTATCTAACCATCCATCCCTCCATCCATCCATCCATCCATCCATCCATCTTATAATCCAACAAAACACAGAAGGGATGCTATGTGTTCACTGTCTTCCTGTATGTGAATGCTAGGTTTCTGGGGCAGAGACTGCATTTCAATTTCTTTTATATTTTTCAAAATTTTGGACCTTTAAGGATTTAATTTGTTGTTTTTATTTAAGTACCTGTTTCACCTAAAAGTATTAATAACATGTTAATCTAGTGAAAGCAGGTATCTGTTTTGTACACAAGCACTACACTCTTAAAATTAAGTTTATTTCTCACTATTCGTGCCTTTATCCTATACACACACAAACGCACACACGTACATAATTGATTTTCCACATGGATTCAAAAGAGTAAAGCCTGCATAAAGAAGACAGTATAGACCCAAAGCAAGTGGACTCTACTTTTAAAATCTCAGATGACACTAAGCAGGTTTGATTTTTCTTTCTCTTTTCCTCACTTAATAATATTCTAGGGCAGACAGAATAAGACCTTCTTGCCTAGTGTCTGTTTCTCTGTCTGTTGTCTGCCCTCAGACACTAACTCAGGTCATAGCAGAAGATGAAGTTGGCCATCTCCTTGGGTTGCAGGTCGAGTTTGGTGCATCCCAGAGCCCTCCCGCCATCCCACTGGATGGTGGCCATGGAGAGACAGAGGAGCAGAGGGAGAGACAAAGGAACAGGGATGGAAGGACCTGCATTGGTCACTAGTAACTTAGCAACCCATGGGCCAATATGAAGAGCAAGATTCTCACTGGGTCATGTGCTCCAGTGCTCCTTTTGTGGAGGAGGGAATCTTGAAGACATTGGGTCAGATTGAGGCCCGGCCAGGCCGCTCATCGGATTCAGCCTTTCCTGCTCTCCGCCGTTTATGGCATGGTGCATGCTGCAAAGCAATGCAAAGTTGAGGAGTGATTAGACCCTCAAACCCTCAGGAAGTAGCAGGGGATCCAGGGCCTGAACACTTGGACTGTGTCCTCTCCACTTGGTCAATGGATTCTCCTGTTTCACGCAGAGATCAACAACTCCCCCAGAAAGGTGAGCCCAATGTTTGTATAGGAGGCTGGGAAAGAGGCCCTGCAGTTCCTCAACACCACCTACATTTCGTTTTTGAGTTCCAGAGAGAGAACGCCTCCTAAGGAGGGCTGCTCTCCACCTGTCTACACTCACGTGGGCATATTACATAGAGCTGGGGGAGCCGCTGATTTGTGAGTTGACAGATGGAGAGGATGGTTTTGACTTGGGTAAGAAATATCTTCCCACCTTAGTACAATACTAGATGCTGGCTTCTGTGTAAATTTAGCTTTATCTCCATTTCTCACAAAAAGAAATTAATTTGGTGACTTATGTAAGGTCAAGTAACATGCCCGATATGGTTTCGCTGTGTCCCCACCCAAATCTCATCTTGAATTGTAGCTCTCATAATTCTCATGTGTTGTGGGAGGGACCTGGTGGGAGGTAATTGAATCATGGCGGGCGAGTCTTTCCCATGCTGTTCTTGTGACAGTGAGTAAGTCTGATAAGATTTGATGGTTTTATAAAGGGGAATTCCCCTGCACACACTCTCTTGCCTGCCACCATGCGAGATGTGACTTATTCCTCCTTGCCTTCTGCCATGATTGCGAGGCCTCCTCAGCCTTGTGGAACTGTGAGTCAATTAAACCTCTTTCCCTCATAATTACTCAGTCTTCGGTATGTCTTTATTAACAGCATGAGAACAGACTTATACAATGCCCAAGGCCACTCAGACAAGAGAACAGATTTGGTATCCAAGCCCAGAGGCCCTAACCCCAAGTCCACTTATCTCAAGTGATACATAAATATATTCTCAGTGTGGGGGGTTCAGACTTCATGGATAACACTCAAGTTCCTTTAGATCCATGTCATTCTCTGCCATGCAGGCAAACACCTTTGTTAGTTTTTTCTATATTTGCTCTACATGTATCTACATGCATGCATGCACACATGCAACCTCACACACAGGCTGCCACACCCTTAGTCCTACTACATATGGAAATGCTAGAATTACTTCATTTTTTACCATAAATGTTATACTGTAAATATTCTTCTATTTTTTTTTCAGTTTGAGTTGATAACATTTACATGCCAGTGTAATTATTTTATTTATTTTTTGATATGGTATGCTCTGTCACCCAGGCTGGAGTGCAGTAGCAGATCTCAGCTCGCTGCAACCTCTGCCTCCTGGGCTCAAGGGATCCTCCCACCTCAGCCTCCCGAGTAGGTGAAACTACAGGTGTGCGCCACTGCACCCGGCTAATTTTTGTATTTTTTGTAGAGACGAGGTTTCACCATGTTGTCTAGGCTGCTCTTGAACTCCTGAGCTCTAGCAATCTGCCCAGCTCAGCCTCCCAAAGTGCTGAGATTACAGGTGTGAGCCACCATGCCCAGCCGCCAGTGTAATTAGCTATAGCTTGATTGTCAGGATTGGTGGGGGCTGTTATTCCATAGTATAGCTACAATCAGTTTATAAAACTATCACGTGTTGATATAAATTCAGGGTTTCTTTTCCTATTTTTCACCAAACACTCAATACTGTAATAAAATGTTTGTATGTGTCTCTTTCTCATGCACACATACCTATATTTCTCAAGGGTAGAGATTTATTTAAAATTTCCAGATGCCAAGGAGTCGCCCTTCAGAGTGTTCTCATGAATTTATCCTCAGCACAGGAAGGCGCACGTTCACGAACACATTTGCCAGTGTGGGGTTACATCTCACTTGACTGCTGATTTCATGGTGTATTTGTGTATGACAGATTATCTGAGTCAGAATAGGTAGTTCCTAGACATGTCTACCTCCTCTTCTATGATGTAGCTATTTCCTTCATCTTTATTACATTGTTTATATGCACTCTGCATACTTAATCTTTTCATATCATAGTTCCCCCAGTTTACTGCTGGTCTTTTGGCTTTGTTTACAAACTTTTCTTGTTCCTAAGTTTTAAACTTTGATCTACTTACATTCATCAGTCTTTTGTAATGTCTACGTTGTATGTGGCACCTAAGAAGGCTTTTCCTATTCTAAGGGAAAAGACAGGCTCCAGGATTTTCTCCTAATCCTTGCATATATTTGATTTTCAAAATGTAGATCTTTAATTAGCCAAAGTTTATTTGGGATTGATGTAAAACAGGAACCTGACCCAGTTAGCATAGCTCCAGGGACCCCAGCTGCCTCTGAGCAGCTCCTTCCAGAAGACCGAGGACCTTCCCTCCTGCAGCAGAAGGCTGTGAACTGCACAGGTGAGTCTGCGTCCTCAGGGTCCCTCTCTGCTTAGTAAGTGACGATGGGCAGACACCTGAGAAGAGAACCACGGGCAACGCTGGCTGGACGGTCTCCCGGAGGGGCTGCTTTAGAAGGGTGGGGAGCTTAGGAGGGTGAAAGGCTTTTCTAAAGAAGTGATAATTGGGTTCCTACTGCCTGAGAAACCAGCCAAGAAAGGCCCAGACTGAGGACACAGCAGGTGCACAGGTACAGGAGAAAGGGATTCAGATTCAAGGAGTAAACAGGAGGCCTGGGATTTGCAGAGAGCAGGGGTGGAGTAAGGTGGGAGGTGGGCAGGGGAAGGTTGACATGGGAGGCTGATGCCCCAGACATGTCCAGGCTGATTTCTAGCAGTGGCAGGAGGCTTTTAAAGGGTTTATGTAGGGAGCAAATGACATAGCTTATGTTTAAACAGCCCTCTGGGGCCTAGTCCTTTCTGTTCTATCTGGAAAATAGGTGGTGAGGAGTGAGGGTCGATTGGAGAACATTTATGAGGACATGGGTCATATTTTCACTTATCTGGGGCCCTTCTGATCTTAAGAAACTTAGAGGACAAGGAAGATGACTTTTACTTGCATTCATTAAATGTGTAAGTTTACCAGCCGGGCGCGGTGGCCCACGCCTAAAATCCCTGCACTTTGCGAGGCCAAGGCAGGCTGATCACGAGGTCAGGAGATTGAGACCATCCTGGCTAACACGGTGAAACTCCGTCTCTACTAAAAATACAAAAAATTAGCCAGGCGTGGTGGTGGGTGCCTGTACTCCCAGCTACTCAGGAGGCTGAGGCAGGAGAATGGCGTGAACCCGGGTGGCGGAGCTTGCAGTGAGCCGAGATCGTGCCACTGCACTCCAGCCTGGGCAACAGAGCGAGACTCCATCTCAAAAAACAAAAAAAAAAGTGTAAGTTTACTGAGATGCCACTGTGACCAAGACATCATGCTTGCACAGCAGACGTCACTGACACAAGTGGCAGTTCCAAAATGTCCTGAGTGTAAGCCAGCACAAAAGGGGCTGAAAAATCTCAGGGTCGGGAGTCTGCAAGGACGACATCTTGTGTATGTCTGCTGCACTTCCCTCGGGCAAGTGGGTGCAGCACACTGTTCGTAAAAGGAATAACCTCAGAATGTTGGTTAAATATGGCCTTACTTCGCCATGGCAACCCCACAGGCACACATCTACTGAGGCTATGCAGGATTCCTTCCAAATTGGGAGGGATTTCTGCCAGGGTACAAGTGGATTCTTTCTCTCTCCTCACGGTTAGGAGCACATGTCCCAGAGAGCTCCGGTACCCACCTCGAAGTGGTCTGACAAGCTACAGTCCATCCTCTGTGCTGGTTAACATCTTCTCATGCAAATTTAAATGCCCTTATTTTATGGGACAGTGTTTTCCTTGGCAGGCTCAGAGTTCCACAGCATTAATTTTAGGTATTTTTTTTAAACAAAAGGATACACAAATTCTACCTTTAAATGATGATACAAGTATTGAGAGAGATTTCAACCTCTCCTGTTCCATCTATTAACCTACAGACCTTTTCCGGTCTGGAAGTATGCCAACAGATAACACCCTAAGTCAAAGGTCAAATGCTGCACTTGACCTCCAAGATGCCCGCTTGGGCCTCTTCCAAGTGTACTTTCCTTTCTTTCGTTCCTGCTCTAAAGCTTTTTAATACACTTCCATTCCTGCTCTGAAAAAAAAAAAAAGAAAAGTACACAATATGTGGGTGCACAATGTCAGTTCTTTGTCCGTATTTATCTTTCCAAAAACAATGATTCAACAGCCTGCAAATTGATATGGTCAACTCAGGCACATGTGATGGAAGGCGGGTCACCTGCCTACCTGCGACCAAATACTGGCGGAGGCGTTTCATCTTAAATAACTACTTTTCAGAACTGGCCACAGATACTCAGAGGCCAGCATGTCAAATGTCAGTCACATTCAGGACTCACCTACATGGCCCAGGAGAGGGTAAATTTTCTTCACCATCTAGGAAAGAAAGCATCTTTCATGATACTTGTTGGGTTAGCCTGTGATACTGACAAAGGTGTGCTGCCCACATCTTTGTCAATGAAACAGAGTAGATGTGAGTCAGGCTATTTTAAACTGCGCCCCAGGGAAAGACACTGTGAGGTCATCTTGATGGGAAAGAAAAAAGAGTAGAGGTGGAAGGGACATCAGGGTGGGGGCCTGAGTCACCTTTATGGCCAGTGTGGGCACTTTACCGAATCCTAGACACCAGCTGCCTCCCTCAGAGGAGTGTTGGGCTGGACTGCATAGACTCGTGCATGAACTGTTCATCTCAGCTGTGCACAGAATGTCCATTAGAGAAGGGGGCAGCCTGTTTCCCAGGAGCTGCCTGGATGTTGCCTGTGGATGGTCCTCTGGCTGGCCTGCGTGTGTGAAGAACTCGGCTGAGCTCCGCCCAAAATTGTGTGGGCAATCTCTCTCTCTCCACTTCAGGAGGCTGGCATAAGCCTACACCAACAGATTGGGTAGTGCCTAATATCCAGTGGGTGTGGACGGGAAGCTCCCAGCACGGGCTCCTGAAGGACCCCACAGAGGCAGAACTCGGAGCAGCTCCCCTGCCCTGGCGGCACAAGGCTTTTGCTGTTTTTTTTTTTTTCAAACAACATAGAGGACTGAATAGTTGGATGGGGAGCAACCTGGAAAGGCTGTCTAGCGAGTCTTCCTCTTCGACGAAGTGAATTCTTCTCTTTCTCAGGGACGCAGCCTTGGACCACGTGGCCCTCTGATACAGAAGAATGTTTGTCTGTGGGCATGAACTCTTTCAAGCATTAACGTTAAAATCAATGCAAAATGTGTTTTCTGGGGTGGGCTCTTCCTTTTGAGAGAACTATAATGCAGTGATAAGATTGAGCGGTGTTCACTGGATTAGGCACCTTTGAAATTACCCAATTTTAAAGCCCCTCAATTCAAACAAAAATTTAGGGCAGAATTACTTTGCCAGCTTGCTTTCTTTATATCTGGAAAACTTGGACTCTCTTCCGAGAAGATATTTTACGTTGATTTTTAAAATACTTCTCTCAAAACAAATGCCAATTTCAAATAATTCTGAAATTTTTTATCTTGACTATAATCTAAAAATTAACATATTTTATCTACCTTCTGCCACTACTCTTACTAAAATTAATTCTCAAAAGGCACCCATTCAAGATCCCTCTTGTAGGCGTCTTGGAATATATATACTACATTATTATTAGCTAGCGTCAGCCTGCAAGGTAATAGAACACCAGAACTTATTCTTACAATTACTATGTGTTGATTAGAAACAAAATTAATTAAAAAAACAAACAAAATAACACAGCACCCAAACCCGCCCAGTGCAGGTGCACACTCTGGTTCTGCCTTGCTCTTTCTGGCATTTGGTTGGCTTGGTCATTTCATTGCTCTTGAAATTCCCTCCCCTTGTGGCTGACAGAATTCACTTGATAATTTCCAAGCTGCTCTTTCTATTCCTTCCTCTGCCAAATTAAAATGTTTCCTAGATTCTGTTCTTGAGCCTCTACTTTCATCCTTGGCAACTTCATTCACTGTAGGAATTTAACTTCTACCTCTAATTAAACAACTCATAAAGCTTTATATCCAGGCCGGCTTTGTTGTTGCCATTGGTTTTTTTCCTACCAAAGCTTCTACTCCCAAATTTCCAGTGTCTGCCTACTTTCCCCACGCAGGCACCCAGTGACAGCTCATCCTAAGATCCTTCCATAGCCAGCCGCAGTCCACCAATTCTGACTTCCTCCTGTTGTCAATATCATCAAGGTGTTCTCAATCAGCTTCCTACAACCAGAAAATCACCTTTGAGTCTTCCCTCTGTCCTTTTCATTTTCAACCAACTGCAGGGCTTCTGCATCTTTTCAGCCTTAGCTCTGACTTAGCTCCCACCGCGTGGACGCGTTCCGCCTGTCCCACCACAGCTGCCCGTGCCCAGGCCTGACTGTCCCAGCCTGTACTATCTCACTGGGCTCCCGTGGGTCTGTTTTTATTGCCCCCACTGCATCTGAACCATTTGTACAGTGATTTTTTTCTTTTTTACTGTGGACATGTTCTGTGTTTTTAATTTTATAGGCAAACCCAATATAGATGGAAGTTCAGGGGCCCTGGATGGAGGGTAGGAGGCGTGGGGCCCTGGCTCCCTGGCATTGCTTCTTCCCTAGGTTGGCCACAGCACTGCCTCCAAGCCTTGGGCTTCACAGAGCAGTTGGAACTCACAGCAGCGTGCCCCGCCTCGGTTTGCTCTCCTCAAGCTCCCGGAGTGAGTCCCTGAACAAACAGTTACACATAGCCTCCTGGTCTGGGGATACCAGCTCCCTCTCTACTGTGATTCCCGTTTATCAGTCTACAGGGTCCTTGAATGTGAGGGCTGTGCTGTGTTTATCTTGTCTGGTATTTCACACCAAACAGCAGCAAATGATACTTGTTGAATCAAAGTCAATTTTAAAATTAGCATCTGTAAGAAACATACAGAGTGATTTTCCCATAAAAAGACAGCTAGGTTGGGAGATAAGTGGTGTGTGATATTCCCCCTCCACTGGAATAGTGTAGGGGAACTTCTGAGATCCTTTGAGAAAAGTAATCAGATTGTTTTAAGCTGGGACATCAATACGCCCAAGTCTTCCTGAGCACGTGTGGTGCACCCAGCTCCCTGGTGGACTCACCTGTGACAGTGTGACAAGGGACTCGTTCACCGAAACACAATGCAAGAACACAGGGACATTAGCATACTCATTTACATAAATTTACATATAACATTCCTGTCACCCCCAGCTCCCAAACCTGCACACTGAATGAATTTTTTAAAAAGGTAGTGTGACCTATTGCAATTATACTCAAACTCAATATTCAGAACAAGATACATGAAGCAAAAGCAAAATCTGAACTAATCATGTGCCTGATTGGGACAAAGGCAGAGCTTCAGCAAGAAATAGAAAACCAAACATCCAGTGCCAAGTTCTCCTCCTAATCGGTGCTTCAAAGTAGCAGGGCCAGCCCTGGCTGCCTGGTCCTGTTATTGTTCATTTAACAGACTTTCCCTCAGTACCACCATGTGCCATGCTCTAGTTAGGGGTCTAGGGCTTGAAGCTTTATTTAACAATTATAATAAAACTGTGGCCTAGGTGTTACTGTCCCCATTAAACACACCTCTTAAAACTTAAAAACACATTTTTACGGCTTCACCCTATGCCATATGACGTGGCCCCAGTCTGTCCCCTCCACTGTGTGACAAGGGTGTGCGGGGGACGTGGGTGAGAGGTTTGCTGGGGCCGGCCCATCTCTGCCCGCACCAGAGGAGACTGAGGAGAAGGGTTCAGAGACCGGGTGTCCCAAGGCCGTGCCCAGGAGGGAGACTGGAGGGTCTGGGTTGCGAGCTGTGGATCCTGGCAGCCCTGCAGGGATTCTAGCAGGGGTGGCCCGGGCCGAGGGAGGCCCAACTGTTCCGCAGACAGAAAGCTGTCTCTCAGCTAAACACACGCCAACAATAGCAGCCAACCAGCTAATTGCTCACCACCCACTACAAGCTCAGTGCGTTAGTAAGAAAGCGGCTTCTCAGGCCTCGCTGGCTTCCTAGGACAGGAAATGCCCGTGGTGGAGGTTGTTCTGCAGGTCAAGGTTCGCTGCAGGAGGGCGGGGTGCCCAGTGCGGCCTCTGCCTGCCTCCCCGAGGCCCGGGAGGTACAGGGAACCTCTCCGTCCAGGGCGGGGCCCGCTCCTCAGAGGACTCCTGAGTCAGCCACCCCAGGGTGCTTTCTGGTGGAATGTTCTTGAACACTGGCATAGCCTTGTGCGGGGCCCCTCAACACCAGGAGGGCGGGTCTTGAGAAAACCTGCCCCTCTCCTCGGGAGTGGAAGGCTCGCCTCTGTGGGGTTATCCTGGGGCCACGGGGTGCTTTTCTCTGAGTGTGGGGCCCCGTCACGACCAGCGGAGCCCACAGGACAAAGCTCAAGAGCCCCAAGTGACGCCCAGAGAAGGGCAGCGTCCAGGCGGGGGCACATCGGATCGCTCCACCTGGACCCCTCGCCACCTCCAGCAAAAGGGGAGAGGAAGAGAGATGAGCCGTGCACAGCTGCCTCAGTGTGAACCCCCCATCGCCGCTGCCGCCACAGACTGAGCCGCCCCTGAGAGAGGCAGGTGCAGCTGCCTCATCTGGGAGATCCGAATCCGGATCCGGATCTGGAGCTGGCCAGAAGTCAGGAGAGCTCCACCCCGGGAGGCAGAGCACCCTCCCGGCTGGTGAGTGCTTCCAGGCACCTCTCTGCCCAGCCCAGCAACAGCTGCACGTGGAGCACCCTACTCTGTGTTGTAGCCCACCACAGGCTTAAACTCAGGCAACAGCTGGGCCAGTCCATGTTCTGAACAAGATACCAAAGGTCTCTGAAAGGGAGATTCGGTTGGCGAAAGGCACAGACGCTGCCGGATGACCCCCGGCCATTCTTGGATTCATGGGGATGATGTACTGACCGGATTCTGGGAAATAAGCCAACGTGTAGAATAGCGTTGTCAAGATTACACAACAAAATTAGCTGTCAAATATGAATTGATTATTCTAATGTATCATAGAAATGCAAATTAAGAAATGACATCATGTACGAAAAGATGCAATATAATGACCAAAGAATACCCACTAAAAGGCTGGTTAGAGGGTATTTGGCAAAGCTAACAAAGGGTTTACATTCATTAACTTAGCGCTTCCATTACTGGGCGATACTGGGCCACCTGGGTGACATCTCTGAGTCTTACCTGCCTGAGTGATCAAGGGAGGAAGGTCAGACCAGCCTGGCTTGATGTGGCGTGGCCCAATTTAGAAAGGGTGTCAGTGGCCAAGGGCTCCTGCAGTGAAAGCTCATTATACATGGCAGCTAAGGTGATTTTTACTTTAGAGCTCAGGA
Organism: Homo sapiens; assembly: GCF_000001405.40. Taxonomy (NCBI): domain Eukaryota; kingdom Metazoa; phylum Chordata; class Mammalia; order Primates; family Hominidae; genus Homo; species Homo sapiens. Next base: position 2,027,919 of record NC_000002.12, read on the forward strand.
GCCATAAGCAAATGTAAAACTGAAGAATGTCACTGTGTTATTATTGTTTCTGCTTGGATGCTTCCTCATATTCAATTTTGCTGTCTTGTAGAGGTGAGTTCTATCACATGTGGGGTCATAATGCTGAGTTACCTAGAACAATGCTTACCTGAATACTTTGCAATGCTTAGCCAATAAGCTTTTGACTCATGCTTTGCCCTGCTCCTTCAGGCAAGCACAGAGCAGATGCTGGAAGAATGAAGGGCATGGGCCCCTTGGTCTAGCATCTGGGTCTGGCACAGTGCTTGGTGCCAGCACCGATCAGCTTGGTCAGGGAGTGAGCACATGCTCGTAGCCCAAACCAGGCTCAGGCTCTGCAGGAGGAGCCTGGTGTGGAAAGAGCAGGAGGCTGTGGGATTGTGGGGTTCATGCCCAGGGACCTCTTACACTTATGCCTAAAGCAGTGTCAGGATTGAAACTTTGGGGGCAGAATTGAAGGGACTGAATAGTAGATCGACAGTCCTATCATTTTGAAGGTCAGATAGTGACAAGAGGGAGGCTAGGAATCTATGTAGTGGCAGAGTAGGAAAAGAAAATGAAGGTTCTGCAAGACACTGAAATGACAGATTTTGTCTGAGTTCTGCACTTGAAAGGAGAATTTTAGAGGAAATTAAAAAAAATGAAGTAATATTTTGTGTATGGTGACAAAAATTATCATCATGGTTCTGAAATATGCTCTTGTCAGGAGTATGGTATAAGATAAAGATCAGACTTAGTATTGGAGACATGGCCACAAACATTGATTTGTCAATAAAACCATCTTTCATTGATTCAATAGACTTTTCCTGGGAACCATCCTGTGTGCCAGGAACTAGGGACATCAGGACAAAGCACTTTATGTCTTCAAGGATCTTACCATCCAATGGGAGACGCAAAGGAAAAAACATTCATTAACTCGTTGTTAAGAGGCCCAGAAGGGGAACATCATAACCAGGAAAATGAGGGGGACACATTGGGGGGCTTCTGTGAGGAAGTGATGGTTAAAGGACACCTTTTTTGAGACAATCACTTGGTCTCTCTAAGCCTCGGTATCCGTACTATAAATTAGGTACTAGGATGAATGCTTTTTAAAATTCTTTTAAACTCAAGTATTACAGAACTTTTTAAAAAGCTTCAGTTTAGCATCTTGGTATTAACAACTCAGAATAAAGAATCTGACTAAATGTATCAAAAAGAGAAAGGTAATATTTTATTGAACTATAATTACACAAGGCAAATATTTGGGCTAAAGTGACTAGTGAATGACATTCGTGACTGTCTAACATATTCATGTCCATACACATGTGTATGCCTGTGTGTATTCATCCATTCGCATGCTGCTAATAAAGACATACCCAAGACTGGGTAATTATAAAGGAAAGAGGTTTAATGGACTCACAGTTCCACATGGCTGGGGAGGCCTCACAATCATGGCGGAAGATGAAGAAAGAGCAAAGTCACGTCTTACATGGCGGCAGGCAAGAGAGCTTGTGCAGGGGAACTCCCATTTATAAAACCATCAGATCTCATGAGAGTTATTCACTACCACAAGAACAGTATGGGGGAAACCACTCCCATGATTCAATTATCTCCACCTGGTCCCACCCTTGACACTTGCAGGTTGTTACAATTTAAGGTGAGACTTGGGTGGGGACACAGCAAAGCCGTATCGATGTGCATATGACAGATACAGACATCTGCACACACACACACAGTATAGCTTTCCACACATGAAATGACTTGGATTTGAAATTAGGTTTATGTACATACAATAATCCAGGTTGTATTTCACTGAAAATATATTCAATGTTACCTTCAAAATTACTAACTGAAAAGTCTGTATATAATTTAGAAAGTTATTGGCATTTTATCATTGTTTGCATATCATTCTATATGGACCAAAACCATATTTGTCAAAGTCAAAAAATAATAGCTAATATTTAGCCATTTTTATTTGCATATCTTATAATTTATATAACTTTTTTACCTGTAATGTAAGGGCTCCTGAGAATAATTTACCTTCTTATAGAGTTCCAGTTACAGCAACAACTGGCTAATGTACAATTTAGTGTATTTTAAAGTATGAGACCAGAGACCAAGGAAGGAGGCATGTCCTGTAGAGCCTGGTGATGGGCATGAGGAATTGTTTTTGTTTGTTTGTTTAGTTTGTTTGTTTTTTAAGATGGAGTCTTGCTCTGTCGCCCAGGCTGGAGTGCAATGGTGTGATCTCAGCTCACTGCAACCTGTGCCTCCTGGGTTCAAGTGATTCTCCTGCCTCAGCCTCCCGAGTAGCTGGGACTACAGGCGTATGCTACCACGCCTGGCTAATTTTTTGTATTTTTAATAGAGACGGGGTTTCAACATGTTAGCCGGGATGGTCTCGATCTCCTGACCTCATGATCCACCCGCCTCAGCCTCCCAAAGTGCTGGGATTACAGGCAGGAGTTTTAAATATAAGTGAAGTTTTAAATTTAGATTCCTGTTTTGTCTCTAAAGCATCTGATTCTTAACTATCATTCATTCGTTCATTTGTTATGTGTATACTCTTTTATTCTCTAAATAAAATTGAATGCCTATTATTTGCCAGCTATTGTAATGAGTGATTAAGATTTTTTAAAAATAAGAGAAAGCAGTTGACTTCATTATAATTTAAACATGTCAATTTTAGATACTTTATTTTTGGTTTTACTAGAAATGTATGTGTAAGCTGAATGTATATCCTTACAAATTATGAAAGAGTGACAAATGCAGTTTTCTTCAATAGTTTCCTGAGACCAAATTTGTTAATTTGGTAAAACCTGCCTGTAAGTACAATACAGGTGACAAGGAATTATGTCTCAGCCCACACTGATATGATGTGTAATCATTTTAGTTGTGCAGCCAGTGGTCCTATTTTGACTTCTAACTAGAATGACTGTAAAATTTGGTGCTCATATATACTCAGTCTAATTGTTTTTCACTTCTTAAAATTGATTCGGGTTTTAATAAAGTCCGTATTAAATTTTGTCTAAAGCATTAGTTTCTGGTTTCTCACATTGTGAGGACATACTTATTTTGCGTTTGTATTAAGCGTGTGCATGACAGCTTTCTGAAATTATGCACCCTTCATCACCAGCTCCAAAAACAGCATGTTTACTCTAATTTCAGCAAAACAACTCTTTAACTTCAGAAGTTAAAATTTATTTCTCTGCACATTTTAGAGATGTGGCATGTCAACATCACTGGGATTCAGGGCACCTTGGATGCTCAGAGCTGTCCAAAATCTTTCTGAATTCACAGTGGCTGTGATACGGAAATGAAGCCACAGGCAAGCTTGCATGAAAGAGGGCTGGGAGAGGTGCTCAGGATGGAGTGTCAGATAAGGTCTAGTTAACTGGAGAGATGAAGTGGGTTTTCCCATGGTCAAACAGCAAAGCTGCCAGAGCAGATTGTAGAAGGAGGGCCTTATACACACCCCTCCCAAGTGCCTCTCATCCTGTGGCCCAGAGCAGATTCTAGAAGGAGGGCCTTATACACACCCCTCGCCAGTGCCTCTCATCCTGTGGCCCAAAGCAGATTCTAGAAGGAGGGCCTTATACACACCCCTCCCAAGTGCCTCTCATCCTGTGGCCCAGAGCAGATTCTAGAAGGAGGGCCTTACACACACCCCTCGCCAGTGCCTCTCATCCTGTGGCCCAGAGCAGATTCTAGAAGGAGGGCCTTACACACACCCCTCACCAGTGCCTCTCATCCTGTGGCCCAGAGCAGATTCTAGAAGGAGGGCCTTATACACACCCCCTCACCAATGCCTCTCATCCTGTCGCCCAGAGCAGATTCGAGAAGGAGGGCCTTATACACACCCCTCGCCAGTGCCTCTCATCCTGTGGCCCAGAGCAGATTCTAGAAGGAGGGCCTTACACACACCCCTCGCCAGTGCCTCTCATCCTGTGACCGAGAGCAGATTCTAGAAGGAGGGCCTTATACACACACCCTCGCCAGTGCCTCTCATCCTGTGGCTCAGAGCAGATTCTAGAAGAAGGGCCTTATATACACCCCTCGCCAATGTCTCTCATCCTGTGGCCGAGAGCAGATTCTAGAACGAGGGCCTTATACACACCCCTCGCCAGTACCTCTCATCCTGTGGCCCAGAGCAGATTCTAGAAGGAGGGCCTTACACACACCCCTCGCCAGTGCCTCTCATCCTGTGGCCCAGAGCAGATTCTAGAAGGAGGGCCTTATACACACACCCGTTGCCAGTGCCTCTCATCCTGTGGCCCAGAGCAGATTCTAGAAGGAGGGCCTTACACACACCCTCGCCAGTGCCTCTCATCCTGTGGCCCAGAGCAGATTCTAGAAGGAGGGCCTTACACACATCCCTCCCCAGTGCCTCTCATCCTGTGGCCCAGAGCAGATTCTAGAAGGAGGGCCTTATACACACACCCGTCGCCAGTGCCTCTCATCCTGTGGCCCAGAGCAGATTCTAGAAGGAGGGCCTTACACACACCCTCGCCAGTGCCTCTCATCCTGTGGCCCAGAGCAGATTCTAGAAGGAGGGCCTTACACACACCCCTCCCCAGTGCCTCTCATCCTGTGGCCCAGAGAAGATTCTAGAAGGAGGGCCTTACACACATCCCTCCCCAGTGCCTCTCATCCTGCGGCCCAGAGAAGATTCTAGAAGGAGGGCCTTACACACACCCCTCGCAAGTGCCTCTCATCCTGTGGCCCAGAGCAGATTCTAGAAGGAGGGCCTTACACACACCCCTCGCAAGTGCCTCTCATCCTGTGGCCCAGAGCAGATTCTAGAAGGAGGGCCTTATACACACACCCGTCGCCAGTGCCTCTCATCCTGTGGCCCAGAGCAGATTCTAGAAGGAGGGCCTTACACACACCCTCGCCAGTGCCTCTCATCCTGTGGCCCAGAGCAGATTCTAGAAGGAGGGCCTTATACAACCCTCGCCCATGTCTCTCATCCTGTGACCCAGAGCAGATTCTAGAAGGAGGGCCTTATACACACCCCTCGCCAGTGCCTCTCACCCTGTGGCCCAGAGCAGATTCTAGAAGGAGTGCCTTATACACACCCCCTCGCCAGTGCCTCTCATCTTGTGGCCCAGAGCAGATTCTAGAAGGAGGGCCTTACACACACCCCTCGCCAGTGCCTCTCATCCTGTGGCCCAGAGCAGATTCTAGAAGGAGGGCCTTACACACACCCCACACCCCTCGCCCGTGCCTCTCACCCTGTGGCCCAGAGCAGATTCTAGAAGGAGGGCCTTACACACACCCCTTGCCAGTGCCTCTCATCCTGTCGCCCAGAGCAGATTCTAGATGGAGGGCCTTACACACACCCCTCGCCAGTGCCTCTCATCCTGTGGCCCAGAGCAGATTCTAGAAGGAGGGCCTTACACACACCCTCGCCAGTGCCTCTCATCCTGTGGCCCAGAGCAGATTCCAGAAGGAGGGCCTTACACATACCCCTCGCCAGTGCCTCTCATCCTGTGGCCCAGAGCAGATTCGAGAAGGAGGGCCTTATACACACCGCTCGCCAGTGCCTCTCATCCTATGGCAACGAGGCAGAACTCAGGATGGGACCTGGGGGCACGCCAGGTTAGTCTACTTACAATGCTACTCCCTGAAAAGAACTTTGGCTTTAAGAGGAAAATCATTCTGCAATATGTGAAGGTGAAATCAGGAACAAACATTAAAAAAAAAAAATCTGGGTTTCACCTTGCTCACGAAATTTGATTTGAGGTCATTACATTCTAATAGAGGTGGGTGGAGTAGGGGAATCTATTAAATCAACTCTCCAGGGACGGTGATTGGCAATCCCCAGCTGTTTTGTCCCCATTCAGACATGTTTGAAGGACATGGTGCCTGGAGCAGCCCCAACGGCCCCTGGGGACAGGATGGCACTGTGCCTTGGCTGTGCCCTTGTCAGGAGCTTCTGTGGTGGGGCTGCGATGCCACATGCTTTCCCACATCCCAGGTGCATTTCACTCTAGAGTCAAGTCATGGTAATGAGAAGGGGTGCATTACAGAGAGGGTCAGCTCAATTCCGACAAATAAATGCACTTGAATTTCCAGAACCTAAGAAATGAAAACATGCCAGGGTGGGAGTTAGGGGCCTGGGTTCTCTCCAGACTCCAGACTAAGTAGCTTCGTTACTGTACACAGGTCACTTCATTTTTCTCATTAAATCCCTATTGATTAAGAAGCTGGTTAGTAAGTCGTAGGGACATTGAAGGGAAAGGAGCTAAGCAGAAAACGTCGGTATCGACACAATTCAGGCATATCCTCAAAGTTATGTCCAGCCGACTCGGCATCTCTATGAACACCCACAACTTCATGCGGGTGCAGAAGAGAGCTCCTAACTTCTCCCCATAATCTCCACCCTCCCAATGCGGGTGCAGAAGAGAGCTCCTAACTTCTCCCCAACAATCTCCACCCTCCAATGCGGGTGCAGAAGAGAGCTCCTAACTTCTCCCCAACAATCTCCACCCTCCAATGCGGGTGCAGAAGAGAGCTCCTAACTTCTCCCCAACAATCTCCACCCTCCAATGCGGGTGCAGAAGAGAGCTCCTAACTTCTCCCCAACAATCTCCACCCTCCAATGCGGGTGCAGAAGAGAGCTCCTAACTTCTCCCCACAATCTCCACCCTCCAATGCGGGTGCAGAAGAGAGCTCCTAACTTCTCCCCACAATCTCCACCCTCCAATGCGGGTGCAGAAGAGAGCTCCTAACTTCTCCCCAACAATCTCCACCCTCCAATGCGGGTGCAGAAGAGAGCTCCTAACTTCTCCCCACAATCTCCACCCTCCAATGCGGGTGCAGAAGAGAGCTCCTAACTTCTCCCCACAATCTCCACCCTCCAATGCGGGTGCAGAAGAGAGCTCCTAACTTCTCCCCACAATCTCCACCCTCCAATGCGGGTGCAGAAGAGAGCTCCTAACTTCTCCCCAACAATCTCCACCCTCCAATGCGGGTGCAGAAGAGAGCTCCTAACTTCTCCCCACAATCTCCACCCTCCAATGCGGGTGCAGAAGAGAGCTCCTAACTTCTCCCCAACAATCTCCACCCTCCAATGCGGGTGCAGAAGAGAGCTCCTAACTTCTCCCCACAATCTCCACCCTCCAATGCGGGTGCAGAAGAGAGCTCCTAACTTCTCCCCAACAATCTCCACCCTCCAATGCGGGTGCAGAAGAGAGCTCCTAACTTCTCCCCAACAATCTCCACCCTCCAATGCGGGTGCAGAAGAGAGCTCCTAACTTCTCCCCAACCATCTCCACCCTCCAATGCGGGTGCAGAAGAGAGCTCCTAACTTCTCCCCAACCATCTCCACCCTCCAATGCGGGTGCAGAAGAGAGCTCCTAACTTCTCCCCACAATCTCCACCCTCCAATGCGGGTGCAGAAGAGAGCTCCTAACTTCTCCCCAACAATCTCCACCCTCCAATGCGGGTGCAGAAGAGAGCTCCTAACTTCTCCCCAACAATCTCCACCCTCCAATGTGGGTGCAGAAGAGAGCTCCTAACTTCTCCCCAACAATCTCCACCCTCCAATGCGGGTGCAGAAGAGAGCTCCTAACTTCTCCCCAACAATCTCCACCCTCCAATGCGGGTGCAGAAGAGAGCTCCTAACTTCTCCCCAACAATCTCCACCCTCCAATGCGGGTGCAGAAGAGAGCTCCTAACTTCTCCCCAACAATCTCCACCCTCCAATGCGGGTGCAGAAGAGAGCTCCTAACTTCTCCCCAACAATCTCCACCCTCCAATGCGGGTGCAGAAGAGAGCTCCTAACTTCTCCCCACAATCTCCCCCCTCCAATGTGGGTGCAGAAGAGAGCTCCTAACTTCTCCCCAACAATCTCCACCCTCCAATGCGGGTGCAGAAGAGAGCTCCTAACTTCTCCCCACAATCTCCACCCTCCAATGCGGGTGCAGAAGAGAGCTCCTAACTTCTCCCCAACAATCTCCACCCTCCAATGCGGGTGCAGAAGAGAGCTCCTAACTTCTCCCCAACAATCTCCACCCTCCAATGCGGGTGCAGAAGAGAGCTCCTAACTTCTCCCCAACAATCTCCATCCTCCAATGCGGGTGCAGAAGAGAGCTCCTAACTTCTCCCCAACAATCTCCACCCTCCAATGCGGGTGCAGAAGAGAGCTCCTAACTTCTCCCCACAATCTCCACCCTCCAATGCGGGTGCAGAAGAGAGCTCCTAACTTCTCCCCAACAATCTCCACCCTCCAATGCGGGTGCAGAAGAGAGCTCCTAACTTCTCCCCAACAATCTCCACCCTCCAATGCGGGTGCAGAAGAGAGCTCCTAACTTCTCCCCACAATCTCCACCCTCCAATGCGGGTGCAGAAGAGAGCTCCTAACTTCTCCCCAACAATCTCCACCCTCCAATGCGGGTGCAGAAGAGAGCTCCTAACTTCTCCCCAACAATCTCCACCCTCCAATGCGGGTGCAGAAGAGAGCTCCTAACTTCTCCCCACAATCTCCACCCTCCAATGCGGGTGCAGAAGAGAGCTCCTAACTTCTCCCCACAATCTCCACCCTCCAATGCGGGTGCAGAAGAGAGCTCGTAACTTCTCCCCACAATCTCCACTCTCTGATGTCTTCTTTTCCAGGCAATAGAATCCCATCCACACAGCTCCTCATGGCAGAAACTCGGCAGCCACGCTTCAGTCTTCCTTCCTCTCAGTCCCCCATATCACTGAGTCTTTATGATTTTATCTTCAAAACATATCTTGAATTCTTTTTTGTTGATCAATGCAATGATCATAGTCTGAGCTACATCATCGCTCACCTGACTAATGCAGCTGCTTTCTAATTGGTTTCTCCACTGCCATTCCAGCACCTTGGCATTCAAATCTCCAATCTGTTTAAGCATCAAACTTAAGACATAAACATGTCCCTGGCAGCCTTTTGTTTTGCAGTCACCAGTAGCTTCCACCACACTTCAATTTAAGACTCATTGTGCCTGTCACCAGGCCCTGCAGGACATGGCTCCTTCCTTGGTCTCTGGTCTCATTTTGTTCCCTGATGCCAGCCAGTGAGTGATGCAACAACAGAGGCATCCCTTGGTTCTCCCAATACACCTGGCTCAGCAGTGTCCGAGGGTCCTTCCTGTTCCCTCTGCCTGAAATAGTCCCCCCGCTTAGGGCTGACTCCTTTACTTTAAGCCTCAGCCTAGCTGTGGTTTTCCTTGGAAAAGCAGTTCCAAATCACTCCACTTAGACTAAATTTGCCATCTCGTTTGTTCCTCACCACACTGTTTGCTGCCTGCACGATATTCTTATTACAACATGCAATTGTTTTATGTGTCTGTCTGTTGGTTTCTGCCAACCTTTCTAAGTTCTACGGTAACTGGGAAAGTGCCCACGTTATTTCCCATTGAATCTCTATCACCCAGCACAGAGCATGGCTGAGACGCCCTTTGGGGTATTGCTGTTGCTAATGAGACTTGAAATCATTTATTTCTCCAGTTATGATGGTGGTTCTCTTGTCCAGGAAAACAAGTAATCAGATTCAGTTGATTTTTTTTTTTTTTTTAAACTGTAGCTTTGGGCCAGGGACGGCGGCTCATGCCTGTAATCCCAGCACCTTGGGAAGCCAAGGTGGCCAGATCATATGAAGTCAGGAGTTTAAGACCAGCCTGGCCAACATGGCGAAACCCCATCTCTACTAAAAATACAAAAACTAGCTGGTCATGGTGGTGCATGCCTGTAATCTCAGCTACTTGGGAGGCTGAGTCAGGAGAATCACTTGAGCCCGGGAGGTGGAGGTTGCAGTGAGCCAAGATTGTGCCACTTGCACTCCAGCCTGGGAGACAGAGCCAGACTCCGTCTCAAAAACAAAACAAAACAAAACAAAACCCCCCCAAAAAAACAAAAAAACAAAAAAAAAACCCCCTACACACTTCAAACTATATATTCAAAACTACAGTTTTTCAAAATATACAGTTTTCAAAACTATACATTCAAAACTATAGTTTTGAATCCTCAAATCACTGTGTAACCTCCCCTAACTCCCAGCACCGACTCTGCACAGCCTGGATGAACACTTGTGTTGTGTCCATGTCTTGCTTTTCTTACTAGGTTATAAACTCTTTGAGAGGAGGAGCTATGTCTTGGTGAACTTTGCATTCCATGCAGACGTAGCATGGGTTCATTTGGACAGAAACCTGAGCAATAGGACCGGGACTACAATACGTGCTCGCTGAATTAAACGGCATTATTTTATGATGTGTGCCTCTCACGGGACTATTAGAATGGCCTGCACTGTTTAAGATTGACTTTGTTAGAAATCATGCCCCTTTTTATCACTATTATTTTATTATAACTGGATTCCATAGCTAGAGTTTGGGGTTGTCTTTTAAATCCAACATTATACAATTTTAAGTGTGTCTTTGGTTGAGTAGAATCTCACCCTGTTCTCAGGTGACCCCATTATCTTCTCCCCACATCAGTGAATGACACCATCAGATCTAACATCAAGCCAGGTGCTTGGATTCCCCTGACTTCTCCTTCCTGCCATCACCACCCTCCTTCAACCATTACTCAATGGTTGGCCAGCGCTGCCTCCCTGGCGTCTCTCCACTGGCCCAGTTCGGCTCATCTTGTCTGGACGCCATGTTTATTTGTCAATATTTCTGTAGCATATCCTAGTTGCTGTTCCTGCCACCAAATATCTCCCCTTCAAATCGATTTTTTATGTGTAGTCATCAGTCAGAAGTAATGTGACGTTGCTTGTTTGCTTAGAATTTTTTTTTTAGTGGGTTCCAGTACACTCTGGAACCCAATCCGAACTCCCTGGCATGTGGAAAGGTCACAGGTGGTGAGGCCCTGGTTGATGTGTCCAGCTGTCCCTCACACACCCTCTTCCCTGCTGGACATCAGCCATCCTGAACCCACACCCCAGCTCCCCATATGTGCAGCTCCCTCACCCTTCTCTGAACTCAGCCCTTCTTATGTTCAGGCATCACTCTTTCCAGGGCCTCCCCTAGGGTCTGGTCCCTCCTCCTCGGTGTTCGTGGCTCCTTTCGCCACAGCCCTGGCACACTGGGTTGTGACTGTTTAGCCACTGACCACCCTCTCTGCCGATGAGGCACTGTCACCTCTAGCTCCTTGTGTTATGTGGCTAATTTCCCGGTACGTGGAACAGCACTGGCACATGGAAGGCAGTCAGCAAGCACCGGGGGAATGAACAGAATCTCACGGAGCGCATTTTCCCCAATATTGATAAGGAATAATCATGGGGACATTATGGTTCACAACACTCTCTCACATGTATTGTGGTATTTGACCCTCACAATCTCACAATGACTATTTTATAAACATTCTACCTATGTCTAGGCATGGTGACTGGCACCTGTAGTCTCAGCTACTCAGGAGGCCCTGGTGGGAGGATCGCTTGGGCCCAGAAATTTGAGGCTACAGTGCGCTATGATTGCACCACTGCACTCCAGCCAGGGCAACAGAATGAGACCCACTTTCAAAAAAAAAAAAATCTACATATGACCTTGATGTATGTAGTCTATGGACAAATCTTCAGTTCAATAAATTAGTAAATTAGTCAGAACCTCCGTTTCCTGACTGTTAGGGAAGTTTACCATTTGCAGGAATGTTCAAAGGTGAATTTATGAAGGTGAAAAGGTGTGAATTGCTCAGGAAAAACATGATAGACGATAAAGAATGGATATGACTTTGAACGTCACAGGTTCTCCACCCATCAACAAAATCAAAGATAGACAACTTTAACAGAAGACTGGTGATGGGTTTTGATGAGGAATAGGATGAGTTCATTTGGGCATAGAAGTTGAGCTCACACAGGCATGCCTGCATCAGCCCGCTCATGCTTCCTCCATTTAAAATTTACTCAGCGGAGTGTGACTAGGGACATGACACTTGGGAAGGAGCCAGGAAGACTCTTCCACGTGGAATGGCTGCAGGTATAAGTGTGTGAGATGGATCAAACCAGGAGACCCTTATTCATGCCTGGCTGCAAGAAGCGAGGTGGCTAAGGGAACACAGACATGACAAACAGGCAGGGACAACACGTGATAGAGTCATAGAAAGGGCATGCCTACAGGTGTATGCGTGAGGGCCTGCGAAAGGGAAATGAAGCTAGGAATGGACTCTTGCACAACATCCCCTCAGCATTTAGGAATCCATCTTAATATGTGCTGATCACAGCTGGCGATATGTGTCAGGGCTACTATTTCAGTCTCATTTCATTTGTCCTGGTGTTCTGGTTTAATAATCCTCCTAGGGCTGTATATTTGGAAACTAGTGATGTGTCCTCAGCACTTGACACTGTGCTGAGCACACGTGTACTCTGGATTCTTGATAAGTGACTGAATTTCTACGTGTGCCCAATACATTCTTGTACATGCAATGTACATATCCAGCCTGTCCTTATGACAAGTTTCCTTGGCTACAGGATGGAAAGTTTGGAACTAGGGAGGGACAGAAATCATCCATGCAGATTAATCTTTAAAACTCGATTCTGAGAATGTCTGCTCTGTGGAGTCAGTGTGAGGCTCTGGTGCAGGCGACCCCCTGACCAAACCCAGGGTGTCCCCGTTCCAGAAGTTCCCTCGTAGAGCAATGTGTATTTATCATATGCAGCTGGAAATTACTTTTCAGGCAGGAAAATTAATTATAAGTAAATTTGTTATCCACATTTTTAAGTTCTGGATGGAAATTGAAATATGCCCTTATAATTAGACACTTGGCCACTCTTCAGGGAAAATTACGAACATGTGATATTTTGGAAAAAGCATCAATATTTAATTTTTTGGTCAATTTCTGAAGAATGGATCATTGTTGGGGGCTGGTCATTTTGGGGGTAATTATTTAAAAGTTTGAAGTAAAAGTAGTTTTATTAAGTGTATTTTTTAAAATTTCATTTATTATTATATCAATTTGAGGTTAAAAAACTATAATTAACTGGTTTCTACTTTTCTACTTGCATTTGTTGAAATTGCTAATTCTGACACCATCTCCATAGTAACCAATGTGCTTAGAAAGCAGAAAAATAGGAACACTCAAATAAGGCAAAAAGAGAAACAGGACAACTCATGGTGAAAAATAATTTCTTTTATTACACTGCCTTTTCTGGAAAGATACATTTGTTTATAAAAATGTGTTTACGTAAAATTGCAAACTACCTGACATTTTATCCAGAAAAATGTTACTTAGCAGATAAATATAAAAATATATTACTGGTGCATTAATAATTTTGCTTGAGGTAACTTGAACTTTTGAATTAAGTTACAGCTTTGGGGAAAGGTGGAAGTTAAATTATATGGCATAATTGTACTATTAATGAAAGCTGATGAAGATTGTGAAATCGCCACATTTGAGTCTTGTCAAGGTCAATTGCAAATCCAACATGAAGTGTTTTACTTGAAGGAAATTGCCTTCTTTCCCTTGAAAAAGTTCACCTTCTAGATGGGAAGCTACTGGGGGAGAGAGAAGTTGGAACCCTGCTGGGTCTTGGTCTACTCAGAGTAGCCGCCCAAGAGCTGCTCAGTGCTTTGCAAGCTGAATTGGAATTAATTGCAGATTGGGTCATGCTATATTTACTTTTCGTTTTACAAAGATATTCTTTGTCTCTTATCAAATGACCAAACATCAGAAAAATTTTCTGTTCCAGCTCCTCATGCTTCTGGGGCAGAGAGTGTTTGGAGGTATCTCCCTCCCTGCAGAAGGAGCCCGTCCCCCATGGCCGGCCCCAGGAGGACCTTTGCCTCTGCTTGCTCACCGGAGGCAAATTTCTCTGGTTTCATTATGGATTTTCCGGAAAGAAGGGAAGGGCCTGGTACCTCTATCTTGCAGCTTAAGCAGATGGTTTTAAAGTCAGACATCTGCAGCTGTATCTAGCCAAAATCTTTAATAACAACCATCTTCCTACTTTAACCATCATATACAGAACCTTTGAACTCAAAGATTCTCTGTAGAAAAGTTTCTTCCTTCCAGTGAGATTGTACTACAAATCTAAGTCCCATAAAGAAATAGTTTTGTGGAGCATCTCTCCACACCCCTAGCTCTTTTACCAAAAAAATCATCTTTAAGCTAATCTTAGAAGTAGAGTTTTGTTTTCAAGACGGTAGATAGCACAGAGTGTCTCCTGCTTCTTGTAAGTCTGTTTAAAGCCAGAGACATTCAGTGGCAAGGGAAGGGCACCCTCTCGAGGGGCTGGGCAGCTCAAAGGCAGCCCCGCAATCCTGAGGATGAACCCCAGATGCTCTAAGATGGACTCTGTCTCCAGATGATTCTGCCCATCTGTAGGCTGATACGAATCTTCTGGGCAAGTTTAAGGCAGGTGAGACTAAGCTATCACATTTGGCAGGTTATGTGGATTAAATGCATTTTCAACTATGAGATTTTTTACTTCTGCTGGGTTTGTTAGGGAGTTGTCCCACCATAAATTGAAGAGCATCTGTCTTGCAACTTTGAGTGGATCTCTGAAGAACCCTGACAAATGCAAACAATTTCAAATAAGCCTTGTGATACGGAGCATATTTATTAATCCTAAGCAATTATATTATTTCCATGCTCAAAGTCGCAATGCTATGTGTATTAAATTCAGTCACACTAATTTACTTATTTTCTAGAAACCTTGTTCTAATATATTACCTTCAATTAATAGTAAATTACAATGGGAATGCCATGAAATTTCTTGTTATGTTGTTATCAGGTCTCACCATTGGCAGAAATTTAAAAGGGCCTCAGAACCACACAAAGGCCCTGTCCCTGCACCAATGGTCCCGGCCTCCCTGTCACCCACCCTGAGGTTGGAGCCACTATGTGGTCTTTGCTCTGCTCTATCTGTTCCCAAAGCAAGGCATCTGCCCTTCGTCTCTAAGCCTCAAACGCCCGGCATGCATCCAGCTCTCACCACACCTGTCCTCATTCTTGATGTCATGACAGCAGGCGATAGCCTCCCAGGCCCATGTTCTCTCCCCTCTGCCCTTCCCCCCTGCTCTTCCCTGCAGGCAGGGTCTTCCCAACACTGGCTCCGGCAGCCCTCACCTGGTGCCAGCAGCACTGCACCGGGGGTGGCACGTGTGCTCTTGGACTCTGGACCAGTCTTCCTCTGTTTCCCTAAAACTTGTCAGCTGTGAAGCTCAGTTCATCTAAGACTCAAAGCGACACCCTGATGTGGCCCCAAGCCCGGGGACCTCACCCACGTTCTTTGAGGGTTTCAGCCCCTGGTTCACAGCTATCATGTCCAAAATCACTCTGCAAAGATTCCTGATGGCTTCTATGCCCTGTGGATGATTCCTCCAAAATTGAGGACTCTTGAGCCCTCAATCCCTGACCCCTGCCTCGGCCACCTAGTCCCTTGTATTAAATGTAGTCACACAATTCATTTATTTTCCAGAAACCTTGTTCTAGTATATTACCTTCGATTAACAGTAAATTACAATGGGAATGCCATGAAATTTCTTGTTATGTTGTTATCAGTTCTCACCAATGGCAGAAATTAAAAGGGGCCTCAGAACCACACAAAGTCATTGTACATTGCAGCCACACCCTACAATGTGTTTGTTAACTTAATTACATTATTCCAAGTTCATAAACGCGGTGCTTTCTCCCCTGGGACAGTCCCGGCCACAACTGCCTCCAGTTCCCCTTCCATTCTTTCCTGGACACTCCTGCAAGACATCTTGAAAGAGCTGTGCCCACTGTCTGTGTGGCCTCCTCCCCCAATGGGTCCATGTCTTACTCATGGGTGACTGGCTCCCTTCACCCCCTTCCTTGCCCTGAGCTCAGGGGTGGCATCTTTATTTTGCTCCCTCCAGTGCTGCCCACATCAGGAGCAGGCCTGCTACCCTGGAGGAACCCAGGAATATCTGTTGAATGAGTGAATGAATGCATGAATATGGTACATAAAAACTTCTCAAATTGTTCATACCATGACTAAAATAAATATTAATTTACAAATAATCTCTATTAAACATAAGGCAAAATTTTGACTGATGGAGAATTTGATGGATTAGAGAGAAGACACGATTTTTATCATTTTGGCTGACAGAGATGAATTCAATCAAACAGACATTTGTTTTTTGAAAAAAAATGAGTAAGGAGAGAGTTCAAAAGGTACTTTTCTTTCATTTTTAATTTAACTGATTAAAGTATTAGTTTTCTGGGTGAATGTTTTACAGTGGTTGTGTTATTATTTCTCTTTTCCTATTAATGTACATACATGTTCTGTTAACCTGTCTTGGCTTACTCAGATACAGGTCCCTGTGCACTCCCATGTTAGCCATACACAAATAGATATATACAATGGCAAGACAGTACCTACTGTTCATACTTGTCTATAAATCATTGCACAATTTTAGTTACAATTAAAGTCTTTCTGTCACGATACACCACACTCATCACTCTCAGTCACAGCTAACTATATCTGAAGTTATCAAGATAAACTTTTATCAGCAGTTACATAAGCGTAAAGTTGCAAATGCAGATATGGTGTGCCCATAGAGTATCAAATTCCTGCACCAACACTCCCTGCATCCCAGCAACAGACACCCAGAAGTTCTGATCGTGGTACAATGGGACAAGAAAATGACATGCATTCGAACCACAGCACAAAACTCTGCAACGGGCTTTTGAAAATGCTAGAGTCTCTCCTCTTAGATGCAGCCTGAGACAAAGCCTTCTTAGAATCTTAGACGTCTTCTTTGAAATGACTCTAGGTCTTTCTAAATATTTGCGTTGATAGTATAAACGGACCCATGATTAACCATCTTGGGGAGAGATGGTGATTGGGCGATGGGGGCCATGGCTAGCCTTCTTCCCCCAAAACCCAACCCTGGTTTCGTATACAGGCCAGCACTTTAAAAGCGATTGGTGTCTGTAGTCACTTTAAAAATAATTCAGCTCACAACAAGGACTCCGTGTTCCCGATGCCTCAACCCCTACCTCTATTTTGGGATGCAAGCCCTGTTATCACTGAACAGAATGACATTCACAGCAGGTACAACTGACACATGGAAATTTGTTGGATCAGTTGCACTAATTGGATATCTGTGCTTGCAAGGATGATGGCACAAGTAGGAGGTGTTTAAACATGTGAGTTCAGAACCCTGTTTATGGTCCATTTCCATGTAAATGAGGAGCAATGGCAGTTTAAGTGCAAGGTACCTGATAATAGACCAAGGGCAGCCCCCACACTGAAGGAATGAAGGCTTGAACAGAAAGTCTATGAGGAATAAAAGAAAACTGTGTTTTTCTCACCTTCCTGCATGTAAGATTTATGCAAGAAACTCCCATTAGCACTAATGAGAGTTATGCATGTAAATCTCCCATGAAATGACAAGGATATGAGCCTCATCCATCACTGTGCAGATATCACAGTTTCTGGGGCAGGCTTCTTGCAGGCAGACTGCTGCACTGCGATTGATTTTGCCTGCCCTTCCTTAAGGTGCTGAAACAGCAAGCCTCCTGCAGCAGGCCTGGTGGGAGAGGCTCTGGGAGGGGTGTCCCTGCAGAGCCATGCAGGGGCCAAAACTCCTGTCTGCAAGTGCTTTGAATAATTCATAGAGCATCATCAAAACCACCCACCTGCTCATGAAACTGTATTAGAAAAATAAAATGAATAACCTCATAGCCTGTGGATGGGATCCTCTTTTGCTCACCCCTCTCATATTTTATTTATTTTTTCTTAAGAGAGCATGCAAAGCATTTTAAATAAGTTCCCAGCAATGAAATGTCCCAATTTCCCTATCCTCTGCTCATGTAGTTGTACTGTGAATGCATTAGAAATTAGACAAATTGCCTTTTTCTCACACAGGACCTATATTTTTCTGCCTCAGTGCCTTTGCTCAGCTGGTGGAAGATTCTTTCCACACTATTCTCTCAAATTCAATAAAGCTATTTGGATCTCCAGGCCAACTTTCTTCTTTCCAAGGGCCTGGTGTCCCTATGTTTGCCACCAATGATATGGCTCTAACCCTCCCTCCCTGTGGTCCTCCATGGGTCTGTCTTAGCTACATCCCCAGGGTGCACATCCTGACCTGCTGTGGGGTCCTTAGCTCCTCCAGGGCCGCTGTCGTCTTCTGTATCTTTGGGACCCTTTTCAGATTCAACACATTGACTTGCACATGGTCTCTCCGTGAATATGTGGTGAATATAAACATGAATAATTTATTTTAAAAAGGAATGCACATATGCATGGCACAGCATTCTTAAAGCTTCAAGAGATATACTATGAAAAGCAATTTTTCTCCCCCCAGGCACCTAATTCCTTCCCTCTGAGACAACCTGTCCTGTGGTCTTCCTCTGAAGTCCAATGCACTGACAAGCATCTACGTATACATACATGCTTTTTATAATACACAAATCATAACATTACATGCATGGTTTTTTCACCCTGTACATTTTGTTTAATATTATATCTTGGGCTAGGTTTATATAATCTCCTTCATTAAAAAAGCAAATTTATCATGCTCCATTACATGAATATAGCATGATTTATTTCACCAGTCTCCTATGGATGAATATTTGTTTCCAGAATCTTGTTCTTATAAACAAGACTTGTAATGAATGCAATAAAAATAGCCAACATTTCTAATACAAAAATGCTTGCTAAGTGACAAGTGCCATTTTCACTCATTCAATCAATTTTTACCACAACTGTCTTAGGTATAAATACTGTGATTATTCCTGGCATACAGAAAAGGAAACCACAGCAGGTAGAGACCAGTAGCTCGTCCCGGGTGAAGCCACACTTGGTTCTTGCAGGTGTGGTCAGAGGTCATGCTCTTGGCTTCTGCACTGGCTGTCTATTTATAAATGCTACTTTGCTCTCCTGTGTGTAAATATTTGTACACTAAATATCTAGAAGTGGAATTACTAGTACAGAGGATACACCCTTTCTGAGCTTCATTGATATTGCTAATTATTTTCTATAACCCATACTTTTCAATACTTTGCTATCAGCCTGCCTGTCTACTGTCCACTGAGAGGGAAAGAAAGCCATGACTTAGTGACTCCACTTGGAAGTTATGGTGTCATGAGTTTGAGCAGCTTTTCTGATGTCAAATTCATTTTTATCTCCTCTGAATTGTCTTCCATATCCTTTGCCCATTTTTAGTTAATATTTTTATTTGTTAAATTTAATATGCTAATACGCCACTACGTTTACCCATTTATGCTATATTTTAATGAAGTAATTTCTTATTTATTAGTACAATATTAAAACAATACCTGCACTAAAATTTCCACCTTTCTACATTGTCTTGAACGTTCTTTTGACTCAGCAAGATTTATTCATTTCATTTCTGCAGTATCTATGTTTAAGTTTAATGTCTTACATGGACCTAAATATGCTCTTCATTTCACTTGGCCATATTCTATTAATTCCCACCCATAGATTTTACGCTGGATTTATTTATTTATGAAAGATACCTATGATATTAACGCTAACATGATTTTTATCCTGGTCAAATTAGAATTTTGTCCACAAGACTAATGAAAATGATACATCTGCGAATTGCTCCTCCTAACAAAGTGTACCCCCAGTGGCCATTCTAGAACCTTCTATGGAATGTGGGTACATGAGAATTCTCCTTCACAAGTGAAAAGAAAGATTATGTATTACTAAACATTAATATTCTCTGGGAGATACATTGTATGAGGCTTAGCATATTGAATAAACTCACACATTTCTATTTTTGGAAGAAAATTTAAAAGCTCAACACCGATTTTTCATGATAAAAATTTGGCTAACTACATTTAAGAAGGATGATTGATCTAAGCAGACAACGAAGTCTACATACAACAAGCTTAAATGGAAGATGCTGCTAGTTATTTAAATAGGATATGCTTCTCCAAACATACTAACAATAGTAAATTTTTATGAATATGATGGTATATAATCTTTTTAAAATTAGAACTCAAGGAAATAATGTAAACTACTACTAAGGAGAAAATACGAAACAGTGAACAAAGTATCCAGCTTAAACCACCACAGTACCATTTCCCAGCAAAGGCTGCAGAACACAAATTTCTTTCCAGGCTTCTAGAAGAAAAATTGTCTCCAGGGAATTTGTAGAGGTACCTCCTTCAAGACATGGGGCTGTCCATAAACTGTGGAGTGTGTCAGACCTTGGACTGTGAGCTTGTTGGAGGCACAGACCCGGCTTTAATGCAGACACTGTGCACCAAGCACCTCCTCCATCCGTGTTACTGCTTCTCATTTTGTGAAGCGGGGATAGAGCCTGATGCAGTCTGATATTCAAAACCATTAGTACCAGTAATCTGAGGAACCACTTTAGCCCACTCCACGGTCTTCCAATCCCTTCTGCCCTGACCAGAAAAAAAATAAAATAAAACTTATAAAAGAATTCTGATGAGGTCAGAAACTGATACCTCTTCCTGAGATTTATGTGAATTTGTGTAGCTCCAGCAAAATGTCGTGCTTGCTTGACAACTTCAGGCTTAGAAAGTTTCCTACTTCTGTTCCAAGGGGAAATGGAAACAAGGGCATTCAAGCTTAGAAATTCTCTTGTGGAAAATCCATTTGTGTGAAGCTTCCATGGACCTGTGGGGCACCTGACACCGCTGGGACCTCTCAGCTCACACAGCCCCCAGAAGGACCTATAAGGCTGTGCCACACACCAGAGGTAGGTGGTCCATGCGCTGACTCCACTAACTACAGCAGGACTCTCAGCAAAGCAAAGAGAAACTCATCTCTGGCAATCTCCTGCCTCCCATCCTCCTAGGTGGACCCCTGGTGTCTAAATCCCTTGACAATATCTGACTGCCCCTTAGATCTGAATCCCCCTAAGCGGTCCATGGTCCTGAACCACATATCCTATTTTCC
The DNA here is from genome assembly GCF_000001405.40 of Homo sapiens. Taxonomy (NCBI): domain Eukaryota; kingdom Metazoa; phylum Chordata; class Mammalia; order Primates; family Hominidae; genus Homo; species Homo sapiens. Next base: position 2,048,749 of record NC_000002.12, read on the forward strand.
AACTTTGCTTCCATCAGGGTGTCGCCTGACTTCAGGTAATTGTCCTCAGTTAGGAGGAAGGAGATGCCATGATTTGCAGTTTCCACCACACTCCGGAATAGGAGGACAGGGATCAGTAGTTTGGCATCCTACTCTCCTACAGGGTGGTGGCCTGTGACTTTGATAACACAAGTCATGAGAAATGCAAATTTCTACTATTTCTTAAACTACAGTCCAGAAAAATAAAAGCTCAAACAATTTTATTTATTTTTAACTATCCATAATATTTTATAACATCACATTGCAATAAACATTGTTTTAATGAAATCATAACAATTATGATAGAAGCAACACAAATGAATCACTCTGAAAACAATTGAAAAGCATTATTCCATGAGTTAAGGAGGATCTTGACAAAGCAAGACTCAAAATTATTTGGTTGCTTTCTGGGGAAACATGTATGAGGATGATGACTATAAAGTTATATTAACGGCACTGAGTCATTAAAGCAAAACAATTTGATTTGGTAGCAACCTAGCAGTTCCACAAGTTCTCTGTGTGTATATACACATAGTACATTATCTATGCACACAAGTGATATATATTATACACGGTTATCAGAGAGACACAAGAATAATAATGTATAATACCTGCATATGGCTTTGTAGAGATAGTAGAGTGAGTTCACAGTAGTTAACAACATTGGCTTGGAAGTTAAAATGCCTACATAAATTTGAATCCCATCTGTGTCATTTATTAACTGTGTAATGTTAGACAAATTATTTAACTTCTCTGTATATTAATTTTCTCCTAACATAAATTATGAATATAGATAGATAGATAAATAGACAGATAGACAAGGTTTGGGTCTGTGTCCTCACCCAAATCTCATCTTGAATTGTAGCTCCCATAATTCCCACATGTTGTGGGAGGGACCAGTGGGAGATAAATGAATCATGGGGAAAGCTTCCCCCATACTGTTCTCATGGTAGTGAATAAGTCTCATGAGATCTGATGGTTTTATAAGAGGTTTCCCCTTTCACTTGGTCCTCATTTCTCTCTTGCCTGCCGCCAGTTAAGACATGGCTTTCGCCTTCTGCCATGATTGTGAGGCCTCCTCAGCCATGTGGAACTGTGAGTCCATTAAACCTCTTTTTCTTCATAAGTTGCCCAGTCCCAGGCATGTCTTTATCAGTATTGTGAAAATAAACTTATATACGTGTGTGTGTGTGTATATATATATATATAAATATGTATATAGTACTAACTTCATAGGGGGTTTTTTGACGATGAAATGAGACATGGTGAGTGGCACTTTTAGAACCAAGCTTGGTACAGAGTGGATGCTTAATAAATGATTAGCAGCTATTATCATCTTTTGTAGTTTACATTAGGTTCATGATATCCATCTCACTTGACCATTTACTTCTGTTTTACAAAAAAAAGAACAAATTTTTTGTAGAGATTTGCCCAAAAACAAGTGATCGCTGGCAGTTTCAGGACTACCTGATGACATTTGCTCACTGTTTTAAATATATTTCTTTCAAAGGGTCAAAGAATATAGATTTACAGAGTTGGAGCTATTTCAGCAGATTTCTCCTTCTGGACACGATATGCTTTTCTTTAAAATAGTCACCATTCAGAACACAATTCATGTAGTTTTTCGGGAAACAGATATTGATTTTATTTTAAGGACAGTCTTTAGCATGGAAATTGGATGCAGAGTGTGATTTTCTCTTTGGGCTCTGGTTCAGGGGAAATTGGATTTCCTAGAGCACCAGCTGCGGAGGCGCCACAGGTGTTCACGGCTCAGCAATCACAGTGGCTAATTGGGACACACGAGGACAGAAAAATGCCCTAAATCTAAATCTTGTTCTATGGCATTTTTATTTCTCCCATAAGATCAAGCCCCAAAGTCCTTCTTAAGTGGAGATGCTAAAGGAAGCTAAGCTGCTGCAGACAGAAAAGATGACACATGGTAGGGGGAGCACTGCAGGGGAGGGAAGAGCTGAGAGCGGCAGAAGGTAGCGGGACTTGGGGTTGTGTGCAACAGCTGCTGCTTTGCCGTGGCGGTGGTGCTAAGGGCCTTTCCATCTGAGTGTTTCTGATTCTGAGTTGTAATCTGAGGGTAGGACTAGCAGAACAATTCCTGGAGTCTACAGTTGGACAAACTGCACAACAGCTACTAAAATTGAATTCAGAAAGTTGAATACAGTAACATCCAACTTTGGGGGTAGAAAGGATGGCAGGCAGATGAGTGAAAGAAAGTAGTCATCAATTTCAAGGACTGAGAGGAGGTATGCAACTTCTTAGAGAGGACCATTCTGTTCTACGTTCCATCTGATAGGGTAAGAAATAGAACCACACCCCATTCTGTCTCTCATGGACCACAGAACACAGACAGTACCCATGCTCATTTTATAAACACCAAACCTAAGCCATGGGGAGCTAAGCCCTTTGTCCTAACATGCAGCTGTACGTGACAACTGAATAGTATTCCACGTCCATTACTTGATGCTTCCCATCTCTAAGTTTTGTATTTTTCTTCTCTCAAGTCAGCCATTTCCAGATTTATTCATCTAATAAACTAATCTTTAAAGATCCACTTTTGGGGTGATCTGCTCTTCAAAGTCCTCTTTGATTCCTCTGCTCCTAGTTAAGATCTCTTCTGGGTCCTCCTCAACAGCCTGCACAGACCTCTGTGGATTCATTGAGATGTGACTGAGTACCTAATACGGCCCAGGAAACATGTCCAGCAATGAACCGCTGGACACCAGCGTATCTTCAATCACTGAGATTAGGTGGAACATCCCATGCCATTGTTGACTTTCTACCTAAGAAATTACTACTAGAGAACAAAGCCTTCAAAATTACTGCTAGAGAATTAAGCCTTAAAAACAAAGCTGAGTTTTTAAGAAACTAAACAGACACAACATCTTCATCTTTGGGGAAGATTTTAGAAAACTTTATATTTGATATTCTTATGTAATTGCTCATTACTAATCATACCAGGGTCAGAAAAACTAGGTAAAAATCTGAACTTTTTCTTTCCAAACAGAAATAAGGTCATGGTACACGCTTAAATTGCATATAGAAATTCATTACCAGAAAATATAAGAAACCCTGTTTCTGTCTCATTAAGAAACTTAGCCATATGATCTACAAATTCAGTGCAATCCCTCTCAAAATCTTAAGGTCATTTTTTTTTCAAAAATAAATATATTGCAAGATTCGTAAATGTTAAGAGATCCCCAAATAGCCAAAACTATATTGAAAAAGAACATAGTTAGAAATTTCATACTTTCTGATTTGAAAACTTACAACAAAGCTACTGTAATCAAAATAGTGTGGTACTGGCATAAAGACAGAGAAACAGACCAGTAGAACAGAATAGAGAACCCAGAAATAAATTCTTGCATATACGGTCAAATGATTTTTGACAAGGGTGCCATAACCATTTATTGGAGCAAGGACAGTCTTTTCAACACACAGAGTATACCCACATGCAAAAGAATAAAGTTATAACATTACCTTAAACCTGTAAAAAGAAAAATTAACTCCAAATGGGTTAGCAACTTAAACACAGAGGCTAAAGCTATAAAACTCTTAGAAGAAAATAGGAAGGATCAGCTTCCTGACATTGGATTTGGCAATGATTGATTGGATATGATACCCAAAGTATAGGTTAAAAAAATGTCTAAATTGGGCAACATCAAAACTTAAAACAACGAAATGTTTGTGTGTCAAGGGACACTACCAACAAAGTGAAAGGCAACCCATGAAACAGCAGAAGATATTTGCAAATCATATATATGATAAGGAGCTAATATCTATAATATATAAGAATTCCTACAACTCAAAAACAAATAACTGATTAAGGCAAAGGACTTAGACATTTCTCCAAAGAAGACATGCAAATGTCCCATAAACACATGGAAAGATGCTTAACACCACTAATAATGAGGGAAATGCAAATCAAAACCACAATAGGATGCCACTTCACATCCATCAGGATATCTATTATTTTTAAAAAAGAAAACCACAGGAAAGAGTTAAGTGTTGGCCTGGATATGGAGAAATTGGAATCCTTGTGAACTGTGGCGATAATGCACCACTTTATGGTGCAGCCACTATTGAAAAGAGTGGCATTTCCTGAACAAATTAAAAATAAAATATGATCTACATGATCCAGCAATTCCACTTCTGGGTTGATGCTCAGGAAATGTGAAATCAGGGACTCAGATATATATTTCTACACTCAAGCTAATAGGAGCATAATTCACAGTAGCTGAAAGGTGGAGGCAGCACACGTGTCCACTGACAGATGTACAGTGGACTATTATTCAGCCTTAGAAAGGAAGGATGCTCTGACCCATTCTACGACATGGCTGGATGTTGAGGGCATTATGCTAAGTGAAAGAGAGCAGTCACAAAAGAACAGATACCGTACAATGCCACTCACATGAGGTAAGACTAGTGGTCATATTCACAGAGAGAGAAAGCAGAATGCTGGGACCCAGAGAGTGTGGGGGAGGCCTGGGGAGGTAGTGTTTAACGGGGACAGGGTTTCAGTTAGGGAACGAAAAAGTTCTGAAGACGGCAGGTGGTGACCATTGCACCACTATGTGAATACACTTGATATCACTAATTGCACATTTGAAAACTGTAAAAATGGTAAATTTCATGTTATATGTATTTTACAATTATTTTGAAAACAAAAGGCCATAACCTGAAGTTTTTCAAGAAGCATGACTCCCAGAGCCCACAGTGGCAGCAAGGGACGTTTGTCAACAGTAACTGACAGAAACCTACAGGAACCCTAGGCAATGCAAAACAGGCCCTAATTAATGACCTTCTTAATTTCCTCAAATATAAAATATCCCAAAATAGAACTAATAATGGACACAGGGATCTGATTTTAAAGGGGCTTTGTACAAGGGAGCTTCTCTATGACTGCTGAAAGGTGAACCAGGCCTATTAGTATGCTTATCAATTCTTCTTTTGGGTGATGTTATAACTAGATAACAGAAGGCTACTTGAGTCTATGTTTACCAAGAGATTACACATTCTGACTTTATATTGAATTGTTTATTAAAAGCAAGAGGTGTTGTATTCTTTATCAAATAAAATGCTGCTTCATTCACAAACCTATATTTATGCCTTTTCAAAGTAACATATTTTAAGGTAAATATGCAAAACACCTGTCTGCATGTAAAGCTTAAAATATTAATACCACATAGAGTTCCTCACCTTTAGGTGGCTCCTCGGATATCCATACGTCTGTGAGACCAACTGGAACCTTTCTTGATGGAATTTTGTTGATAGCTTGAAAGATGCAAACACTTGATTGAATTCAATAACTACATTTTTTTCTTCTTCCACCAGATGTGGCCACTCTAGAGAAGAACAAAAAGGCAGAATAATGAGGCTGATATTCACAGTAAAAGCAAAACTCTACTTGAGGGACGTGATTGTCAGGTCTTTAATGCATCTGCTGCAAGTAGGCAATGAGGCCACGCTGGGTGCACAGACACATGGAGATGATGAGACATACAGAGATGAGATGCATGGGGATGATGACACAAATGGAGATGAGACACATGGAGATGATGAGATGCATGGACATGAAACACTAGGAGATGAGACACATGGAGATGAAATACACAGAGACCATAAGACACATGGGGATGATGAAGCACATGGAGATGAAACACTCAGAGGTGAGATCATAGAGACGCATGGGGATGATGAGACATATGGAGACACATGGAGATAATGAGACACAGAGATGAGATCCATGGGGATGATAAGACACGTGGAGATGAGACAGATGCAGATGAAACACACGGAGATGAGACACATGGAGATGAGACACAAGAGATGATAAGACACATGGAGATGGAACACACAGAGATGATGAGAGATACGGAGATGAGGTGCATGGAGGTGAGAAGCATAAAGATGATGAGACACATGGATATGATGAGATGTATGGAGATGACAAGACACATCATGAGCACATGGAGATGAGATACATGGAAATGAGATGCATGAAGATGAGACACAAGAGATGATGAGACACATGGAGATGGAACACACAGAGATGATGAGAGGTATGGAGATGAGGTGCATGGAGGTGAGAAGCATGAAGATGAGACACATGGAGATGGTGAGATGCATGGAGATTATGAACACATGGAGATGAGATACATGGAAATGAGATGCATGGAGATGAGACACAAGAGATGATGAGATGCATGGAGATAAGATGAGAGGGATGGTGGTGACAACAACCTCGTATCACACCCAATTAATTTCCAATAAATCATTCCTTATAGAAAAACCTTTTAAGAAAATTAATGAAATTACTCTTTGTAATATAAAAAATACACAAAACTATATTCTTATAAAACTAAGGGAAAGAGTCATTTTTATGATTGAGTCTACAAAGTATTAAGACTACAAAATGTGTAGAAACAAATTACAGAAGCATACGGGATGTATCTGCACATGTATTTCATAGCTTATATCATCAGCGGGTTGTCATGTGTGTTTGTATTTTTGTCCTTCTCAGTTCAAAGGATAGCAAATAAGTTGTGATTTCCACATAAAAGATTTTACAAGAGCATGTTATTAATTAAAAAGCAAAACAAAATGCAACATCTTGGGTAATAATTTAAAATTTTTTATTTGTTATAGCTATAAAGCAACATCCAAATAGTGTTTAAAATGGGGCTTATGCATAAACTTCTGTGATTAATGTTTATATAGTAGGCACAGTTATTTCCAACACATTCTGAGCTATTACTTACTAAATTGACTAAGAAAGGTTGGAATGGTATTCGACATAGTGGTTTTATAAAAATGCAAGTTAATTCTCACCATTTGAAAGACAAAAAATAGACAAATTTAAATAAATCTTATAAACAAACCAACATAAAGCAAAACAAGTGATTGAGAAATAGTAGGATTGGACATTAATAATCAAAGCCACTCTAATATATTGCCAGTACTATGCTTAAAACAATCATAATATTTTGCTTTCATAAAATATTATTACGTTAATTTACACAATGACTTACTCTACTGGTAATCCTAAAAATTCATCTCTATCACTTTAAGCTTGTTAGCATGTTCTATAGATTCATCGTGTTGTCCATCGTTGTTTTGGGAAAAGTGTTTTTTCTATTCTTCAGTGTTCACAAAAGGTAACAAGGAGGAAGACCTGGAGACCATCAGGCCATTCCTGTGGGAGCAGCCGCAGTCCCAGTGCCTCAACGGCAGATATGACTGATCATTGTCAGGAGAGGGACAGGTTTTTCATTAAAGTGATAAGTATCTACAAAACAGAATTTTGTGGACAAAATGAAAGGTTTTATTTGGAGCGTGCTCTGTTCTCCAGGCGCACATTCACAAATCATGGAGTCAGGAGTGCCCTTCCCATTCCCAGGTGAAACAGCAAAGCACCTTCAGCCTCTCATCAGGGCTGCTTGTCCAAATACTCCAGTTTGGGTGCTCCTGGCTCCTTTCCTGGGTCCCTCAGGCTCTCCAGGCGTGAGGACACACCCTCACAAACATGAGAACCCCTCTTGGAGGAAGGGGAGTTAGAGTAATTGCTGGAGGTGAGACTACCTTTGTTCCAAGATGCATTCCCGTCTGGGAGTAATTTATGAGATGTAGATTTAAAAGCCACTGACAAATGAACTATAGGCTAAATGCCCTTGCAGGGTATATGATGCTGCTGCTTACTAAATGTGTGTGCACATCCATCCGTCCATCCATCCATCCATCCAACTACAGTGTGCTTTTAACAATAGGTCCTCACTAGGTAAAGATTCACAGAACAATTAGGTAAGGAGTGAGTGAGTCAGTGACCTCCTTTTCCCAGTTCTTCAGGTGCGGTAGGAAGGAATATGCACCCACGGTTCTGGCTGCTCACAGTTCCCTGTCACAGATGCTGCTTGTGATCACTGGTAATGGAATTCCCAGGATGAACTCTTAAACGGCATGTTTAGCAGGCAGCTTAGCTGCAAAACAAAAATAACAGCAGCCAGGCGGAAGCTCCTTGGGGCTCTCAGTCACACTCTGTTCTCAGCCAAAGTTTTGCTGGCCTTTCTCCTCATCCACCCTTCCTCTAATCTCCCAAATGAGAATGAGTGGGTTTTTCTTTACGGCATTTGTCATTATCTGGGATTATATCACACAGATTTTGGTTTTAAACTGTTTTGAGGTAACTGTAGATTCACATGCAGCTGGAAGAAAGAATACAGAGATCCCATGCACCCGTCTCAGTGTCCGCCAATGACAACATTTTGCAGAACCATAGCACATACAGGCAGAACGACATTGATTCCTCCCACCGATGTCCAGATTTCCTACTTCTCTTGTGTTCATATATGTGCATGCGATTTTAGCACCAGTGTAGGTTTCTGTGTCTATGACCACAGTCAACATGCAGATAACTATCACCGAAGGAGCAAGAGTTCCTCTGTGTCCTTTTATAGCCCCGCCCACATCCTGCCCTTTCATCACCAAGTCCACCCTCTTCCCTTTCATAGCCACGCCCAGCCTTTTCCTGTTCATCACCACGCCCACTCCCTGCCCTTTCACAGCCACGCCCAGCCTCTTCCTGTTCATCACCAAGTTCACTCCTTTCCCTTTCATAGCCACACTCACCCTTTTCCTGTTCAGAGCCACGCCCATCCTTTTCCTTTCATAACCATGACCACCCCATTGTCTTTCATTGCCACGTCCATCCCCCTTCCAATTAATAGCCACGCCCACTTCTGCCCTGCACATAGCCACCCCCACCATCTTTTTTCATAACCAAGCCCAGCCTCTTTCCTTTCAGAGCCACACCCATATTCCTTCCCTTTCAGAGCCAACTCTCCTACCCTGAACTCCTGGCAACCACTCATCAGTGTTTCCTGTCGTTTTGTTATTTCAAGAACGTTCTATAAATGAAGTCATACACTGTGCAAACCTTGCAGATTGGCTTTTCTTATTCAGCATAATTCTCTGGAGCTTCCATCTGGGTTGTATCAATAGTTTATTCTTTCTAATGGCTGAGTAGTATTCCATGGCATGGCTGTACACAGTTTAACTCTTCATGCTCTGGAGGCCATCTGGGCTATTTCCAGTTTTTGGCTACCATGAATAAAGCTTCTGTAAAGATGTGTGTGCAGGTTTTACTGTGAATGTACATTTCCATCTCTCTGGGATTAATGCCTGAGAGTGGGATAGCTGGGTCATACAGCAATTACATGGCTAGCTTTAAAAGAAAACGCCAAACTGGTGTGAGTGGCTATACCATTTCACTTTGCCTCGATCAATGTACCAGTGATTCAGTTTCTCATTGTCTTAGTCAAAATTTGGTGTTTTCTTTGTGTTTTATGTCACTCATTCTAGGTATGTAGTGACAGCTCATCATGGTTTTAACTGGCATTTGCCTAATAGTTGATGGAATTAAATATCTTTTCATGTACATTTAAATTTCATCTTTAGTGAACTATCTGCCCATGTCTTTTGCCCATTTTCTTACTACATTGTTTTAAATCGTTGAATTTGAGATTTCATTGTATATTCTAGATACTAGTTCTTTGATGAATATTTGATTTCTAAGTATTTTTGCTACCTTGTTGCTTGTCTTTTCGTTGTCTTAACAGAGTGTTTTGTAGAGCAAAAGTTTTAATTTTAGTGACATCCAATTCATCAATTTTCCCTTGTGGATTATGTGTGTGTATATACCTGTTTATGCATTCATGTTCTGTCTTTCCCCACGGAAAAGCTACATTCCATTATGGTAGACACTTTGCTATCTAACTTATTTGTAAATCACAAGAGTCTAGAATTGTGCCTGGCACACACTAATGATCAACAAATTTATGCTGAATGAATAAATAAATGAATAAACACTAATTTATTAGGTAAAAACATTTTAAGTAAGTCTTTTTTCTAACACTGGGGAATGATAACAGTAGTAAAAGTGGCATATTAACATTCTGCAAAATGATTTTAAATCCATTATTCTCTTGGGTTTTCATCATCCCCTGTGGGGAGGACAGTTCAGGTATGATTCTCTTACTTCAGAGATGAGCCCAGGGATGTGAGGCTCCTTCTCAGTGACATCTGTGTCTTGTTTCCACTCTAGTATGTTTCTGCCCAGGATTCCCTCAATATTTAGAAGCGATTGAGGATGATTAAAGAAAGTGTTCATTCATATGGGGGCAACAAAACTATAGATCTTACTACCTTCAAGTGGAATATGAATTGAAACCATACCTAAGTGTGACTGCAGTTTATATAAACTCAAGGACAATTGGGTCATGTCTGCTGTTTGAGAGAAGGAAGAATTCACTCAGTCTTATAGACACAGTGGTCTTGTTATTCCTCAAAAGGTCTGCGTGTCACCCACACTGGCGGGAACTGAATGGCCGTTCCCATTTCTCTGAACAAAGGGTGCCTGGCTGAGTGGGCCTGCAGTGGCCATAGCATCCCAGCTTCTTACTCTGGGTGAGGGCATCAACGGGGTCGCAACTGCTTTTCGCAGGATTGTTTTATTATTTCCAGTGACTTTCCATGAAAGCACATGCCATCTTGTCCCATGCAACACAAAACATGCAGGGCACCGCAGTAAGCACCCGACGGTCTCGTGGCACCATAGTAAGCACCCGGCGGCGGTCTCACAGCACCGCAGGAAGCACCCAATGGTCTCACTTTCCGTTTGTGTTGATGAGCAGAGCCCCCTGGAACCAGGTGCATTGCCCAGTGCTGGCGGCACTTCATCCCCACTGAGGGTGGACATGCATGCAGTGAGTTCTCCACACAGTCCCTGCCAAAGGCCTTGCACCAAAGCACAAACGGACGCAGGACTGCAGTTCGGCAGGGGGCACACAATGCATGGGTGACATTTCTATGAAAAATTTCTCTCTGAAAGTCCTTAATTATGTCTGCGTCGTAGGCTCTTCACCTTTCAGAATCATCGCAGTTAAAAAAAGAAAGAATAAGGAAAGGCCTCAGTACAGAGAAAAATTGTTCTATAGATAAATAATTATAAACGGATGACTGTCACTGAAAATGTGGTGGGTTTCCTAGAAAGAGTTTTGTAGGAAGCTTTGGAGGCTGCAACACATCTTGTGTTATGGTTTTCTCTTGACTCTGTCAGAGAATTTAGCATACCATGCTGTAACTGTAGATCTCCTAAGCGGCACCCCAACCCCACCACGAGCTCGTCAGGGCAGGGGACAGAGCCCATTAGATTCTAAACCCCAGAACTGGGCCCACTGCAGACATAGAGCATGTGTGGAACTGAAGTTTGCTCAATTTCATGAGTGAACCAAAGACGAACTAAACTAACAAACTTCTATCTGTCATCTCATGGCCAGCCACAACACCTGGGCACATCAGATAGCGTGGCAGCAAGGAAGGACTGCAGCTTCAGGGGTGACACTCCCTGCTCTTCAGTTTGGGACTGTAGGGTCCCTTTCACAGGAACTTAGGCCATTTCCTCATTTTCACATCGTATAGAACAAATAAGTGATTGTACAAACTCAGTTGTAGATCAATGAATTATTCATAGCTGTATTATAAAATTCATTTTAACTTTGTCATTATTAATATTCATGATATATGAAAAAGATTTTTACTTTCCCCCTTTAACAAGGGTACTTGCTGTTTAATTTATTTTGAGTTAATTATGTAGTGAATAAAAAATCATTATTTGTCCAAAAATTCAAGAATGATCTATTACTTTATGTTTAGTTATTTAGACAGATTATATATTAAGAGACAGACTGAAATTTAATGATATATCCTGTAATGAAAAGTAGGCATAAAATGACATTCTGTTTGAAAGTTTTGCATTTGAGGCTAAAGAAAGCCAAACTTGTTTATTCACTTTTTCTCTCCTTTCTTCTCTCGCTGTCTCTCTCCCTGTCTCCCTCCCCTCCCCTCCCCTCCCCTCCTCTCTGCCCTTCTCTTCCCTTCCCTCCCCCCTCCCTTCCTTTTCCCTCCCTCCCATCTTTGCCCACTTCCTCTCTCCCTCCCTCTCTATTCTTCCTTTCCTTTCCTTTCCTTTCCTCTTCTCTCTCTCTCTTTCCCTCTCTCTCTCTCTCTTTCCCTCTCTCTCTCTCCTTCCTTTTTTTTGGTTCTTAAAAAAGTTTGTTGCCAAATAATGAGGTAGAAGACAACATTCCAGGCTGATATTTGTAAGCACTTCTCCATATATATATTATAAATAGTGATTTTTATTCTTAATATATAAAAAGCTAATTTGGTTATACATTTTACTGTAAATTGTTTTTCCTTTTAACATTTAAAGAATCAGAGAAATAGTGATCTGCAATGGGAAGGTTTTGATTAATAGACGTGACTTAGAGAGTGGGTACAGATAATTTTGAGGCAGATTTGATCCTTGCTAGTTTGTATTTTATTCTCAGGGTTCCTTATGCTTCTTGTTTTCACTAGTGGCTCATTGTAAATGTGTGGTTTAACTCGTCCATGGCCCAGCATTAGGGAGCTGTGGACCCTGCAGCCTGGCTGTGGGGGCCGCAGTGGCTGAGGGGTGCAGAGCCGAGTCACGGGGTTGCCAGCACAGGGGCTTAACCTCTGGTGACTGCCAGAGCTGCTGGCAAGCTAGAGTCCCATTTGGAGCCCCTCTAAGCCGTTCTATTTGTAATGAAAACTATATTTATGCTATTCAGTTCTAAATATAGAAATTGAAACAGCTGTGTTTAGTGCCTTTGTTCAACCCCCTTGCAACAACCTTGAGAACCCCAGGGAATTTGTCAATGTCAGGGAAGGAGCATTTTGTCAGTTACCAAATGTGTTTATTACCAGAGGGATGGAGGGAAGAGGGACGCTGAAGAACTTTGATGCCCTCTTCTTCCAAAGATGAAACGCGTAACTGCGCTCTCATTCACTCCAGCTCCCTGTCACCCAATGGACCTGTGATATCTGGATTCTGGGAAATTCTTCATCCTGGACCCTGAGAGATTCTGCAGCCCAGCTCCAGATTGCTTGTGGTCTGACAGGCTGCAACTGTGAGCCATCACAATGAACAACAGGAAGAAAAGGTCTTTCAAAAGGTGATGTGTGTTCTCATCAACCTCATACACACACATGGTTTAGGGGTATAATACCTCTACATGGCTGATTATGAAAACAATGTTCCCCAGATACCATCCCTGTCTTACTTCCAGCTCCCCAGAGGGAAAGCTTTCAACGCTTCTAGCCATTTCTTTTGGCATTTGCCTTCAGACCCTACACGAATGCGTCTCTACCACAGGGGGCTGCGCGGTTTCCCATCATGAAGCACTGAACTTCCACGTCTCATCTAGGGGAACAGGGAGGTGCACTAATGCGCTCCACGCCCAAGCCCTTCTCACAGTTTCTGCCCCCAGCATGGTTGTACTGGGCAATACATGAGATTATTAGGAAATGCTTTACTGTCATAACTATGAAGAGACTATTGCCAGATGAACCACACATTAATACTATGTTTCTTATCTGCACATTACTACCCTGCAATTAATATAATTGTGTCCATGTACACACGCTGTCCTATGTACTTATCATGACTCTATCCCAAATTCCCAATTACGTCCTATCTTCTTCTTAGGGAAGAACAGCTTAGGTATCAATTTGGTGTTCTGTGTAAAGTCTCAGGGAGCCGTCCGTGTCCTCCCATCTGGCCTCGTCCACACTGGTTCTCTTGAAAGCTTGGGCTGTAATGATGCCCCTTGGCCATCACCCAGTCCCTGCCCCATCTCTTGTAATCTCTCTCCTTTTTGCTGCATCCCTGTCTTCCTCTGTCTTGATTTACTTGTTGTTGGTTTTCTGTTTCTTTGTTTGATTTGGTGGAAGACATAATCCCACGCTTCCTATGGAAAGGTTGTTGGGAGATTTTTAATGATTCCTCAATGTTAAAATGTCTATTTTTGTCTTGACACCCAACTAATATTTGTCTGAGCAAAACAGTCTAGATGAGAGAGAACTTCCCTGGAGGTCTGATGGCGTTTCTCCCTCGTCTTCTTACCTCTTGAGGATTCTTTGAATCCTTTCCCCTAGACCCTCATGCCCAGAGTCGTCATAATTTTCTCTTTGCTTCTAGTGTTTTAGTATTTCCCAAGAATGAGGGGGTGTGTAGATCTGTTTTCTCCCATCATGTGACATATCCTTCAGCTTTTCAAGGGCCATCGTCTTCCCTGCTTTCTTCAGTGGTTGTTTTCTCTCCATTTTCTCTGATCTCTTTCTGGAACTTACACGATTCAGCCAATGGTCCTGCGGGAGCTGGACAGACCCTCCAATCTTATTTTCCATCCCTTTGCCATTTTGTTCTAATCAGATTTCCTTTATCTTCTCACCTCTCTTGTGAGATTTTTTAAATTTAAATTTCAACACTCATCTTTAAATTTCTAAGTGATCTCTTAGTGATTCAACTCATCTTCTCCTTCTTCTACTTAAAATAAATGTGTTCTCATTCAGCAAACCCAATGTAGCTTCTCTTCTGTGACTCAGACAAAGTCAATGATAACTTCTTTGTTTCTCTTCAACAGTCTTTATTTTCTTCTTTTTTGTTTGTTTGGGTCCTTTTTATATTACAGGGCTTGCACGAACATCTAGAGATCTTCATTATCTGTTCATATTTAACAAGACAGCATTAGAAAGCCTCCTGGAAACCCTTTTCACATGGGCGGGGCCTTCTGACCTGTCGGGGGTCTTTGTGTGCTTTGCCTCCTGGGCTCCTGACTAGGGGTGCCTGTGCCCCCAGAGCATACAGCCAAGAACTGGATTCTGAGCCAGATGACATGAACTTGGATTAAAAAAAAGAACATGGCCAGGCGCAGCGGCTCACGCCTGTAATCCCAGAACTTTGGGAGGCCAAGGTGGGTGGATCACCTGCGGTCGGGAGTTTGAGACCAGCTTGGCCAACATGATGAAACCCTGTCTCTACTAAAAATATAAAAATTAGCTGGGAGTGATGACACGTGCCTGTAATCCCAGCTACTCGGTATGCTGAGGGAGGAGAATCGCTTGAACCTGGGAGGTAGAGGTTACAGTGAGCTGAGATTGCACCATTGCACTCCAGCCTGGGTGACAAGAGTGAAACTCTGTCTCAAAAAAAACAAAACAAACAACATAAAAACCACGTTTCCTTGATAATTCCTAACATATCTCTACAGGTCTCCTTGCTTGAGGCTGTCTACACTAAAGATGTTAACACTAGATATTCATGCCATGAGATCGGACACATAAGAATCTCTAGAAATTTAATGTAGAGAGCCTTGAACAAAAGGTTGTTTAATACCCATTATTTAAAACTAAGCTCTTTAGACACACAGGTCAGTTTGTATGTGATATCTGTATTCTTTAAGTATTGACAGCAGAACTGAGGAGGGGAGAAGCCCAGAGAAAGGGGCTATAGAAAATGGCAAGTGTGAAACCACATACGATGGGCAGACTTCACATTATTCCTCTTCACTCCCAGAAGCCACTTGGGGCAAACACGAGGTCAGTGCCTAGACCTGGTTGAGTTGGAGCCAGCTCAAGACCTAGCTTCAGACCCCCTGAGTACCTTGCTTGGGAGACTGTGTCCTAACAGCAGGTGAAATGGAGTCCACACCATCACAGTAAGGTTTGATGATTTCCAGTTGTTAACAGGATAGAAGTTGTCCAGGAGAACATGGGGAAGTGAAGTTTTCAAGATCAGGTGGAGGGAAGGACTCTGACATCCTGAAATGTAGATACGGTGTAGGTTTCCCAGGATGAACACATCAAGGACATAATTATCATGACCTCCCTGAGGGAGACTGAAAGTATCTGTGTACAGAGAGGAGACTTTAAGATATTGCTCAGGGAGTTTTTTGTGAGTTTTTTCAGTGCAATAATCTATACAATTCTGAATTAGAAACAATATAAGTTATTGACAATCTTCAACTGTTTAGATGAAATCACTGAGAATATTATGAAACATATAACATATCTAATAGAATTAATGTAGAAAAAGACAGATATTTCTATTTTAGTGAAATAAAAATACATTTCAGAAAAGCTTGTTGGAAAGTAAAATTTTCAATGAAATAACTTTTCCTCATTTATTTTCATTATGAAATATGAAACGATTCCTGATTAAAGTATTTTGGTGTTTAGATGTAATAAAGTCAAAATTAAGAAATGAGTGTATGACCAGGTACAGTGACTCTTGTGCCTGCCTGAAATCCCAGCACTTTGAGAGGCTAAGTTGGGAAGATCACTTGAGACCAAGAGTTGGAGACCAGCCTGGGAAACATAGGGAGAGGCCATCTCTAGAAAAATAAAAATGGTAGCCAGTCTTGGTGGCACACGCCTGTGGTCCCAGCTACTTAAGACACTGAGGTAGAAGCATAACTTGGGCCCGGAAGATTGAGGCTGCCGTGAGCCATGATAGTGCCACTGCACTCCAGCCTGGGCTACAGGGCAAGATCCTGTTTCAAAAAAAGAAAACAAACAAAAAAATCAAATGTACTTCTAAAACCTCATCACATTATAGTAGTATAGTTATAGCTACACTATTCAAATCAAAGATTAAAAAAATTTTAAAATAATTATAATACCCCAAATTAATGGCTACAAAGTCACAAATATATTCAAAGTTAGAATTTATAGCAATATAAAAACCTTGACAGCACATCTCCTCTGTTACCTTGCTGTATGCATTAATCCTTTCAAAGAGGCAGTCCTTCCCAAAGCAATTGCACTTTGATTAAATTGATCAGCTGCCTCAAACTCCTCATCATTTTAAACTCTTCATCCCGAGTAGCCATTTTAATCACCCTCCCCTAACCTGAAATTACCAGCCTCAGTAACCCGGCATGGTTTCCTGTAAGATTCTACAAAGGGAGCACATGTCTACCCCGCACTTCTCAGTGAGCGTCTTGCTTCCTTGCAATGAGTTCGCACTCAGAACAGCAGTGTCTCCATGCTGCCTCCCATTCCAATATGATCATGTGCATTTTTCACCTACTTGGAGCAGATGACACTTTTTAATTAACTTATAAAAATGCTGCTAATTTTGGAACTTAATAATTTCCTAGGGCATATCAATCTCTCTCTTTTATACACACACACACACACACACACACGCACACACACACACACACACACAGAGCATCTAGAACCAAAGTTGGAAGTTAAAACAGAAAGAAGAAATTGGGCATAAAATAACAGCAAGAAAACTAAAATTCTGATGTTTTCTAGGAATGATTTATCCTTTTGCAAAAAAAAGTGTGTCTTCCTGTCTCCTTGCCTCATGACGTTTTTCACACCAGCCCTTCCCACTAAATGTTTAAATTTTATTCATTTAAAAAAGCCCAGCTCAAATACCTTCTTTCAATTTCCAAAAAAAGTGATCTATAATCTTTAAATATCAAACACTTTTAAACTTCTTCTAATGTGGCACCAGAATTATATCTCATGTTAGGTTAGATCCACATCCTACTTCTCTTATTAAATAAGATCAGCACAGAGGAACGGTAATGATAATAGAAAAGTTCATATGTCCTTGCTGGGCACCAGGTGTGTTCTAAGAACTTTATAAACATTAATTCTTATAAACCTCAGCACAACTTCCAGTGAGGCAGGAACCCCTGGCATCTCAGTCTTCAGGAACACAGACCCTCAAGAACAGCCCCGCCTCTTCCCTGCTGTGTGATCACAGACACTCGCTTGGCCTTTGTGAACCTCACTTTCCTCATCATTAAAATAGCATGGCTCATAAATATTCTCTGTACATTTGTTGTGAATTTAAATAATATTTGTTTCTCATTCTTACCAAAGTGCTGACCTACAAACTACTGATTCTACAGCAAGACCAATTCCAGGAGAGGCTATGGGGGCAATGCCAAGAAACGAAGAAAACAGGGGTGGGGCATGGGGAGGAATGAGAGGTGACCTGGTCAGGGGCAGGTAGCTGCCCCTTGCAAGCATGGGGGAAAGGAGAAAAGTTGCCGCTGTCCTGTCCTTGCTATTACTCCATCCTGTCCTCAGAAGAACTGACCAAGAAATATCTGGACCAGATGGCGGAGCTCAGGAAGCCTTGGCAGTCAGGGTGAGTCAGTGTCATTGCAGAGGAGCCATTCAGAAAAGCATTTACATCTGGTCAGAAAATACAAAACCAGTAACACATTTAACAAAAGGTGTGTGATGCCTCTAGAGGGAAAGTCACAAAACTTTATTAAGAAATGTTAAAGGAGGCCTGAATCAACGGAGAGATAAACCACATCGTGATTAGGAAAACTTAATATGGTAACGGTCTCAATTCTTCTCCAATAGATAATGTGATTTCAATCAAAATATCAAATGAGACTTACAAGGAGCTTTATAGGTGTACACGAAGAAGTAAAGGGTCAGGAATATCTCCAACATTTGTAAAAAGGAGAATCAGGAAAGGGGGGTAGTTCTACCTGACATTAAGAATTATTCTGAAGCTGTAGTAATTAAATCCATGTGGTGTTGACTTGGGATACAGAAATTAATCTATAAAATAGAATAAAAACCTGTCAATAGGCCTATGAATATTGCATGAGGAGACTTCGGAATAGAGAAAGTATGCCACAAGATTAAAAATACATATATTCCTTAACAAGTAGAATGAAAAAAATGATTACTGACAAAAGATGGAACTGTATTCTCACATCATATGCAAAGAAAATTTAAGATGGATTAAGGAGTTAAATATCAAAAACTAAGCCTTAAGTCTAGGCACAGTGGCTCACGCCTGTAACTCCAGGGCAGAAGGATTGTTTGAGCCCAGGAGCTTGATACCAACCTGGATAACATAACAAGATCCTGTCTGTACCAAAACAAAAACAAAAACATAAAACTAAAGTAAAACTCTTCCTAGAAAACATAGATGACTATGTACTTAAACCTTGGAGTAAGGAAAAATAAACAGGACCCCCATAGCATTGACTATAAAAGAAAAGATGAATTAATTTGAAAATATTAATATTAAAAATTTGTTCATCAAAAGACATCTTAAGGAAAGTGGAAGGTCAAGTTATAATCTGGAAGAAGATATATTTTTGATTTACATGAAGAATATATAAAGCATTAAAAATAAATAAAAGCATACTCAACACAATAAAAGATAGTGCAGAAAATGTTAAGCATTTCACAAGCGGGAACACATACACCACAAGTGTATGGAAAAATAATCAACAATTATTTGTCAGAGAAATGGAAAGTAAGCCCAGATGAGATACTGTCCCCTGCCGTTTAATTACAATGTTTTTTGAAGTCTGACAATACCAAATTTTGGAGAGATAAAAAGTGACAACATCCTAGATGTTTAATTTCCTATCAAGATAATGGTGTCGGGGCCTGCTCACACGTGAAAGAACCTGAGGAATCTTCTGGTCCAATGAACTTTACATGGTGATTGCTGACGTCCCAGGGGTTTGGAGGAGACACTTTAGAAGCCACCCAGGGAGAATGTGGGGATGAGCTGAGGACATGAGGAGCTGATACCCTGGCCAGCAGAGCCCTACTTGCACACATTTCCATAGAGGGCTTCCCCCAGCAGAAAGGAGAGTCCGAGGTTGCAGTGGCTGAAGCTTTCTCCAGGAAAACAAACTCAGTGCATAGACAAACTGGGATGAGGTCACAGAGCAGGTCAGCCATGGCAAGATGAGACCCGGACCCTCCCTGTCCTGACACCCAGGCCAGGGACCCTCCAGTTCACAACTGGCTTCCTGCAAAGAATTCACGGGAAGAGAGTAAACCATTTCCCTGCACATTCCATATTAGCTAAAATTCTGAAATGCCATCATTTAAATCCTCAATAAATATAGATGTAATGTATTACTCACTTTGTAAATAAACATATTGCTAAACAATTCACCTTAAGGAAAATATCTGAAAGATAATAGTATTTCCCTCATCTATAATGACACAAAATCATATGAAAATAATCTGAAGATAAAAATTATGATTTTATTTTAATGATCCAACAGTAATACTGGCTTTTTTTTTTTTTTTGGACACAGACACCTGTGTTCTTCTTGTTTTTTTTTTTTTTTTTTTTTTTTTTTTTCATATGTATAAGTTCAAGTATGTGGAGGAAAAAGAGAGAAAGGGAGGGGGAGTCACAATTACTTAGCTATTATTACCCTTCCTTGGTAAGTAGGATAAGAACATTTCCCTCTATGAATCTGATTTTAAAATTCATCTTATCTGAGGCCACGGGTGCCTGGAGTCTGTGGCTATTGGGGTTAGCCTGGGACTGGGGCAGATTTAAGCCTGGGGCTGCAGAGTAAAACTTTTAGAAAAACACACAAGGAGAAAACTCCTTGACATTTGGGCAACATTTTTTTTTCTTTTATTATACTTTAAGTTCTGGGGTACATGTGCAGAATGTACACGTTTGTTACACAGGCATACATGTGCCATGGTGGTTTGCTACACCCGTCAACTCGTCATTGACATTAGGTATTTCTCCTAATGCTCTCCCTCTCCTAGCCCCCGACACCCTGACAGGCCTTGGTGTGTGATGTTCCCCTCCCTGTGTCCATGTGTTCTCATTGTTCAACTCCCATTTATGAGTGAGAACATGCGGTGTTTGGTTTTCTGTTCTTGTGTTAGTTTGCTGAGAATGATGGTTTCCAACTTCATCCATGTCCCTTCAAAGGACATGAACTCATCCTTTTTTATGGCTGCATAGTATTCATGGTGTATATGTGCCACATTTGCTTTATCCAGTCTATCATTGATAGGCATTTGGGTTGGTTCCAAGTCTTTGCTATTGTGAACAGTGCCACAATAAATGTAGGTGTGCATGTGTCTTTATAGTAGAATGATTTATAATCCTTTGGGTATATACTCAATAATGGGATTGTTGGCTCAAGTGGTATTTCTAGTCCTAGATCCTTGAGGAATCACCACACTGTCTTCCATAATGGTTGAACTAATTTACACTCCCATCAACAGTGTAAAAGCGTTCCTGTTTCTTCACATCCTCTCCAGTACCTGTTATTTCCTGACTTTTAAATGATCGCCATTCTAACTGGCATAAGATGGCATCTCACTGTGGTTTTGATTTGCCTTTCTCTAATGACCAGTGATGATGAGCTTTTTTTGGTATGTTTGTTGGCTGCATAAATGTCTTCTTTTGAAAAGCGTCTGTTCATATCCTTCGCCCACTTTTTGATGGGGTTGTTTTTTCTTGTAAAATTTTTTTAAGGTACTTTCAAAAGAAGACATTTATGCAGCCAACAAACATATGAAAAAAAGCTCATCATCATTAGTCATTAGAGAAAGGCAACTCAAAACCATAATGAGATACCATCACATGGTACACCATAAATATATTCGGTTTTTATTTGTCACTAAGCAAGGAAAAATAAAACAAAAATCTAGCTGATCCTTTTTTGCTGTTCCATTTCTACTACATCCCCAAAATATAGGAAAAACCTAATTTGAGTAAGAGAGATTAGCTGTAATAGTAAATTTATCATTCTTACCTACTTTTTTTGCAAAAGGAAAGTTCATATTTCCTGTTAAGGTAATCTACCCCATGTTTCCATTTTGCCATCACCCTGCCATTTGTCTATCCATCCAACTGTCTAACCTGCGTTGCGACACCACCTCTCACCCCACGTGGAGGCTCTGTGCTGTGGGGTCGCTCAGGGTGGGGGAAGCCACTCTTGCTTCTCAGCTCACAGCCTTACTGGGAATGACTGAGTGCCCAAAGCAATGACAGGACATGGAAGAACTTCTAAACAAGTTCCTTCTGGCTTGATACTGAGGTTTGACTTTTGTTGCAAACCCTTTTTGAGATTTGATGTTGACCCAATTCGCTTTACCCTGATGAGCAAGATGAACCAACAACTGTGTTTGTCTGGACATATGTTTATTGTGTCACGTACACCATGCATTCAGCAAATCCTGACATGTCTCTCAAATTCAAAATATTAAAGCAGGCAACATCAGTTATAATAATTTATTCACTTGATAATAAGTAAAAAATCATTGATGTAAATATTCATTTTAAGAAAAAGACAAAGGGCTGTGACTGGACTGAGCCCAGGACATCAATATCGGCTCCATGTACATCATTACTTATTTGAGTGTCCTTGGAAAAGTCATTTAATATCGATTTGAATATTCATGTGTGGGAAGTGTCTACATACCTGCATTCCTAATGACCTATTTTGAAGATAAAATGAGACAAAAATTATGAAAACACCTTAGAAAGAATGAAGTGATACAAATACAAGGTAAGAATGATTATCCTAGTAGCTGTGTTAATAATAGTGGGGAAAGAGGATATGGGGTGAAGTCTAAAAAATAAAAGGGAATGGTGCTGTAGAATACAATGTACAGATAAATCCTGACCCACTGGGGGCTTTCTGATTTATACCATGGAAATAAAAAATGTTAATATGTAATAAAGCCTCATAAATCCTGACTAACTGGGGAAAAGCCAATTTGGAGTTCTGAAAGGTTTTAAAGAAATGTAGTTCTATTACCTTAAAATGAAAATAGTAATATGAGCTACTGGTTAATAAAAATGTACAGACCTCCATTAATAATGAGATTAGGATAATGTTTAATCATCACTGATTCATTAATTTGGTCAGATATCCACCAAATATTTGTGTGTTCTACTACGAGCTCAGCACAGGGGAAAAAAGAGGAAACAAAATGTGACTCTGTACTCACCAAGTTTACTGTCTGGGGTGTGATATTGACAAACAACTGGATGAGTACCATACAATACGATAAATGTCCTTACAATACAGAAAAGCTCAGGACGCCATGGGCTCACCTTGGAAAGACAAGAGTTCTCAGTTTGAGGGGGCACTGATGAGAGGAATCTCATAAAAATTAATACTGACACTGAGACATAAGAGGAAAGTAGGAATAGCCAAAAATAAACTGGTGGGAAGAAACATTTGAACTTTGTCCTAATGAAAGTCAGGCCATGACAGATTTTAAAGTATGGAAGGATAGGTGATATAATTTGCATTTTTTGAAAATCACTTTGGCTGGAATGGGGGAATTGATAAGGGGAATGACGTCTAGAAGAAGGCAAACTAATTAGGAGGCTACTGCAGCCACCCAGCCATGAGGTGATCGTGACCTAAAACCAGGCTCAGGCGTGAGAACAGAGGTGTACAGAGACCAGAGGCACTGAAGAGCTGTGGGCGAGGAGGGAGAGCAGATTTTAGTTTGGCACAATTTGATTTTGAGATAAATCTGGAACATCCAGGTGGAGACTTGTGGCAGGAAGATAAATATATGGAATTGTAAATATAGATTTTTAACATTTGGGTTCTATGTCATGACATCATCCTCAAAAAAGACTCCGTGTCAAGCTTCCCTTGAAAGAGGAGCCCAATGATTCAAATGACCCCGTCTTTGAAAGCCGCTCTCTGCTGACTCCTAAGGCAGTGCTCGGCAGAGCCCTTGTCTATATGTCTTTGGTGGGCTCTTGAAAGCTGTTGTTCTCTGACGTTTTACTGTCTTTATAAGCCATTATCATTCTCTCTTGGAAACAGTACCACTATGTGGGATTTTGCCTACCACCTATGTGCTGGCAATTCTTAAATGTATGCTGAGCACTTCAATGAATTTCATATTTGTGAATCCAAATGTCTAAAGTTATCTACTAGAAAGTTTCACAGCTGCCTCAAAGGTTCCATGTTAAGACCTGAGCAAATTATTACCCACTGCCCCATCACTCAGAATCGTCTTCCTGTCCTCAATTCTGCCAGAAAAAATGCATGAGATGTTTGTCTTAGTCCATTTTGGTTGCTATAACAAAATAGCATAACCTTGGTAGCTTACAAATAACAGTTTATTTCTCACAGTTCTGGAGGCTGGAAGTCTCATATGGTTTGGCTCTGTGTCCCCGCGCAAATCCGATCTCCAATTGTAATCCCCAGGAGTTGAGGGAGGAACCTGGTAGGAAGTGGTGGATCATGGGGACAGTTTCCCCAGTGTTGTTCTCATGCTAGTGAGTGAGTTCTCACAAGATCTGATGGTTTTATAAGTGTTTGGAAGTTCCTACTCGTCCTTCTCTCTCCTGCTGCCCTGTGAAGAAGCTGCTTGCTGCCCCTTTACCATTTGCCATCATTGTAAGTTTCCTGAGGCCTCCTTAGCCATGTGGAACTGAGTCAATTAAACCTCTTTCCTTTATAAATTACCCAGTCTCAGGTAGTGTGAAAATGGACCAATGCAAACTCCAAGACCAAGGTTTGGGCAGGTTTGGTATCTGCTGAGGGCCTGCTTTTGGTTTGTAGACAGTGTCTTCACACAACAGAAGGAGGGAGGGAGCTCTCTGGGGCCTCTTTCATAAGGGCACTAATGACATTCATAAGGGCTTTACTCTCATGCCTTAATCATTTCAAAGGCCCAACTTCCTAATACCATCACCTTACAGGTTAGGATATTAACATAAGGATTTTTAGAGGACACAAACATTGAGTCCATGGCAACATTACAGATGAATCTTTCTTCCCCCTCCCTCACTCTCATACTTACGTTATATTTCTGCACCATCTCATCTCCCATCCCCCCATCACTGCCTTAGTCCTGCCCCCAACTTTCTCTCACTAGAAGAAGAAGGGCCACCTAATTGCTCCCCAGCCTGCTGTATCTCTTACTGTAAGAAGATTACAGAAAGAAGACTTCATCCTAATGAAGAGACTTCATCCTGATGTTGATCCTAATGGAGAGACTTCATCCTAACATTGATGGCTCTACAGAGGCTTTCCTCTCTCTCCTACGGGGAAGAGAGAGGCATCAACATTAGGATGAAGTCTCTCCTCACTTAAAGACCTTTATTGGGTTCCCATTGGCTGCAGAAGAAATAAATCTAAGGTCCTCGGCTCCTAGTCCAAGTTTCTCGTCGTGTGACTACAGGCATTTCTCGCCTCCGCATCCTGCCAGTGCGTATCTTGGACGTTGTATGTCGGTGACTCCCACTTTTAAGGAACCCCTGCATGTTCTGTGTTGTGAGGCTCCCTTCACCTTCATGTCCACGTTTGACTTCCTCTTGGAGCGTTCTTTCTCCCTCCCACTATCGGACATATTCTTCAACACTTAGCTTAGGTGTCCCTCCATTTCCAAGGAAGGCCGCCTAACTTTCTCCCTGTTCCTCATGGGCTGCAGGCAAGAGCTTCAGCTCTTGCTTTTCTCCACCCTCAGCACTCTGGCCTCCTGGCTTACTGTACACCTGCCTTCTGCAGGAATTGCCCGTCTCACCCACAAGACTCTCGAGGCCCTGTATATGGTCATTTTATATTCTCCATGCAAGGCACAAGGCCTAGCAAGAGGAAATCATTCAATGAATGTTTATTGAGCTGGCTCTATTGAAAATGTTAAGAGAAACATAAATAAAATAAATCAATTGTTTAATAATTTCACTTGTGTGGTTTATTAGAAAACTTTTCTATGGGCAGTGATAGAGAAATTTCTACCTTCCAGAGCCTGGGTCAGTTAAAGATCCTTTTTCTAACTGATTTTAAAAAAAACATGCCACTTTTATTTCTGGTTTCACACAAAAGTTGTATTCTTCCTTTTAAATTGTGCCTAGTCAGTCTTAATCAATAGAAAAGACACTCTACTGAAGTTTTCTAACCAAACTGACTGGCTGCCTTAACACATCCACTGTGAGTCTGAGCTTAGTGTGACACACATTAGATGTGCTCATACCTTTACCAAAGAAGTGCATTACAAAAGGAGTGGTAAGTACAATAAATTGTAGATAATTCCAGAGAAAAAGATATCAATTTACAGAATTAAAATACCAGTTAAATGAAGACCATTTGGGGGATTAAAAAAATACCAGTGAAGGCTTGAAGAAATTCACACCCAACGGGATATGGTTAAAAGCAAAAATGAAATACGGTGTCAATACAGTAAGAAAGAGCACACTGAACAAGGCTAGAGAGGTGGACATGAGCTAAAATGACCATGAGATTAAACAGTCCAGTCTTCTGGACTGAGATGAAACAGCCCAAAAGAATGAGATGTTGGTTTTGATGAACAAAAAAATACTCAGTTGAAGAAGAACATTAGGAGTCAGTCTGTTAACTTTTGATCTCATGCAGGGGTTTGTTCAGGACATTTGGAGACCTGAGCCCTGAAACGATCTAATAATAAAAGCTCACATTTACTGAGGGCTTATTTTGTGATAGGTGCTATTTTATATAATCTTTACAACAACCCCTTTGAGGTACCAGTAGTTACGATCCTTATAGACGAATCACAACCTTACACATAAATAAATAAGGCACTCTGAAGTGAAGAAACATGTTCACAATCCCACGGGTAGTAGAGCTGGGTTTCAAACCTGGGAGTCAAGCCCAAGTCCACACTCTCAACCACTCCCCTGGATAGAGAGCATTTCAGGAGAGAAGCCTGAATGCAAAGTGCAGAAAGAAGCAGAGGGAATGGAGATCACAGGCCATAGACTGTTTATCAGATGGCATGGTGATCGGCCTTTTTGGGGCAGAGGAAATATAAAGAAAGGATTATTTTTCCTTGTGATAGACGTTCTTAGAGAGGATTCTACCCTTTTGTGGGTCTTTCTTTTGAAAATTTGATGAAGCTATGATTCCTCTTGATGGGTGGAAGATGTACCACACACATCTGACACCCTCACCATGTGCATGTCTTCCAGCAAATTCACAGTCATCTGGACCCCTAGGTTAAGAGTTGCCATCTGAGGCTGTAGAAGTAAGAAAAGACCCTAAGATGAACGAGAGGTTTTGAGGAATGTTCATTCTGGTAGGGAGGTGGAAGACTGAGGTCTATCACAATTTGACAGATATGTAAGGCCACATGTCATTGTAAGTACTCAACTGTGAGTTTCAAACTGTAAGAATCATTGGAGGAGGGATGAACAAAACTTTGCTGAATAAGATTATGTTATTCAACTACATATGGTTCAAAGGCAGCTGAAATATATTATGAATTACATTGTTAAAAATCATGAAAATCTGGAGCATTAAAAAAGCTTATGGGTTGGCAAAACAATAAAATCAACTACTTCAGAATATGACAATTAATCAAAGCCACAGATTAAAATGAAAATTATTCACCCAAGAGAAACTGGAAAGTACTGGATTTTGAGATAACGATGAGTGTGACTTTTTAATTTGGGGCCATTCCCATCCCCCTCTTCATCCCGGCTAAAAGCCGGTGACATTGAAAACAAGGAAAAGAATTGATGGGTTTTGGAGTTCCATTAAAAGCACTGTCCTCAGAGCACAGTCAATATTTTATCTGAAATTGCAGCTCTTAGGAAATCTGGACTCTGTGGGCACAGTAGTGAGGGAAAGACTTACCTTCAGGGAATCATGGAGACAGCAAACTGCTGGCAGCATCCCAGCTGCCCAAGGCTGTGGTTTCAGCTGGGACAAACAGAAGCCTGGCTGGGAGTTGAATAAAGAAATCCTAGAGAATATAGACAACCACAGAGAACTTTGGAAAACTCTCTCACACTCTTGGGAATCTACAAGGCTGTGTGCATGTCCAGGAAAGACAGGAAAAGAAAGGCACCAGGCACTCATTCCTGGGTGACCCCGAGGCTCTTTACAAGCATGGATTAAGAGTTAAGCCCTCCTGGAAAGGGCCAGGAGTTTAAGGCAACGCCTTCTCACATAGATCCCCTTGGCAGATGGTAGAAGCTGTTCAGGAAAGGCATTTAATAAAATCCTCTGGCTATTCATTGGCCGACCACTAACTTATCCTGACCCAGGCATAATACCTACAAAGCCAGGCCTTAAAAACTAACCAATAAACAGACAAACTACAAGCTCCAAGAACTCGAAAGAAAAAGAAAAAAGGTACCAGAGGAATCAGTAACCAAACAATGCACAATACTCAGAATCTCCAGAATTTTACCAGGAAAGTTACTAAAAAATAAGAAGCAACAAGGAAAACAAAACTAAACTAGTAGCAACAAAAATCTAGCAACAACAGCAAGTCTTGGGGAATGTAAGAATCTGATACCAGAATTGCTATAACATATTACCTAAAGATTTCCAGTTGTCATTACAAAAAGCATGAGAGATACAAAGAAACAGGAAAGTATGACACACACACACACGAGAGAAAAAAGTTAACTGAAAATGTCCCTGAAAGGGCTCAGATTTGGGACTTGGTGAAGACTTTAAACTAATTATTATAAATACATTTAAATAACTAAAGAAAACTGTCTGAAAAATTCAAAGGAATCATGGCAATTTTGCCTCACCAAGTAGAGGATTTCAATACAGAAATAGATATTATAAAATAAATAACCAAATAAATATTCTGGAGTTGAAATATTCAATAACTGAAATAAAAAGTACATTAGAGAAGCTCAATAACAAATTTGACCCTTAAGAACAAAGAATCCAAAACTTAAAAATAGGTTAATAGAGAGTATTTAGTCTCAGAGACAGAGAAAAAAAAGAACAGAAATGAAGATAGCCTTACAGATCTCTGGGACACCACTAACTCTATCCTTATATACAGAATGAGAGATTCAGAAGAAGAGAAGAAAAGGGGGGACAAAATTATTTGAAGAAATAATGGCTGAAAGCTTTCCAAATTGATGAAACATATTAACCTACACAATTAAAGAGTTCAATGAATTCAATGTAGAATATACATAAATGGATCTATATGTAGACATATCAGGATCAAATTAACAAAAGGCAAAGGCAAAAATTTTTTTTGAAAGTTGCAAGATAAAAAGGCAGAGAATAGATTTGAAACAAACAAACAGACATGATTCAATTAAATGGTCTACAAAATGTACTTTTAATTCAAAGCCACAAATAATTTGAAAGTGAAAGCATGGAAAAATATTCTATGCAAGCAATAACTAAAAGAGAGCTGAAGTGACTACAAGGCAGAGTCAATAAAATTACTACTTGACTTTTCATCAGCAACTATGGAGAATAGAAAGTAGTGTGATGACATCTTCAAAGAGTTGAAAGACTATCAATAAAGTTCTCTATTTAGCTACACTCTTCTTAAAAATATTAAAACATTCCAAGATAAATAAAAACAGAGAATTTATTGCTAGAAGACGTGTCGTTTTAGAAATACTAAAGGGAGCCCCTCACGCTGAAATGAAAGAACACACAAAACCACACGAAAATACAGAGCAGTGGTGACGATAACTGCATAGATGTTATAAAAGATGGTATAAGCTTATCATTTGTAATGCTTTCGTTCTTCTATACGTTTTAAAAGACAGCGGCAGAAATCAATAATTATAAAACTGTGCTAATAGCTTATAAGGTATAAAGAAGTAATTTGTATAGCAATAATAGGACAAAATTGGTGGAAGAAATGGAAGAATATGGTAACAAAGTTTTTAACTATGTTTGAAACAAAGTTAGTATTAGTCTGAACTAGGTTGCTTCAAGTTAACAGCTAACTGTAATTTCCAGGGAAATTAATGAGAGAGAAAAATTAAAATTATTAAAAGAAACAACAAAGGAACTAAAAGGTTATACCAGGAATAATATTTTTAACAAGAATATGGCAAAAATAGGGAAATAGAGGAATAAAGCAGACACAAGATATACAGAAAATAAACTGCATAACTGTAGGTGTAAAATTACCATATCAATAATTACATTAAATAGAAATTGATTAAACATCCCAATCAAAAGGCAGAGAATAGATTTGAAACAAACAAACAAACATGATTCAATTAAATGGTCTCTAGAAAACGCACTTTGAATTCAAAGCCACAAATAATTTGAAAGTAAAAGCATGAAAAAATATTCCATGCAAGCAATATCCAAAAGAGAGCTGAAGTGACTGCACTAGTATCAGACACAAAAGACTGAAGACAATGTTTCAAAATTAGGTGCAAAAAAGGATATTTTATGATGAGAAGAGGTTCAATGAGTCAAGAAGACATAACAATTATAAACATATGTGCATCTAACAGTACAGCTCCAAAATACATGAAACAAATTCTGATAAAATTAAGGGGATAGACAATAAAAATAACTGGAGACATCAATATCCCACATTCCTTAATAGATAAAGCTATCAGAACTAACAAATTAGTGCAGCCCATTTGCAGGGTAGAATATCAGTACACCATAATCAATTGTATTTTGCATATGAATTCTATGATTTAAACGTTTGTGTTTCCCCAAATTCATATGTTGAAATTCTAACCCCCAAGGTAATGGTATTAAGGGATGGGGTCCTTGGAAGGTGATTAGGTCATGAGGGTGGAGCCCATATAGAGTAGCCTCAGAAAGCTTCCCTGGCCCTTCCACCATGTAAGGATGCAGTGAGAAGACAAATGCCTGCCTATGAGGAAATGAGCCTTCACCACACACCCAATAATCTGGTGTCTTGATCTTGGACTTCCCAGGCTCCAGAACTGTGCAAAATACATTTCTGTTTTTTATAAGCCACATAGTTTATGACATTTTGCTATAGTATGTCAAATGGACTAAAACAACTAGAATAAAAAATACAAAAATAAAAATTAGAAAACAAGCTCATTAATAAAATTGACATAATGAATAAAACATCTGGAAATAAATTTAACAAAAGAAGTTCAAGACATGTATACTAAAAGCTATATTATATTGTTTTAAGAAATTAAAGATTGAAATAAATGGAAAGACATGTTCACAGATCAGAATATTTAACATTATTAAGGTAGCAATACTTCTCAAATTGATCTACAGATCCAAATTCTAAGTAGTATTTTTCAATGAAATTGCTAAGTTGATTTAAAAATTTTCATGACAATGAAAGGACCCAGTATAAGAAAACAAATCTTGGCCTGGTGCGGTGGCTCACGCCTGTAATCCCAGCACTGTGGGAGGCCAAGGCGGGTGGATCGTGAGGTCAGGAGATTGAGACCATCCTGGCTAACATGGTGAAACCACGTGTCTATTAAAAATACACAAAAAATTAGCCAGGCATGGTGGTGGGCGCCTGTAGTCCCAGCTACTCGGGAGGCTGAGGCCAGAGAATGGCGTGAACCCGGGAGGCGGAGCTTGCAGTGAGCTGAGCCGAGATTGCGCCACTGCACTCCAGCCTGGGCAACAGAGTGAGACTCCGTCTCAAAAAAAAAAAAGAAAGAAAGAAAATAAATCTTGAATAAAAAAAATAGGTTTAGGAATTAGTCTTCTGGATTTTAAAAATCTACTACAAATAAACAAGTAAGTGAATAAATAAATAAACAACAAACAGTAACTGAGAGAGGATGGTACCAGCATAAGGATAGATACTGATCAATGAAATAGAATGGGGAATCTAAAAATAAACCATCTCACTTATTGTCAACTGATTTTTGACAAGGGTTTCAGAACAATTTAATGGGGGAAATCAAGTCTTTTTAATGAATGGTGTTGGAACAACTGGGTATCCACATACAAATGAATAAAGTTGGACAGGTATCACACCATATACAAACATGGACGCAAAATGTATCAAAGGCCTAAATGTAGAAGTTAAAACTATATAACTCCTAGAAGAAAACCTATTAGTAAGTCTTTGTGTCCTTGGGTTAGGTGACGGCATCTTAAATACACCACCAAAAACACAAGGGATAAGAGAAAAAAAAAGCAAACGCATAAGTTTAGCTTAATCAAAACTAAAAAGTTGATCTGACAAAGGCCACCATCATGAAAATGGAAAAACAACAAAAAGAACAAGAATAAATATTTACAAATTACATATATTACTTGGGACTTGTATGCATAATATGCAAATAATCCTTACAAAGCAATAAGAAAAGACAATACAATTTAATAATGTACAAATGATTTGAATAGACATTTTCCCAAAGAAAATCTACAAATGGACAATAATCTCATGAAAAGATGCTGAACATCATTTGTCAGTTTGTCATCTGGGAAATGCAAATAAAAACCACAATAGATACCTCTTCATATTTACTAGGGTGGCTATTGCAAAAAAGGAAAAGAAAAGAAAAGAAGAAAAGAAAGGAACAAATGTTGGTGAGGATGTGGAGAAACTGGAACTCTCATACATTGCAGGTGGGAATATAAAATATTGCAGCTACTTTGACAAAAATTTTGGCCATTCCTCAAAATGCAAAACATAACTTTAACATGTGACACAGCAATTTCACTCCTAAGATAATGAAAATGTGTCTACATGGACATTATGCTAAATGAAAGAAGCCGGTATCAACAAAACCCCTCATATTGTTTGATTCTATTTATGTAAAATGTCCAGAATAGGCAAATTCACAGAGACAAAAAGTGGACTGTAACTGTCAAGGGCTGCTGGGAGGGCAGAATCAAGGGTGACCACTAATGGGTCCATTGTCTCTTTTTGGAGTGTTGAAGAGGTTCTAAAGTTAGAATATGGTGATAGCCGCATAGCTCAGAGGATATACCAAAAATCATTGAATTATGAACTTTAAATGGGTGAATTTTATAATATGTAAGATAATTCTCAATTAAGGGTAAAAATATGGACTTCCACTGTAGAGACAGCAAAGGGAAAACAGGCCGTCTCTCCTGTTCTGTAGAGAGAGCAAAGGGAAAATAGGCCCCCTCTCCTGTTAGTTGCATCTTCAGTTTTATTTAGTTTGTAAAATTTATTAACGGCTGTATAAATGTTCCAGGAGTGGGTGGCAGTTCTGGACTCCTACTTCCCTCTTGGCAAATGCACCTCCCTGAGAAATCTCTGCATGCTTGACCAAATTGCTTTCTCAATGGTACTGATATGACTATTAAGGGACTCAGCATGGTGGAACTAGAGGGCCAAATGGCTCTCAAAGTAAATTAATATACTCTATTCTATTGCTTCCTGCTAGCCATTTGCTAGAACATTTATTCACTAATTTGCCCTCTCATTCTTCATCATGTCATTCAATTGTTTACAAGCATGTACTGAAAATCTGTCCTGCTTCATTTGGAAAGATCTCTGGAAAAAATGCAGGAAACTGCAAGGCAAGTCCCAGAGGTTATTCTTTTTAACCTCTTCATACCTTAGTTAGTTTATTTATTTATATTTATTTATTTATTTATTTACTTAGAGATGGAGTCTCACTCTGTCGCCCAGGCTGGAGTGCAGTGGTGTGATCTTGGCTCACTGCAACCTCCGCCTCCTGGGTTCAAGCGATTCTCCTGCCTCAGCCTCCTGAGTAGATGGGATTACAGGTGCGCGATGCCATGCTTGGCTAATTTTTGTATGTTTTTTAGTAGAGACAGGGTTTCACCACGTTGGTCAGGCTGGTCTCGAACTCCTGACCTCGTGATCTGCCTGCATCGGCCTCCCAAAGTGCTGGGATTACAGGTGTGAGCCACCACACCCAGCAACCTTAGTTTATTTTAAAGCATAATTGGAATGAGGATCAAAAAGGCTGATAGAATGATAGCATCCATCAGTAGGGCTGTTGAAAGGATCTACCACTATCTACACCACACTACATACATATACAAAGAACTTATGTGTGTATAGCATAAGACAGCATTATATAAAATGCTATGGAAACACCTGGGGCAGTTTTACAAATGAAGAAACTGAGATGTACTGGCTTGGTTCAGTTGCTCAAGCTTTCAAAGGAAATGTCGATGTGGGGATTGAACTAACATTGTTTGAAGTTATGGAGAACTTTAGTACCATAAAAGTTAAGTCAAATTCATGTGTTAATCTTTTTCAGAGTCACTGAAAAACAGTCTCATTTCTTCAAGTTTTACACGAGCAAGTGATGCTGTTGTAGGTGACAAGGGCAGTTGTCACATGCCTTAAGCCAAGCCACACATCAGAAGCTCTGACTGGCATTCCATGGCCATTAGTTGAGAATGTTTGTTTTTTTCTCCAAATGTGGCATATAACATTGTAACATTTATAATAATAGAATCATCATGTGAGAATGTTTTATGGGAACTAAAAAATCAATAGCCATGTTAGTGAGGGGACAGAGTTCCAGGAGTAATGCACTGGAATTTTATCATAATGCTGTTCACATAGCATAGCTTCTTACTGGGGATATATATAAACCCTTCGGAAAACAAGGCAACCTCTTTGAAATTTCCCAAGTTGTAAAGGGAAGACTATTGCATGATTAGGAATAAAACCAGTGGCTTTCAGATATGCTGGTCAGCACAAACACCATAGCCCACCTCCCTAAGCAATCTCCTCATCGCCCAAGACCTCATGCCTGACTAGAACAGAAGAACATCAGGCAGATGCTGGCATCTTGTAAGCCAACCCTGCTCTCTCCTCCCAATCAAGATGCATCTCAAGGGGCCTGAAAGGAGTGGAAGGGATACTGTGATTCCTCAGCATGGGCTCTGAAAAGTGAGTCACCATGAGAACCCAGAGACCGGTGCACACAAGCTGTGAGCTTGCACACACCTAGAAAGCTGCCAATGTCACTGCTAGGGATGATGTGGAAGGTGTCTTCACTGGTTTTAAATGCAATGCACTCTAAGCCAGTTGGAATACTTTTGCTTTGAAGAAATACCTGCCCTTCCTAAGTGCTGCGGCTTTTCTCAACCCTTTACGCCTGTGCTCACTTGTAGATGCAAATCCCCCACTCAGCTCTTGCCCTGGGTAGCAATCAGGTGGTTCATGAGTGGTGCCAACCAGTTACATTTCCTGATATGCAATACAGCTGGCAGCAGGATGGCCTGCACATGCGCAGGAATGGCCCCAATGAGCAGAGATCCCACAGCCCGCTGTCACAGCTGTCTTCACCTTTTTCCAGGTGGGACCAACACAGGCCTGCAGGGCCCAGGAGCTCATCTACCACACAGTCTGAAGTGACTGAATTAATCAGGTCACAGTGGCCAAAAGCCTATCCACTGCCACTGCAAGCCACCTTTCCTGCAAGGCGATTCACTCTATAGGAAACCGGTTTAACCAGAATCTGGAATCGTACAATTTTTCAGACCAGCAACAAGGAAGAGGACTGAGAAATCTGACACTTTGGAGAGGAGCAGGACTGATTAGAACAGAAAAAAGAATCAGCACTGGGGCCAGGGATGTGGGCAGGAAACCGGGGGAATAAAAGAGCTTAGAGGGGAGGGAGACCACTCCATCAGTAAGCCCATGTGCTGATGACTTCCTATACTCATTTTAGTATAGACTGAGAGGGCTAACAAGGAAAGGAAAGTTCAGTTCTTAGAGGGGAGGGAGACCACTCCATCAGTAAGCCCATGTGCTGATGACTTTCTATACTCATTTTAGTGTAGACCGAGAAGGCTACTAAGGAACAGAAAATTCAGTTCTTAGAGGGAGGGAGACCACTCCATCAGTAAGCCCATGTGCTGATGCCTTCCTATATTCATTTTAGTATAGACTGAGAGGGCTAACAAGGAATGGAAAGTTCAGTTCTTAGAAGGGAGGGAGACCACTCCATCAGTAAGCCCATGTGCTGATGACTTCCTATACTCATTTTAGTATAGACTGAGAGGGCTACTAAGGAACGGAAAGTTCAGTTCTTAGAGGGGAGGGAGACCACTCCATCAGTAAGCCCATGTGCTGATGACTTCCCATACTCATTTTAGTATAGACTGAGAGGGCTAATAAGGAATGGAAAGTTCAGTTCTTGTCCTAAAGAAGGGAGCAGGCAGCTCTTCCAGAGTTCCTGCTTACCCCATCTCCTGGTCATGCCTCTCTTCGGTGTAACCGGATGACTGCCTTGTGTGTGAAAAACAGGATACATCAACAAGTGATGGGATGTCCCTCCCATGATCAGGTTAGAAAACACTGAGAGCTCCCCTGCAGGTCCTCACCCCACTGCCCCTTGTGTTTGCTTTGACTGGCCCTGGGCTAGGAGTGGAGAGGGCTCCTCAGCCAGCAGCCAGCAAGGGGCAGCACCTCCATCCACAGCCTCAGAGAAACCGAGTCCTGGCAACAGTCGCTGCAGAAACCAGGAGGCAATCGGCCTGCTGGAACCCCGAGAGAACTGAGGTCCCAAGTGACCATGGGCTGCAGCCTGTGAGAGACCCTATGAGGGAGGATCCAGCCCAGCCAGGCCTGAATCCCAAACCTACAGACACTGTGAGATACTAAATGAGTTATTTTAGGCAACTAAGTACTGGTATAATTTGTTACACAGACATAGATGATGAATACAAGGATTTAATTGGGAAAGGAATGAATTAGCAAAACAATCATCTACAGTATAACCTGGTGTAAACGTTGGAGGAGGAAACACTGGTTATTATCTGACAGATGTGCACTCAGCGCAGCCATGTGACAAAGCCCATCAGAGGCAACCAGGCCAAGGCTGCATCCCCTGGCCAGCCCTCCTCACCCTCCAATTCTCTAAGCAGCTCTGCCCACCCTGTGGTCATCAGACTTTGTGGTCAGGAAGCTTCTCTGACCATGCATTCTCCTTTCACCTCTGCCCTCTCATGGTGAAACTCTGCAGGCCCTCCTATCTGCACAGTTTCTTT
The DNA here is from genome assembly GCF_000001405.40 of Homo sapiens. Taxonomy (NCBI): domain Eukaryota; kingdom Metazoa; phylum Chordata; class Mammalia; order Primates; family Hominidae; genus Homo; species Homo sapiens. The sequence continues at coordinate 2,085,132 of NC_000002.12, forward strand.
TCTCCATCAGCTGTCTCCACCTTCTCCAAGAGCGCATTTTTAAATGATGGCACTGGAGCTGTCTGCATGCCTCTTGGCTTTCTGATTATTCTGCACATGTGCTCAGGCAAGCCCCCTGAACTCAGCTCTGGCTGTGTGACTCCCCTGCCCCAAATCCTCTAGAGACCCCCACTGTCTAAGCAGTTGAGTACACCTGTCCCTATTTGGCACAAATATTTCCATCTTGTGTGTGTTCACAGGCACGTTCCTGGGAATTTGCCTTCATGCTTCTCTGTCTCTCCAACTCTTGTTCAACTCGTAAGACTTGCTTCAAATGCACCCTTCTACATTAAGTCTATGCTGCTCCCTTTCCCACCCCCAGAATAGTTTCTCCTTCTTTGGATTCTTATCAACCTGTGGGATACCTCCCAAAGGCTTGTCATGCTCTGCCATTTGTCACGGTTGTTTATGTTCCTGTTCTTCAGCCCTATACATTTCTCAAAGTCCCAAGCAGAATGAGTCTTATTCATAATAGTATCCCCAGTGCTTCATTCATTGCCTGGAACATAATGAGCACTCAATAATGTTGGCAAAATTGAATTTGATCCACACAGTCCTACTGTTTTATGCCCTAGCTGGAGCCCAGATCGTAAGATGCTGAAGCAGCTTGGCTTCCACATGGGGTGCTGGAATCGACCCACACGCACCTCTCTCTGAGACACCGCGCTCTCAGGCCCCTCTGTCCCCACTCGGTTTCCTGATCCACAGACTCCCTCCTTTTCATGAAGAATGCGTTTGGGTGTTCCCTTTTCTCCCAGCCCCTCCATAGGTGGGCTTGACCCAGGGAGAAGGGAATGGAATCTCAACCTACCGCTAGTATTTCTTATAAAAATTCTGTAAACAATGGTTATTGTTTCTGTTGGATCTCATTCTGATTTCGAAGAAAAATGAAGGACTACATCACTGTGATCTCACTTCTTAGGGTCTTCCTGCTTATAACATGCCTCTGTCTTGATAAAGAAGACTGAAATTAAGGGAACAGTGAGTATGGAGGGCCAGACCTCACAGTTTACTCTTTAGTAAGGCAACATGCTGTTAGGAAGAGATGCGCTAAATAATCTAGATAATATAGCACCAAAGATCAACATTGTGTCAACGGAGCACTCCATCAAAGTATGGGGCCGTTAAACCAATCTGCATAATAAGGAATATGCATTTAAACTGAAATTATTTGTATAATTACATTACTTTAAACATTATTTTTAATACTATTCATTTTATACTTGTACATAGTAGTTATGGAAGGCGGTGGTGAAACACTAAAGCCAACAGTTGAAAAATAGGCAGTTAATCTCGGAACAGAAAAAAGCCTGCAGCTTGCCATCATACCCATTTGTTCTACCATTTTAATTTGTACTCACTTTGTAATGAATAAAACCTGAGACATTTCACACATAGAATCACTCTGCAATCCTGACAACCTCCATGCCTTATCACCCCCTTAGCTGAAGGTCCCTGGCTTCTGCCTGCCCTGCTGTTGGTTCTGAGGCTAGCAAAGGAGCCCCGGTGACCGAACCCCAGGCCTCCGCTCTCTTAGCTGCTCTCTGCTGATTGGATCTCACACAAAGGGCTTGTTTACGTAGTTTCTTGGAACTTCCCCTTAGGAAGATTCTCTCCTTATTTGTTAGACACCTTTGGCTTCTTCTTTTTCCTCCTGAAGTTCTTATTCAGCTGGTGTCCCACACCTGCGCCACTGCTCCTGCCTCACAGCTCCGGGGATGCCTGCCCCTCAGATGCCCCCTGCCAACCTCATGCAGGCCACAGCATTCTCAAAGCAAAATCAATTTATTATGCTGAAAAAGAAGCCAAACAGCATTGTCTTAGGAGAAAATATCCCTGACTTCCCAAGCTCCAATGCCCTCTGAGTTGAAGGATGAATTATGTCAGCCCAGGCTGACCCCACTGTCCCCTGCAACCAGGATTCCACACGTAACTCCCCGTGACACCACGGTCAGAGCCCACAGTTTATCATCCGCCTGCCGCTGCCTTCAGTTTCTCTTTCAGTCTTGGGTGCATTACGGGAGTCCCCCTGATTACAGGTAGAGGCCAGGTACTATGAGTTCTGGGTAGGCTATGCTTGTCTTCTTTTTTTAAAAAAAGGATAGGTTTGCAATGCCAAATAAGCTGAAAGCCTTCATGTGCATGTTTTACAAAACTCTTAATGCCATTAATGTTCTTCCCTTTTTCTTTGTTTGGGAAATTTCTTATCACTGGAGAAAGGCTAGGGTGCCACAGGTAATAGGCAAAGTGAAGCTTTAGGGTCAGGCTTCTGAGGTCAGCCCTGAAAGGACACCCAGGAGGGGCCCTGCAGGTTCATCTATGCTGCTGAGGGGATCACACAGCATTTGGCAAATTGGCGGGCTCCATTAATTAACAGAAACATCTCATACAGCTTCGGCAAGGTTGGCTTTTCAAAAGTATTTTAGAATCTGTTAAATAAGAGCTTGGTCCTAAATAAAATATGATTTGTGCTTATTAGTCTTGGTTTTTAACAACCGCCATGTGCCCTGTCCATGAACTGAATGTAGTTCCTATTATCCAAACACGACTCATTGACAAGGGACTAACCCAGTGCTTCTCTGGGAAGAGCTACTACAAATAGATCAAGTCAAAAGAAAAAGGAAACAAAAGACCATGACATTCAAAACTAATCTATAATGGCTTTTAAGCACAGAACGGGCCAGTGACAGCTTGCTAACATGGGAACCATTCGCTATAAACACCACACGTGGTCTACTGGGGCTCCATAGCCTTGCCTTGACCATGCATCCACTTTGTGATCACGGCTGAGTTGGTCAGACTCTCTGAGCATGTTTCTCCCTCTGTAACACACGAGTGTAAATCTCTAACTTGCAGGATGGTTAGGAGGGGTCAACAAGAGGTCATGCAGCCAACAGCACAGAGAAGAGTGCCCAGCACATGGTGAGCGGCACATGAGTGTGGCTCGTTACAGCACTAGAGCTGAGCCACATACAGTGTGATAGCTGCCTGACCACAGGGGAAAGGCCGTGTGTGAAGGGGACTTCTCTGACTTGGCATGGGCATCACCGAAGAGAAGGTGATGACTGACTCGCTTTCTCTAGAAGACGGAAAATAAAATGCATTGGGAGAGCAGCACTGGCACCAGTGGGAAACCATGAGCCCTTCTCCTCCATGGAAATGTCACACACAGAACCAGAAGCCTGAGGAATTCAGTGAGGATTCCTATCTCAAGAGACAGTGTTCTATGAGGTGTTTGCAGTCCTGGTGGTGAGGCCTGTGCTCATGACCCTAAACTCACAGTAGGCTGTTGGCCTGGGCATCACTAGAGCGACCAGTGGATCCAGTCCTTCCCCTGGGCCCTGAAGTGAGACAATCCCAGGCACTGGTGGTGGATGAGGCTGATGGAGCCTGTGGGAGCGGGGCCAGCTGCGTCCAACCTGCACTAACGGGTCTGATTCAAAAGGGGTTGATTTACTGGAAAAAAAAAAAGATAGCTAGTTCTAAGTACTAGTATAAAAAATATGTAATTTTCCTCTACTTGAGCTTCAATACAGATTAGTGTACCCAAAGAGACGCCATGCTTCTAACCTGAATAATACTTTTAAAGAAAGAATGCAGTCAGCAATTTGAACGAACAATTACGACCAGTTTTATGAGGTTTGTATCCTATTAAAAGCAAAAGCATAGAGCCTGTCTCATTTTTTAAAATCAAACCATAAGAAAACAGCACTCTCAAGTATCCTACAAATACAGACTGAATCCTACCAAAAAACATTTTCCTGCTTTTTGCTTTTTTAAAAAGTAAATTTGTTAAAAGAAATAGTTGTATCATTTCTGTTAAGTTTTAAAAGACATTTACCAAATAATGAATATGATAAACAGTGGGATACTAATACTGTTAGATACATCAGTAGAACAGATCTACAAAAACTGATTTCACAAAAAAGAAAGGAGCCCTCTGGCTTTACACATGGAGGAAAATATGAAATGTGCGGTTATTTGGAATTTACAATAAGAGGGTCAGGTCTAAAGTAATTTAACTTCGAGCAATTTTGGGGGATCTATTTGCTCTATTGTTAAGGCAATGTCAATCTCATTTTAAATACACCAGGTACAATCAGGCTTGCAAATGAAAACTGCACCGCCACCCTTCAGGAAGTACTGCAGAAGGGCTTTACAAAGTGTTTGCTATTGTACCGAAAACTGCTGTAAGCACTGAATGCCTGGGGTAGGGAATGGCTGGAGGAGCAGAGCCTCAGGAGATCCATCTCTCCTGTCTTCTTAGGTCTTTCCTAATAAAGCTACACACATGAAAGAAACAGAAATCTCGATAGTGTTTCATGAAGGACTGTTGAGAGGTGGGATCTAGAGAGGACTTGGAAAATGACTGTCATTTATATGGGGTGTGCAGAAAGTCTTAAACATCAGCAGAGATTCAGAAATATAAGAGCTGCAAGGACTTTGTGCAACCATTTGGTCCAATCTTCTCATTATACAGATGGACGGAGGTTAATAGCACAGAGTAGGAGGAGGAAATTGAGCTGGAAGGTACAGACCTGGTTCAGTTATTATCTTCCTCTCTCTGTCTCTGTCGCTGTCTCTGACTCTGTCTCTGTCTCTCTCCTTTTCATCCACTCCTCTCCTCTCTCCCCTCTCTATCTCCTCCTCTCCTCCACTGATTCATTAAATAGCCTTGGACAAGTCACTTGACCTTTTCCTGGCAGTGAAAATATGTCATAACACCCTTGCACTCAGTCCCTGTGAACATAAGTGAGATAATATACACAACACACCAGACACAGCAGTTCCTGTCCTTCAAACATTAAATGAGACAGGTGGGATAGTCTGAGTTAGAATCTATGTTGAGTTCAAGCTTGTCCCCATCCCATCCCTCTGCAGGTATCATACACAGTCTGCTGCCATTATTCATGGGAGTCACATCCTATAAAGTCAGAGCAAACAGAAATGAAGGATTCTGAGCCATTGCTCCTGGAGTAAATGCAGGGTTAGTTTCCTGAGATGCTCTGCTCACAACATCTTTGTCAATCAATCAAAACATAAACTTGTTTTATGTGTGTTTCTGTTTAAACACACCCTGTTTAATACAGGCATACCTCAGAGATACTGCAGGCTCACACCAGACCACCACAATAAAGGGAATACGGTAATAAAGGAAGCTACACAATTTTTTCATTCCAAAAAAGTGCATATAAATGATATGTTTACACTATACTGTAGTCTATTAAGTGTGCAATAGCATTATGTCTAAAAATGTACATATCTTAATTTCAAATTGCTTTATTGCTCAATAATTCTAAGGATCACTTGAGCCTTCAGGGAGTTGTCATCTCTTTGCTGGTGGAGGGTTTTGCCTCAATGTCGATGGCTGCTGACTGATCAGGGTGGCAGTTGTTGAAGGTTGGGTGGCTGTGGCAATTTCTTTAAATAAGGCAACGATGAAGTTTTCCATATCTATTGGAAAACTTCTATTGGAAAACTATTTCCACATCTTCCTTTCACTAAAGATTTCTCTGAGGCACATGATGCTGTTTGATAGGACTTTAACCACCTTAGAAAGTCTTTAAACATTGGAGTCCATCCTCTCAAACCCTGCTGCTGCTTTATCAACTGGGCTTATGTAATATTCTAAATTCTTGTTGTTGATTCAACAGTGTTTACAGCATCTTCACCAGAAGTAGATTCCGTCTCAAGAAACTACTTCCTTTGCTCATCCTTCAGAAGCAACTCCTCATCCATTCAAGATTGATCATGAGATTGCAGCAATTCAGTCGCATCTTTAAACTCCACTTCTAATTTTAGTTCTCTTGCTATTTCTACCACATCTGCAGTTATATCCTCCACTGAAGTCTTGGGTGAACTTAAAATCATCTATGAGCATTGGAATCAACTTCTCCAACCTTCTGTTAATGTTATTTGGCCCTCCTCTCATGAATCACCAATTGTGAATTCTTTCCAGAAAGTTTTCAATTGACTTTGCCCAGATCCATCAGAGAAATCACTATCCATAGCACTTATTGTCTTCAAAATGCTATTTCTTAAATAATAAGACTTGACAATTGAAATTACTCCTGATCCATGGTCTGTAGAATGGATGTTGTGTTTCAGGCATGAAAATGACATTAATCTCCTTGCACATCCCCATCAGAGCTCTTGGGTGGCCAGGCACACTGTCAATAAGCAGTAATATTTTGAAAGAAATCTTTTTTTTCTGAGCAGTAGGTCTCAACAGTAGGCTTGAAGTATTTAGTAAACCATGCTGTAAACAGATGTGCTGTCATCCAGGCTTTGTTGATCCATTTATAGAGCAAGAGGAGAGTAGGTTTAGCATAACAATTAAGGGCCCTAGGATTTTTGAAATGATATGTAAGCATTGGCTTCAACTTAAATTCACCAGCTGTGTTGGCCCCTAAGAAGAGATCAACCTGTCTTTAGAAGCTTTGAAGCCAGGCATTGATTTCTCCTCTCCAGCTCTGAAGGCCCTAGATGGCTTATATTCTTCCAATATAAGGCTGTTTCATCTACACTGAAAATCTGTTGTTAATGTAACCAACTTCATCAGTGATCTTACCTGGATCTTCTGGAGAACTTGCTGCAGCTTCTCCATCAGCACTTGCTGCTTCTCCTTGCACTTTTATGTTACAGAGATGACTTCTTTCCTTGAACCTCATAAACCAACCTCTGCCAGCTTCAAACTTTTCTTCTGCAGCTTCCTCATCTCTCTCAGCCTTTGTAGAATTAAGGAGAGTTAGGGCCTTTCTCTGGATTAAGCTTTGACTGAAGGGAATATTGTGGCTGCTCTAATCTTCTATCCAGACCGCTACAACTTTCCCCATATCAGCAATAAGGCTGGTTCCATTTATTATTCTTATGTTCACTGAAGTAGCACCTTTAATTTCATTCAAGAATATTTTCTTTGCATTCAAAATTGGCTGTTTAGCACAAGAAATCTAGCTTTTGACCTGTCTTAGGTTTCAACATGCCTTCCTTACTAAGCTTAATCATTTCTAGCTTTAAATTTAACATAAGGGACATAAAACTCTTCCTTTACTTGAATATTTGGAGGTCATTGCAGGGTTGTTCGTTGGCCTAATTTCAATATGCTTGTCTTAGGGAATAGGGAGGTCAGTTTAGAAGGGGGAGATAGAAGAATGACTGGCGGAACAGTCAGAACACACACATTTATCAATCAAGTTTGCCATCTCCAATGGGTGCTGTTTGCAGTGCCCTCCAGAAATTACAATAGTAACATCAAAGATGAATGATCACAGATAACCAAAGCAGATATGATGATAATAAAAAAGTTTGAAATATTGTAAGAATTTCCAAAATGTGACACAGATACTGCATGAGCAAGTGCTGTTGGAAAAAATGGCATCAATAGACTTGATTGACGCAGGGTTGTCACAAACCTGCAATTTATAAAACATACACGATCCGTGAAGCACAGTAAAGGGAAGTGCAATGAAATAAGGTATGTATGTTTGATTCATCACCACTGAACTCATGGCCATGGACCTGCAGCTCTGCCTGAAGTCATAACACACGTATTTTTCTATGTGCTGCACATCCTAGCCTCCTTGCACTTAGAAACACTAGACAGAACCACAGCACTGCACTTGGGGGCTGTTGTAAGCAGCAAAATCACCAAAAAGTGACACACAGAGCAGTAACCAGACCTTGAAAAAGACCCTTGTTTATGGTATGGAGCTGAAGTCAGGAGACCGGGCATCGCCCTGCCCTTTAGCAGCTGAAGGTGTGTGCTGGGCAGCTCAAGCTTTTGCCTCTCCACATGGGTGTGTGTGTAACTTTGAATGCACCACAAGCATCGATTTTCAGGTTACAATACATTTTTGTAAGCAGGCAAATTCACAGACATAAAATCTGTAAATACAGAGGATGAACTGACAATAATAAAAGCATAATAAAAATATTTTATTTTTGCTACCTTCTTAAAGAGCGTTTTCATTAGAGTTTGTCTCCCTCAAATGTATCATCCCAAATCTTTTTAAAAAAGATTATGCCACTGAAGATTTCTTTCCAGCAAGGAGACTGTTAAGATGTTAGGATACCTGGAGTGGAGAAAGTCAATGAGCCAGTATGCAAGACACAGAAGGGAGAAAACTGACAGCGGAGCAGGGGGTGGGGCGGGGGGGCTTTTTTTACTCTTAGGCTGAAGAATTTTAAAGTATTTCTCACAAACATGCTGTGATAATAAAATGAAAACAATGTACAAAAAAAAAAAAAGATTATCAGAAACTAATGGCCAGTGATGATGAGCATTTTTTCATGTGTCTTTTGGCTGCATAAATGTCTTCTTTTGAGAAGTGTCTGTTCATATCCTTTGCCCACTTGTTGATGGGGTTGTTTGTTTTTTTCTTGTAAATTTGTTTGAGTTCTTTGTAGATTCTGAATATTAGCCCCTTGTCAGATGAGTAGATTGCAAAAATTTTCTCCCATTCTGTAGGTTGCCTGTTCACTCTGATGGTAGTTTCTTTTGCTGTGCAGAAGCTCTTTAGTTTAATTAGATCCCATTTGTCAATTTTGGCTTTTGTTGCCATTGCTTTCGGTGTTTTAGACGTGAAGTCCTTGCCCATGCCTATGTCCTGAATGGTATTGCCTAGGTTTTCATCTAGGGTTTTTATGGTTTTAGGTCTAACATTTAAGTCTTTAATCCATCTTGAATTAATTTTTGTATAAGGTGTAAGGAAGGGATCCAGTTACAGCTTTCTACATATGGCTAGCCAGTTTTCCCAGCACCATTTGTTAAATAGGGAGTCCTTTCCCAATTTCTTGTTTTTGTCAGGTTTGTCAAAGATCAGATAGTTGTAGATGTGTGGTATTACTTCTGAGGGCTCTGTTCTGTTCCATTGGTCTATATCTCTATTTCAGTACTAGTACCATACTGTTTTGGTTACTGTAGCCTTGTAGTATAGTTTGAAGTCAGGTAGCGTGATGCTTCCAGCTTTGTTCTTTTGGCTTAGGATTGACTTGGCAATGCTTGTCATCACTGGCCATCAGAGAAATGCAAATCAAAACCACTATGAGATACTATCTCACACCAGTTAGAATGGCGATCATTAAAAAGTCAGGAAACAACAGGTGCTGGAGGGGATGTGGAGAAATAGGAACACTTTTACATTGTTGGTGGGACTGTAAACTGGTTCAACCATTGTGGAAGACAGTGTGGCAGTGATTTCTCAGGGATCTAGAACTAGAAATACCATTTGACCCAGCCATCCCATTACTGGGTATATACCCAAAGGATTATAAATCATGCTGCTATAAAGACACACGCACATGTATGTTTATTGCGGCACTATTTACAATAGCAAAGACTTGGAACCAACCCAAATGTCCAACAATGATAGACTGGATTAAGAAAATGTGGCACATATACACCATGGAATACTATGTGGCCATAAAAAATGATGAGTTCATGTCCTTTGTAGGGACATGGATGAAGCTGGAAACCATCATTCTCAGCAAACTATCACAAGGACAAAAAATCAAACATCGCATGTTCTCACTCATAGGTGGTAATTGAATAATGAGAACACTTGGTCACAGGAAGGGGAACATCACACACCGGGGCCTGCTGTGGGGTGGGGGGAGGGGGGAGCGATAGCATTAGGAGATATACCTATTGTAAATGATGAGTTAATGGGTGTAGCACACCAACATGGCAAATGTATACATATGTAACTAACCTGCACGTTGTGCACATGTACCCTAGAACTTAAAGTATATAAAAAAAAGATTATCAGAAACTAGAAAGTTCTCATGTCTAGCATTCAGCCCTGTTGTCACCTGCTGCTCCTTCAAGCGAGCCGTGTCTCCAAGGAACCCAGTCCAGCAGGGGTCTCAAATTTGCTTTGCTATGTAATCAAAAAATGATCAGACAATGTAAATGTCACAAAACCTCCTAGACTTTAGTAGAGACAAAAACAGAGACCAAGAAGTGGAGAGGGAGAAGCGCTGTGTCCCAGGGGGTGCCCCCAAGTTGTGACAGAAGCCAGGGCTGAGTTTCCCGTTAGTCCCTGGGGAAAAGGGGCTTTCTGGGACACAGCAATGCAGACAACAGAGAGGACAGCATCCAGGCCACCTGATCCCACCTCTGCCAACTCTCCTTTCTCTCTCCAGGTGAGGCTGAGTTTATCTGGAGAGCCAGCAAGGGCCTGGTATCATCAATGCTCCTCAGTATGGGCATTGTTGTTACAAGAGTTCTATGAAAAGGGTCATGTAGGCCCTGAATACACAAGGACTGTGGCGTCATAAGAAATTAAGCGTATGCTATCCGACAAGACCCTGCTTGGGTTGGAGACACCCCAGAAGCAGTGTCAGCACCTCACATCAGGGGAGCTATCCTGCGAGCCCCCACCTGTGGCCGCGGGGGGTCACTACACCAAGGAATTCTTGGTTTTCACTGTGTCTAAGTCAGTGAGGAGGAGAGGAGAGCAGTCGTTTTCCATCTGTGAGTGTCTGCCTGTGGCTTCTCTCTGCAATCTATGGGCCAAAGGGTTTTTGACAGGACACCACCATCCTCACCTGAATAAATACATGAGCATCAGGTCTGTGTGGTGACTCCACGGCTCTCCTCATCGCCCCGGGCACCCCCTGACCGCTCACACTCAGCACTTTACTCTGTCCAGCTGTCATACTTGGGTTGGAACTGTGGTCAGATACGGCGTCCTCTGACTATCATGCCCAGGGGGAATTGCACAGAGGGGCGGAGCAGAGCTTTGCTTTGCGAGTTGGGCCCCAGATGCCGCTGAGGAGGAGCCCTGGTGAACGTGGACACGCGTGGGATGTTCATGGGTGGGTCTGTGGCGCCCACCTGTGGGTTTTACACATGGTTCACGCATGCTTAATAATTGAGCTCATAATTTAAAATTTTTATTAACAATTATCATTGCACTTTCTTCATCACAAAAGAATGACCACAGCGAATATTTAAAAAGTGATTTTTATTTTTGCAATATCAGAAGAAAGAGACATTGAACCAGGATTTCTATTCTTCTTTCCTTTTTCTGTTCACTGAGTCACCCAAGGCAGGTCTGTCCAGGGTGCCACGAAGCTCTCACTTGCTGCTCACAATATTCCTGCTGTGCAAGGGACATGCACACAGACAGCTGTGGGGGCCACTGTGCTTGGCAGCCTTGGAGGGCACAGGAGCCCCCGCTCTGCTCCCTTTCAGAGGCAGCAGTCTGGCCTTGCCTCCCCTTTCTTCTTTCTCATGGGTGGTCTATATCAAACATGAGTTCATTCTTTTCAGGTTGTTCAGGTTCCTAGACATGCTATTTACAAATGTCTCCCGTATCCAAGTCAACTCAGGGGAGATCTTCCAAATAACCAAAATGCCTCATTCTGTGCACTCTAACTTTAAATAGTGCCATCTAAAAAGCCAAAACAAAATGCAGTAAACACCCCCTTGTCTATTCTGATATGAGGAGCCTTGGTGAAAGGCTCTCTGAAGACACCAGGTATCTCTGCTTTTGTTCCTTTCAGGGGTGAGTCCGCATTGCAGGTGTGGAGAGTGTGGAGTTATCCTACCCCCAGCTCACCTTCCTGAGGATGGACTGTGTGCCAGGCACTCTGAGAATACCGAGGCCACGCTCCCAGGCAGAGGCCCCAGGGTTCTCTTCTTGAACAAAAGTCTGCCGTGTCCATTTCTTTTGAGAACCTTCTCCTTTTAGAGCCATTTGCCCCATCTTGCTTTGGGGCCCTGTGAGACTGACATGGGAGCATCAGGATAAAGTGTCGTCTTCACAGTGTGGGCTAGGGGGCCCAGCTCCTCTCACGCCAGCGGCGGCCAGGCTGCAGCGTCCTTCATCCTTGTGGTCCCAGTCTCCCTTAACCTCTGTTCTGCCACCTCTTCCAATCTCCCTGCAACCACAGGGAGCACCATCTCCCCCAGCCTCCCTCCCCAGCCTCTTCCCTGGCCTCCTTCCCATTGCTTTAAACCCAGTGTTCATTGCTCCGTGGCACTTTCTCTATTCCGTGGGACTCCCAGGTGACCGAGGCGCTGCAGCAGGAACTCCCTCTGCTTCTCCCCTCTGATTCCTGCTTTGCTACACGGCAGTGAGGCTGGAGTGAGCTTTCTTGTGTCTGTGATCACCATCAGGACTGCTGCAGCCCCTGGAACCCATGCATTCAGCCTGGTCCCACCCTGGCCCTCAGGTGTGTGCTCCGCAGGCTCTTCCTGTGGGCTCTTTGGGTCATTTAACTCCTTTAGTTTCCTCTTCCTGTCAACACGTGATCTTCTCAAGTAGAGGCCAGGCTTCTGCAGGGCACACAGGGCACTCATGCATCTTCTCATCTCATTAGGCCACACACAAGATTAGCAAAAGTAACACAACACACGGTTATTGTACAGAGCTGTGGAGTTGACAGAGGGTTTTTACACAGTGGAAACTCCACCTCATAATGACCCAAATAAGCGATGGAGATGCGTGGTGAAAATTTGCATCTCTGTGTCCATGAGACTTACCTAAGTTCACAGCGATCGAGAGGAGGGCAAGGATGTGAGGGGAGCATCCTGGCTGCACAGTGTCATGGTTGCCGGTACTCATCGGGTATATGATGAGTCATCAGTGCTCATCGGGTATACGATGTAGTGTGCATGTGTACCTCCTCCACATCTCATGTTTAAATATGATTCCCAGGTGGAGGTGATGCCTGGTGGGAGGTGATTGTATCACTGGGGCAGAATTCTCATGAATGACTTAGTCCCATACCCTTGTTGATGAATGAGTTCTTGTTCTGAGTTCATGTAAGATCTGGTTGTGTAAAAGTGTGGCACCTCCCCGCTTGCCCTCTTGCTTCCACTCTTGCCATATAGAAATGCCTGTTTCTTTACCTTCCACCATGATTGGAAGCTTCCTGAGGCCCTTACCAGGAGCATATGGTGCCATGCTTGTGCAACCTGCAGAACCATGAGCCAATTAAACCTCCTTTCTTTATAAATTACCCAGCCTCAGATATTCCTTTGTAGTGATGCAAACACACACACACAGTGTAGATCATACTGCAGCACATTAACAGATTGCTTAGGCGTTCCTGTAGGCTTCTTTCCTCATGGCTTTTATAAGTCAACTTAGTTTTCAGGAGACAGATGTCTTTTCAACAACACCAATAATTTATGCTTTTTAAAGGGTCTGAACATTGAATAAGATCATGTGGAGATTAAACCCAAGTACCACCTGTCTTAAGTCACACAGTGTTGGTTCTTAACACTGTATGTTCAACAAACTAACTTAAGGCAGAGTTTAAATAATTTGTTGCATTAGATTATCCTGAGCCATGAGTTTGGCTGTTTTCTAGACCAGTAGGAGATCGTGCCTCCCAGAGAGGATTTGGCAATGTCTGGACACATTTTTGGTGTCACACTAGGGAGGAGGGTGATCTGGTATCCAGCAGGTGGAGGCCAGGGGTCCTGCTAAACGCCCTGCAGACACAGGGCAGGGGGCAGCTCCACAGCAAAGAATTTCCTGGCCCATCAACTTCCCAGTTAACCTTTGTAAAAGCAAACAAAAGAAAAAAAGAAACACAAACATTGATGTGACAGACTAGTTTGCTATGGTTGAGATATTCAGTCATGTCAGAAGCAGCAGCCAGCAGAGAAAACAGGGTCTGTAAACCATTTGTGTTTGTGCCACACCCTACGGTGAAATTAAGTGCAGTCTGGAGCTTCTAAAGATAGGTGGTGGGGTCTGCAGTGACCATCCTGGGAGCTGGACAACCCACCAACAACTTTATCCCCTGCACCTCCCAAAAGGTGTGGGGAGAGACAGAAATAGGTTTTGGATCCACAGGAAGCAAGCCCAGCCCAGCACGGAGCACAGAATGTAGCACAAGCACCGCTAGGCAGCCCATTAAAAGCATGAGGGAGGTGGAAACAGAGACAAATGCATTGCAGATCAGCCCTGCCTGCTTCTTCCAAAGGTCTTAAATGTATTTCTTTTGTCCATTTTTTTTTTAACAACATGATTTCTTTGGCTGAGATGATCAGTCCCAGAATGTAAGTTGCTGCTGCAACATGGCTGACACATGTACTGATTTTGTTTTCTCAGACTCTCAGCAAATCATCTGTGTGTGTGCAACAAAATAAAAGAGAACATGTAGCTTTCAGTCTTCCCAGGGGAGTTTATGCTTCAATTTTTAAATGTCATTTGTTTTTTTTTTTTCTCATTTAAGAAAAATGGGCTGATAGAAAATTAGGAAACTAAGGGCTAATTCATAAAAGTTTCTGAAAGGCTCATGGCAAACAGGTCTCCTAATGGAATGCCCTTAAGAGACACAGCACAGAGACTAAAAGGCTTCCCAGAGAAAATTTTCAGCACTTGCCGTTCTGGGTCCTTCTCTAAGAAATGTTATTACCACACTTATTTACATTGGGTCTCAAAACCTAATTGCTATTTAATGTGGTGAGAAGGTAGAGGTACACACATTTACTTAGCAACATCCTTTTTGATTCATTTTAAGCTCTGGTTAAAATGTCCTAACAAAGAGTGAAAACAGTATAGCTGTTATCCATAACCAACTCCAAGATCACCAGATACCGTGAAGACGTGAAAAGGTACTTCTGCTGCAAGTCAAATAGTACAGCCACGCATTTTAAGGTATGAATTCCGTTATCTTCACAGAATCGCATTAAGACTAAGAAGTGTAGCTTAAGTTATACCATTTGTTTTCTTCCAGTAACTCTGAGTGGGGAGGCTTGCCAATTATTAACATACAGGCTAGGCTATTCTGAAAGACTTATGATTGACAGAGAGAGCAGAATCTGTTGAGTGGGAATGGGCGCCATAGGCCTTGTCCATCCTCACCCTGTCCATCCTCAATATATTGTTTTATATTGTCTGTGTGTGGTTGCATTTATGTTTTCCTTGTCAATTACCAAAAGTGTGGCAGGTATATTAAACTTAAGTCAACATTTAATCCAATCTTAGGTTCAATATGGAGACAGAAGGATGTATGTTATTTATACATCTCTGGCAGGAGTTTTGAGCCAGGGTTTTTTTTAAAGAGAGTAGTGAGTATGGTTTGGTTGAGAAAAAGCAAGAATAAACTTCAAGGACAGAAGCGGGCACCAGTGAGGGTGGGATCATCAGATATAATCACCCTTGGCTCTAGAGAATAACCAAAGATGGGAATCCTATTGTCTTTTTTGTTTGTGCAAATATAGTAACATTTTTTTCTAAACTTTACCTTAAATTTTATTTTGGTCTCCCAACCCACTGAGCCCTCCTTTTTTCCAGATTTGTGTCTGAGTTCCCAGAGGCCCACATATTACTGATGTGTATTTCTGTGGGTAGGAGGAGGCGATACCCTTTCTTGGGAACCTAGTCCTTGATGTCATCAGAAATAACACTCAAACCCACTGAGGTGCCCATTGTCCATGGACACTGGTCTCCACAGAGAATCTTGTTCTTGAGTTATTAATATTTCTTTCAGTTTTGTTTTGTAGTGAAGTCTTCTCTGTTCCCCTAAGTGGTTTAAATTCAAAATCCTGGAAGAAAAATTTCCCCTTTCTTCTGCTAGTCCCCTGGGTAATGGTGAGACATCATCCTGCTTCTTCTCAACCAAGCCATACTCACTGGTCTCCTTAATAAAATTTGGGCTCAAAACTCATGGCAGGGGTGCATATATAACAGACATCCTTCTATCTCCACATTGAAACTAAGACTGGATTTAATACTGGCCTAATTTAATAATATATTTTCCACATTTTGATGGTAAAAATAAGTAGAATAGCACGTAGATAATAATAAACAGATGATAATAAAACAATATTCAGAATTTACTCACACCTGTAGCAGAGTTATCACTCCTCAAATAAGCAGTTTGTTTCTAGATCAGATAATGGCAAGGATTCCTCTCTTTCAACCTGGTTGCCTGAGCTTTGATTGAATTTGACCTAGAATTATTGCAATCTTAAAAAATTCTGATTAAATTTGATTGATTTTTATATGTTATATACATATTTCCTGATAAGTTTTGAGAGAAAGTGAATTTTACATCATATTTTTTTTTAAATGCCTATTTGTAGTAGATACTTTTTTCTCACCAATTGGCAGATCTCACCAGCACTAACTCTTACGTGGTGAGGCATGAAACCTTCAGCATCATGGACCCAGTCCTTCCTCTCTCATATGCCATTCACATGACTGTATGCTGGCTGCTTAACCCTTTGGAACCCCATTAAAATATACGCAAAATAAAGATTTAATAATAAAATAGCTGTGAGTTACTTCAGGCATTAAATCCACTCATCAATCTACCACCCACCCACCCACCAATCTATCCATTTATGTGTTATTAAATGGATGGATGCATACATCCATCTATCCACTCAGCAACCCAGCCACCCATCCATCAACCCATCCATCCATCAACTCATCTACCCAACCACCCATCCATCCAACCACGCACCCTTCTACCCATCCATCAAATCATCCACTCATCCACCAATTCATCCACCATCCACCCATCCACTCATCCACCAATTCATCCATTCATCCATCCATCCATTAATCCATCCAGCCATCCATCCATCCACTCACCCATCCATCCACCTATCCATCTATCTATCCATTTATCCATTGATAGAGGTGTTGTAAAGATTGAAGAGACAATGCATTTAAAGTACTTCATAAAATGTGCTTGAAATAGCATCTGTTCTATAAATTGTAAAATGGCGGCTATTACTGTTTTACCTTATGTGAAAGGGATCACCAGTCATAACCTTTCTTGAAAAGCAGGACCTATGATTAGGTTTCTCCATTCCAAACACTTCAGTGGTTTCTGATTGCCGAACAAATTAAGCACACATTTTTCATCTTGCTGGCATGCCCTTTCCTGAATACATTATCTCAGAAACCTTCCTTATCTCCACCATGGCTGTCACCTTGTCTTCCTCCAAATCCCTGCAGTCCCCTACTTATACCACTGGGGGGAAGCTGTTTTAGAGTGATTTTTAGGCTTCTTGTGGCCTTCTGAGCTTTTTTTTATGTAAGAAATTATATATGTTTTGGCAAGATACTGGCAAACTGCCATGTGCATAATTGGTGCTTAATAAATGTTTGTATATCAAACATTTTGATCCCTCCAAACTGTTATGAGAATTATAGTTTAATAATTAGTTCAAGAACCACTAATGGAACATAGGTAAATTTTCTTTTCAAATGTTTATAGGTAAGTTGTTTACATGGTTTAAAGCTATAACATATGTAGGGATCTACTAGGGAAAGACTTTTTTCCTTCTAATTTCATCTGCCGAATTCCAAGCCCTCTTAAACATATCAATATTGTTCTTTGTTGTTTACAGATCCTTCCCAAGATTTTCCCATTCTACCTTTCTTATTACAGAAAAGGTTGTCTGCTACACCGTTCTACTGTTTACACTCTCCATTTTGGCAATGCCTCTTGGGAATGTGTGTGTGTGTGTGTGTGTGTGTGTGTGTGTGTGTGTATAAAGTTAACTAGATCTCTATATTGCATAAAAACATGATAGAGATCTAATTAACTTGATCCGTGAAGCACTGAGTGCTGGATGGGTGGAATCAATGGTCTGAAGTCACTATGGAGCCTGGATTTCCTGCATCTCGGTAGCACTCTCATCCCTATCTGGTCTCTAACTTCAGCCCACACCTATTAGAATAGCCAAGATATTGCTCCAGTAGAATATTGATCTATATAAAAATTCTGGGCTTAATAAATATAAGCAGCTTAAAAACAAATTATATTAATATATAATGTCATAACACTTAAAAAAAAAAGCCTTGAAATCCCTGTGAAAGTGAGTGCTCTGTGCAGGGAAGTAGGAGACACAGCATGCGTGTATTTAGCGCTAATTGAGAATTCCTTCACAGAACAGCCTTCTGTTGCCATGGACACCATCCTCAAGAGGAGGTTGAGAAAATTCCTCCACATGCTTACATGTGCCAGAGAAAGCCTGCATGTTTCCCTCTAATTTTCAAAGAAATCTCTGCACGTGGGTAAAAAAAAATATTCAGCGCTGCAACCATCCAGCAATGAAACAAATATACTTACAATGGCCTCTACATGGGCCCAAATTTGAAAAATTAATCATCCTTGGTCACATAAAATGAGGTTATCCCAGCCTTTGCCAGGGCTCCTCTGCAGTGCTTAATCCTGGTGCTTGTCCTGAGAGCTGTGCAGCAGGACCACCATGAGATTCTAGATCAATGGAGCCAACTCCCCCATGGCAACACGTCCTCCTCTTCTCTAAATACAGAATCAGCCCCAGATGCCAGCCAGTTAGTGGTGGCATGTCTGCGGGGCAGAATGGAGGCGGCCATTCAACAACAGCTTGGCCATCGGCCAGCGAGAGTGCAGAGATGCCATCTGATGCACCGAGTGCCACAGCGTCAGCTTAAACGGGGAACTCATAGGTAACCCAGCATCCCAGCACAGCCCTCATGGCACCCACGTGCAGAGGTGGGCTCTGCAGGTGCACAGGGCACGTTCCCCACATTACATGAGGGGCCTCTGCCTCCTGGTCCATCCCCAGTGCAGCTGCTTCTTTTCTCACTTATGCCCTGGGATGCTCCGCAGACATACTTTCTCCTTCACGAGAAACAACAGCAAGATCTCACGGTGACAAGCAGGTGTTGTCATGTCAGATTTGGGTGACATACATGGAATTGTGAGGGGCATATTAACAAGAAGCTTCAACAGAGCAGATGCTGTGAGTATAGAAAACGGTTTCTCCACAGCTCAGTCGAAGGCAAGCTCTACTCAGCCCTCTCAGGAGCTGACTCCAAGCCTCCCATGATGGACTCACCTCTGAGCCACCTTTCTCTATCAGGGGCTCTCAGTAGCATTTGTGAGAATTATTTGAAGAGAGTTCAGGATAGTTGACAATACAGACTGAAAGTCACTAATGTGGTTTAAGACTTTTGTTACATTCATGAACATGAGAACAATTTGTGCCATTCAAGTTACATTAATACCACAGTATGTCCTCGAAATAGGTACTAGGCAGCTGGAAGAAATCATTGAAATGCTCAAAATGCATGAAATAACAAGAAAAAGGGAGTCAACTAGCAAAAAGCAAACAAAATCAACGCAATAATTCTGTAACACATTTCACAGAGGTGTTAATCTCAATTGATGATGATAAGATACTTTGAAGTTGGAAAGAACTACATTCTGAGTAATAGCATGGTACTGCAGTCAACCACATATTAAAGATGGAATCAGATAAAATGTTAAGTGGCAACTGAATAACAATTTCAGGGCAAAAAGCTAGAAGAAAAACTGCACACACTAGCCCTTTAGTAAGTGGGTCAGCACTGCATGCTTTTCAGGCGGGCAGGATGGCTGGAGAACGGCACAAGGCGGTGGCTACCTGGCAACAGCGGCTCCAAGGCTGGCTCGCCAGGGGCCAGAGAGGCATCCCTGACCTTTATGGTCTCTGCGTCCAGTTACATATTTGGCACGAAGTGCTTTCTGTGGTCTTTGTCCGGCTCACTGGCCATCCCTCTCCAGTTGTAACAACAAAGCCTCTGAATGTTACCTTAGGAAACACTCGCCCCTGCTTTATTCCCACCAGCATCCTTCTCTCAGGCACTGGGGGACTCTGAGGGTTCTGCATGGTTGGGGGAGGGCAGGAGGGAAGTTTTCCATGCTGTTTCTGGCCTTTGCTGCTAGAAAGACTCCTGTTCTCATCCGAAGTTCTGAATCATTAACAGCTGTTACTCTTCTTTAAGGAGAGGTCACACCACTCTAGAGGAATCTTAAGTCACTCAGCCCAATGAGAAAATACTCCAGTTGGACACATTACATTACTACTGAAAATAATAGATTGGATCATAGCAGTAACCTTTTTATGATTGGAAAACAAGCTACTAATTTCCTCGTGTTCTGTAATATCATCTACTTTTATTTATTGATGATTATATTTCATATCTAAGACAAGAGTGACTCCATTAATCTTCAGAGAATGCAGTTTCACAGTGTAGTTTTGTAGAAGCTCTGTGTGATTCTAACTGAAGAGAGTAAGTGTTTCGGCCTAGAATGCAATGGATCCCCGGCAGCGTGGACACCCCCTCTCTGTGCTCCGTGGACCACATGCAATGTGCTCGTGGGATACTACAGACCAGGGAATCAGAGATACTAGGAGGAGGATTTGCTTTCCACACTAGCAACTGCCATGACTGCATTATGGCATGAGAAGGGTATAATACATAAGCCCCAGACTGTTCTAGAATGAGTGATATCTGTTGCCCCCTCTTTTATTATTGTGAACTTTGTAGGAATAATAAAATTCTGTCTATACTGTGTTTTTCTCCTCTTTATTTCTGCTCATGACATAAGAACAACTGCTTTCTCTCCATGTTTAATATGTTCTTTTTTAATGACAAAATGCTAATTTTAAAATGGATGTGTATCAGTGGGGCTGGGTTACTAGTGACTGGAGACAATGTTGTCCTTGCAGAGATTTCAAACACGTTTAAAAAGTAAGGCGTCATACGTTCACAAAAATTTCTTATAAATTACTGGTATGCATTTTTATATTTGCAAAATGAATAGAAGTTGGGGTTACTCAATGAAGCTAAATGTACCAAGTGTTCAGAGACTCTTGCCAGATCTGAGTGCCTGAACAAATTACCTTATGAAACAGCATGGAATCAAAATGAGGTTTACGTGTATGTGTTTTGTGGTTCATTTTAGAAGGCAGGGGCTCAATGCATTTCAATACAAATATCAGGCTAAATATGTGTGATGCATTTTTATTCCCGAGACAGGGTGATTCATTAGGATAACCAGGGACTGTGCATTTCTTTAAAGCACGTGCTGGTTGAAAAGAAAGTCAAACACCTTCAAATCAGAAGCCAGCTCTGATTTGTACCCTGTTTGACCAACTCAAAGGAATGCACCACTGCAGTGTGGAGCACCACGCAGCCAGCTCATGGAGGGAATGTGGCTCACCCGGGATCGGACGACCAGAAGCCCCGAGCAAAGACAGGGCGAGCTTCCTTTGGAAGCCTTTCAACTTTTATAAAAATAAAGATAATATGTTAGAGAAAGTGAGATAAAGTCTTTATTGTAATTGGTTGCATTCTTTTCTTTAAATGAGGCTGGACATTTAGTATAGCTTTAATAAAGAGGGCCCTGATTAAAATGAAATTTGGTCTGGTGTGGTGGCCCTTGCCTGTAATCTCAGCACTGTAGGAGGCCGAATCACTTGAGGGTGGATCACTTGAGGTCAGGAGTTCAAGATCAGCCTGGCCAACATGGTGAAATCCCATCTCAAATAAAAGTACAAAAGTTAGCCAGGTGTGGTGGCGCATGCCTGTAGAACCAGCTGTTCAGGAGGCTGAGGCAGGAGAATTGCTTGACCCTGGGAGGCGGAGGTTGCAGTGAGCTGAGATCATGCCACTGCACTCCAGCCTGGGCAACAGAGTGAGACTCCATCTCAAAAATAAATAAATAAATACATAAATAAATAAATAAAATTCATCTCCATGAGGGAAGTCTCTCACGTTCCTAACACCATGACTTGAACACCAGACACAAGCATTCAGGACATGTCCTCTCAGTTTCTTGCAAATGAAATTTGAAAAATGTAAGCATTTGATGCATCCAGTATCTTAGAGGCATTTTCAAATTCAGTATGTCCAAGGTGGTGGTTACTATGTGCCCCCAAACCTGTCCCCAGAGCAGACATCCAGTGTCCAGGGCTGTCTACTAATGTCTGGAGACAGCTTCCACGGCCAGACTAGCTGTGGTGGGGGCAGACAGAGCAGGTGAGATTCTCAGCCGAGCTGGATCCTTTGTGGCTTTCGTGGGGTTAGTTAACCTTCCAGAGCTGGAAGTACCTCATCTATAAAGTGGAGATCAACACATCTGTCTCCCACAGCTGTTGCACGAGTATGTCATATTGTACAATGCTTACAGAAACCAGCCCAGGACCTGGCACACAGTTCAGAAGCAGTCAGTGGTGGCAAAAAAGGAAGCAAATGATAACGAACTTTGAGAATGTAAGACTGAGACGTGGGTTTGGGCAGGGAAGACCATCACCATGAAGCCCTGCCGGTGACGTCGAGCACAATCTCCTTCCTCTGTGCTCGGGCAGGATTCAGCAGAGGATGGCCCACTTGCCAAACCTGGCCCACAGCCGACCTTTGTGAATAAGTTTTATTGGAACACTGCCACAGCTGTTCATGTGCATATTGGCTGTGTCTGCTTTTGTGCTACAACAGCAGAGGCCAGAAGTTGTCAGAAACCACCTGCCTGTGAATCCTAAAACACTAGCTCTCTGACGCATTACAGAAAGCATTTGCGGGACTCTGGTAAAGAGCTAAGTGCCCAGAATAATCAAGAATAGATTCTCAGAGCCATTGATCCCGAAAGGTAGGAGCTAATGCCTAAAGCATTTGGCCAGATAATTTTTACGGAGTTTTTTTTTTATGTTACTTCTTCTCAGCAATTTTTGTCTCCATTGTACTTGGCAATAATGACAACAAAATATTTTAAACCAAATCAGGATTGTGCACTAGTTTTCAAAGAGAATAATGGGCTGTGTTTAATTTGTTGCTAGTTTAGAGGGAAGAGGATTCTCAGAATAGACGTTGAGCCGCGAATGAGAGAGGACAGGAAGTTTCAGCATGGGAGAATAGGCGCGTGCACCCAGAAGAGCAGAAGGCGGGCCGCTGCTCTGCCTTTACCCCAGAGACGCAGTTGCTGCACACACGGAGCTGCTTGTTCTGAAACACGGTGCTCAGAACCCAACGCTCAGCTCTTTCTTGAATAATATCTGTTCAATCTAGAAGTTCATTAGAGTCAATATCTAAGAAATCGGGGCATATGCTTGAATAAACCTCACTACCTGAGCAATGAAATTTATTTTTACCAACAGAAACGAACACCTTGGTTTGTCTTTCCAGACAAACCAGGAGGAGATGGGCAGAAAATCAAAGCCCCCTTATTCGGAGGGTGTCCGTGCTGTGAACGCCTCACCTGAGTGGCCTTCTAGACTAACCCACTGCTAGAGTCCCTCCAAATGCATCCCAGTGTACCAACTCTACCCAGTGTGCTATGCAAGGCAGAGGAACAGACGGAGCTGTGGCCACACTGCGTATGCTTTCATTCCTCCTGAACATGGATCCGATGAGTTCTTAGGAATGGACTCAGCAGCCAGGCTCCTCCCCACAGCTTACCCTTCATACAGGGGCATGATTAACCAAGGCCTAACTCTATTCTATGGAGGTTTTTCCTTTCAGCTTCATCCTAACACCTTGTCTGCTGCCATATTTATGCAAGTTCTTCTTAAAGCAGGAGGATCTTCCCTCACACTGAATGCAGGTTTCTCAGTGAGTTTTTGAGACAATTCAAAGACCTTCAAATATCTTTGAATTCTCCTATCACACCAAATGATGTCAAAGCCAGTAAAAGGCATTTCTTAGCAAAGGCATTAGAAATCAGCATTGCTTAAAAGCTGGTTAACTGTAAGCATCTTATGATCCATGTTACTGCGAAGATCACAGTATACATTCAGGACATTTTTTTCTTAAGACTTCTCACTGATGCTTATTATTTTTATTTTGTTTTATTCAGAAAGATACAGCGTTTGATCTTGGCAGTATTTTTTTTTCTTTTTCGATGTGGAATATCTATTTTGTTACTTAGCTCTATGCAATATATTTTCTACACCTCCTGCAGTTTTGGTGATGTTGTACATTACAAGTCACTGCAGCTGAGCTGCTGACCATCAGGTGCCTGTGTTGTCTGGCTGTGGCTGGCTGCAGCCTTCTGCTTTTCCTCCTCTCCTGTCCTGACAGCAGCCTGGCCACTCCCTGTCTATACCCCAGCCTGATCCCAACAAGGCCAAAGAGACACAGCACACATTAGCCAATCCTTAGTTGCTAAAAGTCTGTGGATTCCTCTTCACTGAGGTCAAAACTGTCCTCACAGATCATTCCAATAATGATGGATCAGTATGGGAACACCTTGATTGTGGACAGTCATGAATATAAAGATTTTTCCTCAATACCTGTGAGTGTTTGCTGGGTATGGTCCTGTTTGCAACAGTCTTTGGAATGTTTGCTACAGAAGAAAAACACGGCAGTGTGTCCCAGGAGTAGCAGGAACACACTTGGCTGGGAAGTCCCACTCCCTGACAGCGGATCCAGCCCCCTCCAGATTCCTGTGGTAATTCTGGAAAATCCAGAGCTTCTGTTAGAGAACAGCGTGGGAAGGGGAGCCGGATGGGCGCCAGAGGTAGGAGGTGAATTGAGATGAACCAGGAAAGGGATGGAATGTCGCAGCACAAGGCACCTGCCGGGCCTCAGAATCTCAAAGTACAAAGAGAAAGAGGCTGCAGAGCTTGCCCTTTCTTTAGCTTTCTTAGAAATTTCTGGAAAAAAAAACCACTGGTATAAAAAAAGAAATTTTAAGTTATGTCCTAGTCAATACCACTTCTTGTAGTACTTGGGGTTTTGGGGAAGGATGGAGTGGAGAGAGACTAAGAAAGTAAAAGGAAGTCTCTAGAACAAGTATTTGGATATTATTAAAAGTTTTCAATTAAGAATTTAATAGATGGCCACTTGATGATGTAAATGAAAATTGGTTTGTAGGATTTCTCTCTCACACACACATGCACATGCACACAAAGAAAAAACTAGCCATGTGTGGAAATAAAATTTCAGGGAGGAAGATTCACAAAAGTGCTGATTTTATATATATATATATATATATATATATATATATATATATATATATATATCCCTTTCAGAATAAATTCGGAGCTAAGAGATTCTAAATCAATGCATGCTTAACAGTTCTATATCCATGGAAACAAACAGTGAAACACAGCGTATGCACGCATGGCATGGAGTGACGCAGGGAGTACTGTGCTGGGCAGTCTGGTTGGACGTGCCTCCATGGTGCCAAGTCCAGGGGTCCAAGCCTCTGAGGACCTTTGTCCCATTTGATGCCAGGAGATACCTGAGGTCGTGCCATAACCAGTCATCGTACAGAGGCACTACTCATCAGAGGAGAAGTCAATTCTAAAACCTGCCCCTATTGAATGACTTATTCACATACAGTGCTCCAGTACCTCCTACTATAATATAATATAGAATATAATATAGGTCTTCTTTTAACCTTATTATTTAATTCGAGCTCCATTTATCTGTTCCCCTTTATAGGAAATCTAAAACCACAGAAGAATTGTCTGTAGCAGCCTGTAGCCCACTTCCCTCCTCATATTCATCCTCCAACCCATGTTAGCTTCTGTTTTTACCACTTCAGAATAACCTCCAAGTTTCCCAAAGCCAGGGGTCGCTTTTCTGCTCTCACTCGATTGGCTCTTCTCTATTAGCTTTGCCTGTCCCTGCCTCCCTCTGTCCCTGTCCCTCCCTCCCTCCCTCCCTCTCTCCTTCTCTTCCTCCCTCCCTCTATTTCCTCCTCCCCTCTCCCTCTCCCTCCCCTCATTCTTTCCTTCCTCTGCCACCCTGTCTGGTACTTTTCCATCTCCTTTGCTTGCTCCTGTGTCTCACTCAGTCTTTCATGGTCAAACTCTCTGGCACCTTCTGCACTTTTCTGGCTCTGTCATGGGGCCCCTGGAAGCAGGCATGGAGATGGAGGTCACTTGCAGAAGGGGTGTGAGGATGCTGTGTAGACGCTTATGGGGGGCAGTATGGAGGCGGGAGTGAGTGCTGGTGTGAACAGCAATGTGACCACAACTGAGGTCTCAGGCCACCCCAGGGCGGGCCCTGGAGTTGAGCTGGTCCTTCAAACTTGTCCCTGTGGAGCACGCAGGGTGGCCCTTCCACCCCAGCACAGCCAGCTATGGGGCATGGGCTCCTCCTGGGAGGAACGCGGCCCTGGAGCCATTTCCCTTGGCCAGGAGCTATTCCCTTTGAGGGACACAGCAGTGGGCCCTGGGCAGCCCATGTTCTTAGAGGCTGGAAGTGAGGGTGTCAGCTCTAAAAAGGAGGCCTGGGAGAGTACCCCAGCGTCAGCACAGCCTAGCCCTGCTCACTGGTCCCTGTAACAGCAAAAAGACTCTAAGCTGTACACCTCAAGCCCTACCACTCTCACTGAGCTCCAGACATTCATGGTCAAAGATGTCCTTGGCATCCCCGCCTGGTGTCTCACAGGCATCTCGATGTAACAGAGCACAAGTCCTAGGAGCGTCCTCCCATCCTCCCCCCGACGGCACTCACACAACGTGCTGCTCCTCCAGAGATGGACGAGAGGGAAGTGGTAACGGCAGAGGAGATTTTAGCAAACCCGATGAATTCGAAGAACAGGGACTAGCAACCAGCATTACAAGGTGGTTAAGAAACTGGGAGCCATTTTCAAATACTAATTTTGAGAATTTAGGGAATAAGAAAGGAATTCTTGAAAACAGAGGCTAGAAATGTGAAGGATCTTTCTAACAAAGAGGAATTGTCTGTAGTGAATAGGGCAGTTAGTATGACACACAGAAAGACAGGGCAACAGATCATCAAATGATCCATTTGCAATCACCAGGAACCAGGTAAAGACCGGAGGAGAAACCTACTAGAATAGTTGGATTGTGTGTGAATATTTTCTCTTTCTTTATCTCAAAACGTGCAGGAAAAAAAGGACGAAGACAAGAGTGAGTGAATTTGCCTTGGGTGTTGAAAGTCGAGCCTGGGGGTCCTCCTGGGGGTCCTGGCCTGTGCCCTGTCTCCTCCATTGGCTGCCATGGTGGGCGTTGCCCCCGGGCAGTATATCATTCACTTGCTTTTGCCATCACTCCTGTGAAACACCAGGGTGAAACAATTTGCGTCAGGTAAAAGCCTGTTCTATATTGTTCTTTGAAGCGTGCAAACTTGGGACCACTATTTTTTTGCCAGCTTCCTGAGGAGCGTCACAAGAAACAAACCCCAGCTTGTAAGGAATGAGCGAGATGAGCCCAGAGCCCCCTCCCGTGTTTGCCCTGTCTGGGACCTTGTGCTCCTCAGCGTGATTAAGATTCTTAGTGTTTCATGCTCCAGTCCTGCTTTCCTGAGACCAAAATATTCTGCATCCCCTTTAAAACAAGGCATCTCTCTATCGAAGCTCACAGCAGGCTTCTGTGACCAAAATTTCAAATGAAGTAAGAACACATTCATTTACTTATTTACAAAACCAAGAAATAGTTTTAAAAGTTTTTATAAAAAGCAGTGCTTAAATGTATCACCCCACAATTTACTGGTCAAAGGAAAGTATTGTACGTTTGAAACACTTTAAAAATGTTTCCTTAATCATTTGCCTAAAACTATAAATTCAAAGAAAAAGAGTTAACACAATTGTACTGACTTCCTTCTGCAAAGAGCTCATGCACACGATGCAGTGTGTGGTGGGGCATTGAGACTGTAGCCACGTGGTGACCTGGTCCCAGGCAATCCCCATTACAGCTGTGTTATCTGATGCCCTGGAGTCTTGATACAATGCAGTTTCTGGGGAAAGGCCTGGCTTCTGTGTTTTTATCAGCACTCAGGCAACACTGACGCTGATGACCCCGGACCACACTGAGGATGCTCATTAGGAGAAGAACTAACACCAGGAGCACTCTCAGAACTAAGAAAGCATTGGCCACTCTGCTGACCACTGCATGGCCTCTCCAGTCTGTGTTGAGGAAAACGAATTCATTATGAACCTTAATACCATGGCTCCAATATCAGCTCTGAACCATGCAGCCTCCCGCGAGTCGCACAGTGGTGCTTGGGTTAGGTTTCATCATCTGCAAATGCCTGTAATGCTGATCTCCTCTGCAGAGCTGGCTTCATAATCATGAGACAATGGAGGTAAACTGCCTGATACAGTGCTTGGAAGGCAGCAAGTGCTCAGCCACTGGGTGCTGCTGTGGCCACGACGAGGAGCATAAGGAGGGTGCTGATGACCACGGGGGCCCTGCCAGCTTCACTGTCTCCTGGCTGGGAGAAGAAGCAGATTCCTAATAACCTTGTCTCCCACCTCCTGAGTTGGGAACTAATGAAAAGTAAAAGTGAAACAGATGGATGAAAACCAACTATTGCTTTATGTTTGATAGAACAGAATTGGAGAGTGACTTGGGATTCCTGATAAACAAGCATCCTAAAAATTAAACTTTGGTCCTCCAAGCTGCAAAACTTCCATGTGGGGGAAAAACCTGCCCACTAAGCCTGCTGTATGATCCAGGTGCAAAAACAAAGCTGCCGTAGCAGGGCTCCTCCACAACACAGAGGGAGAATGAAGCGACAGGCACGCGCTCCGTCCAACAGCTCCACCAGCCAGCCAGGTCACTCCTGCACCTGGAGGGGCTTTCTGGGAAGACTCCTACGTGCTCCCACTTTACCACTGCATGCAGGGATTTCCACGTGGAAATGTAAGGTGGGGCCCGCAGGCTTCCCCAGCCTGGTCCATCTCACTCTCCTCATTGTTCTGTTGTATGTGCTGCTGAAAACTGGGCCACTTTTAAGTGGAAAACTTGCTCAAAGATCTGTTTTAACTGCCAGCTGCTGCCTCGGGTGAGTTCAAAGTCATTGTTTCATTTAACCTTCAAAAAGTTATGAAAACATTACCGCCTCCATTACACAGATAGGAAAAAAGTTATGAAAACATTACTGCCTCCATTACACAGATAGGAAAATAGTTATGAAAATATTACTGCCTCCATTACACAGATAGGAAAATAGTTATGAAAACATTACTGCCTCCATTACACAGATAGGAAAATAGTTATGAAAACATTACTGCCTCCATTACACAGATAGGAAAACAGTTATGAAAACATTACTGCCTCCATTACACAGATAGGAAAATAGTTATGAAAACATTACTGCCTCCATTACACAGATAGGAAAATAGTTATGAAAACATTACTGCCTCCATTACACAGATAGGAAAATAGTTATGAAAACATTACTGCCTCCATTATACAGATAGGAAAATAGACTCAGAGGTTTTATGTGTCAGATCCCAGCATAAGAAGGGAGCTGGAGCTCAGAGTAATACGCCCAGTCATGCAGTGGATTGTAAGTAGGCAAATGATCATCTGACCTTCAAAATGTGGTGCTATTTCCTGGTATAGACTAGAAATAGAAAACCAGCATTTTGATTTTCAGTGCAAGTATTTTACTTATAGCACCCTCTTAGCTCCCTCGTGTAGGAAAAACAAGTCCCAAGGTTACCATGAAGTCTGTGTCTTTCTGTTCGTTTGTTCTGGGGAGTCCGTCCTATGTTGACAAATGAAAGACCTTGAACATTTTTGTCTTTCCTACCTTCTGGCTTTAGATAAAAAGCAACCTCCTCAGAGAGTCCCCTTATAATCGCCCAGTTTAAGATAGGCTTCCTGCAGCTCTGTCATGAACACCTTCCTTTCCTTCATGATATTTGCCACACTTTGTAATTAGATAGTTATTGACTTTTCAGGTGTTTAATATCTGCTTCTCTCAGGAGATAATACTTTTTTAAAAGCAGGAGCCATGATTTTAGTTTACTGTGATATACCCATTCTGAAATATAAGAGGTACCCAATAATGATTGTCAAACAAATGAATGGATGAGTGGATGAATGAATCAAGAGTTGGCCAATGAGTCAATGCTACAGGTGGCCAGACCCAGGATCTTCATAAACAACGCAAGGAGTCGAAGAGATCTTTGAAATGCAGCTCAACTGCTGCTTCAGTCTGGGCTTTTCAGGTTTCCGTCATCACGTGCATAAATCACAGTGATTTTCACTCAGTGTCCTGCCTGCCTGGAAGCCCAGCCCCTTGCTGTGTGTTGTTCAATCAGAAGATCCACCCACTATTCCAGGTCCAAAAGTCCTACCTCCGTAGCATCTCACAGACTGTTTTCTGTTCGTCATACACAGCAGAGCGTTCAGGGCTTTACCCTGGATCTCCCCTCTGCCTGGCACGCACATCCCCATGCAGCCACGGTGCTTCCTCTTCCCCACAGTGAGTCCCTCACCACCCGGCTGTTAACACTTTTCCCTGCTCCTCCTGACAGGTGATCTGTTGATCACTCTCCATCTGCTTTAGTTTCCTCCCTTGCATTGAAATCTTTGTAAAATACAGTAAAGTGTGTTCATTTCGAATGCTATCATGTGAGTGCCTCTACCAGATGTAAGTGCCACAAGGCCAGTGTTTTTACCAGTTTGTCCCCTGCTATATCTCCAGCACCTAATACAGAGAGCACATAGTAGGTGTTAAATAGATTCGCTTTTGAATAAATGAATTTATAGAACCCCCACAATAAAAATTTCAACAGGGATTAAGGGTTCTCTCACGTTTTTATAAATCCATGAGACAGTGACAGGCATAGGAAGGTTCTCGTGCTTCCGTATTGACTCTATTTATAGAAAAAGAAACATTAGAAAGCGAAGTGACAATGAACAGAATGCAACTTTTGCCAAATGTGTAAACTTAAACTAAAAAGGTCAAAGGCATTTACTTTGCCAAATGTTTGTGGTGTGTCTAGCACGTGCCAGGGCCTGGGTGACATGCTGAATAAACTGGTGAGTGAGATGCCCCTGCCTTTCTGTGGCTCGGTCTTGTGCGGCATCTAGACTAGGAGGGCGCTGCCAAGGCAAGGCCCCCGCGGGAGTGTCGGGGTGGGGACAGCGGGAGAGCTGTGCTGTGCAGTTGAGGAAGCTGAGGCTGAGAAGTAGGATGCACCACGTCCAGTCGACGAAAACAGGACGAGCCTGCTGTGCAGTTGAGGAAGCTGAGGCTGAGAAGTAGGATGCACCACGTCCAGTCGATGAAAACAGGACGAGCCTGCTGTGCAGTTGAGGAAGCTGAGGCTGAGAAGTAGGATGCACCACGTCCAGTCGACGAAAACAGGACGAGCCTGCTGTGCAGTTGAGGAAGCTGAGGCTGAGAAGTAGGATGCACCACGTCCAGTCGACGAAAACAGGACGAGCCTCAACATTCCTGATTCCCGAATGACCATGGTTCCACTCGATGTTCAATGAACACGTTCTGTCCTCATGAGGCCCATGCTGAGGGCTAGGCACAAAACCACGAGGAAGAAAAGGCCATCCAGGGACTGGAATGCTGCGGAGGAGATGCCTTTGTCCTTGTTTGCCTTCTGGAAGCTCACGGGTCTCCTGTGACAAAGAAGCCTCCTGATTCCATGTTACGTTCTTGAAGAAAATGTCTGTATTTCACTCCCTTCACTGAGCACCATGCTGAGTCGTCAAATACAGATGTTCTTCCCAACCTGCATTCTTGCCTCTCTTCTCCATTCTCTGCCCTTGCTCCCAGGAGATCTCAATCACAGTGATGACTTGAATTCTCAGGCTAGCAAACCTTGGAATCATGAGCAAACAAACCTCCTTCCACCTTCCACATTTAGCTTATCTACACATCATGGAACTTGTCTCCAGAGTGGGTCCCCAGTGAGCCATGCCTTGTGATATGCACGGCCTTCTGCCATGCCTTCTCCAGAATCTCTGCCCGTCCTATGACTCTCTTTTGATCAACGCAATGCAGTGCAATTGATGCCATCTGACTTGCAGGACTGGGTTAGAAGATGCCTCTCAGATTCCATATAGGTCTCTTGGAAGATCCGCCCCCGGGAAAGCCAGGCCATGTAAGACCATTGACCACCTTAGGACCACCAGGCTTGGAGGAAGCCAAGACACCCACGTGGAGAGGCTGTGCAGGGAGTGAGGGAGGTGCAGCCAACCCTCACCTGGCTCCACTTCAAGGCCCGGGGGCCAGACCTGAGCACTGGAGCCATCCTGGGCATCAGCCCAGCAGTTGTCAGAAGACTCCAGACACATCTGGCATTTGTCACCAACCACATGAAAACTGTGAGTGGACCTACCCAGTGAGGGCAGTGGGAGAGCTATGAGAAAGAAGCTCAAGTGGTTTCTGGAGGCCACTGGGTTTTGGGTGGGTTTCCACATGGCAGCAGCTCCTGGACCTCTCCCCCTGCAGAGCACCCACAGCTGCCCACCCTTGCGTTCCCTCTGCCCCTGCCTTCAGTAAGCCCTCAGGGTCTCTTGCCAGAGCCACGGAAACAATTTTGTTTTCCCGTCATTGATGTCTTTCACTTCTAATCCAAGATAAATACAGCAGTTATCTTAAAAAATACAGGTGGGATCTTCTCATGACTTCAAAATAAGATTTTTGTTGAATAAAATGCAGTAGTAAGGATTTGTGAAAAATAAACCAGAGAAAATGTGTTGCAGTAGAGAAGGAAGGAATCTGTGGACTCCGTCTGCATGTTGTCCTGGACGTCTCCACCCTCAGGGATCCTGAGGGTCTCTGCAGAATCACCGGGACTTCAGTGGGCATCGTTGGATCAGCAGGCGGACCGCCGTGTAGGGTCTATGATGGAAGACGTGTGTCACTCCCAAGGAAGCCTGGATACAAAAAGCATCTGTGCCAAGACGCAGCCCTCACTCTGGTATTGGGCAGAACACAATCCATGTTGTGAGACCCATGAACAACACGTGACAGGGACTCCCTTTAGAATGCAAATGTTTCCCTAATCCTTATATTCTAAACAGCATAATACGTTCATTAATTATATTAACTTAACGGAATAAGAAAACCATGACTGGGGTAGGATCATCACAATAAAAACTAACAAAAATTAGGAAACATACTAGAAATAAGAGCTGCGTCTCCACTAGATAGCAATGAGGAAGCTGCTGAGAGAGGAAGAAACTGGAGACAACCCCCAAAATAATGAGACAGAGCCAGAGTCGGTAATAGGCGGAACATGGAAAGTGAAAATCTTCAAATGCTTCTCATTTTTTTAATGCATGTCATGATTCTTATGCTTATGTTTGGGGTGTAAAGTTGATAGAATGACAAAATATTATATTATATATGTACAAAAACACACATATACTCACATGCCCACACTATATAATGGATATATTTGCTAGTTGTCAGGGTTTTATTCTATATTTATATTCAATAACATTTTTATATTATTGAATATTATTTATATTTTTATATATAATATTTTATATTCAATAATATTCAATAATAATTTTTGAACATCTATGTCAAACAAAGGCCAAGTGGAGAGTTAAGACAATAGGATGGAATCAAATGAAGGTGGGAAACTGACAGGCTCCTCCAGGCGGTGTGCTCCAAACCATCTTAGATATTTAATATGAAGAATTGCTTAAAATTTTTCAAGCATAAGTTGAAGTATATTAATCAATAAAACAACTGAGATAATCCTATTCTACTTGAAGTCCTAATTGAAGATAACTTAAGCAAAATAATTGGTGCATAAACACTGATATTAATGATTTCTCCAATAATATTATGTGGCTATAACTAAGGTTGAGATATCAAAATCAGTGATTCCAGAAATTCCCAGAGAAACTCTACTCAGATATCCCATAGCCATAAAATCAATTACAAGGATGCCTGTTACAAACATAGAAGGGTTATAAATGTGGTTATGCCTTGTGCTTGTCAAAATATTTGAAAATTCCTCAAATTTTAAAATCGACAACAAAACAAATTCTGTTAAGGATAGTGCCTTGGATACTACCAATCAATATTAAATAATTCCAGTCATTTTGCTTGGATTTTTTTTCAGTGAAACTTGAATTATTATGACAAAAGGAATTTTAAAAATCTAAATTTAACAATTATCCATCAAATACCACTTCCTCCCTCCCAGACTAAACTACCACAAGAAAACATCAAGTACATTCTACTTTCTCAACAATAGTTTTATCAAGGTTGGAACACTGACATTTTCATAATGAGAGGTAAATAGAATAAGGCGCCATCTCCTAGGAGAACAGTGACGGAATTAAGAGCTCTCTGTATAAATGACAGCGTGCGCCAGGGCGCATGGTTGCTTCCAGTTTTCCTGCCACCATATTCATTAGGTTAAATATTCAACCATGTGGTTAAGACAAACATTTGAAGATACAGAATATCTCTAGCTACTGGTTGGGTTTGCATTTACACTGAAACCTTACGCTACCTCTGAATCACAGCTTCACGCTAACAGGACATTTTCACGTACATTTTTCAAAGGTGTGAAAACATGTTTGACCTGGCCAAAAAAAATTAGAAAAATGGTGAGAGGACAACCTGTTAGGCAATTTGCTAGGAATAAATAACACTTGTAATAATATATTGCTTTAAAAATTACAGAGTGCTTTTACCTACATAAATAGGCACTTAAGAATTCATGCTTACAGTAAATAAATAGTAATCTATGAAAAATGTAGTCTAAGGTAAAAACTCATAAATATCTCATCTTATTTGGGAGTCATTACCCAAAAGTAATTAAGGGAAAATAAAATTCAGTTTTTGTGTAATGAATATATTAAAAATTTATCTCAATGCAGACTACTGAATTAAGTATTTGAATTCTAAAACAAGTTTTCAGAATTAAATGATCATATTTCCATTTTCCATTTTCCGTAAGAAAAAATTCATCTTAAAACCTGGAGTAGGAGAAGCATGCTGTGCATTTCAGGGTACATCCCTGAGTGCAGCTCAGCCCAGGTTTAACCTCAGTTCCTTACTTATTCTTCCCTTGCTAGTGACAAGAGTTAACATCATGATTCGCATTAATACAAGACACAATAATATTAATTTCATAGTGTTAGAAATACTCAAGTATACAAAACTGTATGTATGCATTCTCTTTCTAATTATAAATTATTTCAAATGTCCAAACTAACATACATTACCTTTTAAACATACTAACTGTAAAGTGAAAGTATTTTTTTTTAATCATAGCTATCTTACGTCACTTACAAGGAAATTTGGTTTGCGGAAATATGACAGAGAAAAGAAATATGTATGTGTGCGAGTGAGGGTGTGTGCCTGTTTAAGAGAATAAAGGAGACTTAGATGACTGAAAACACCTAACATTCACAAATGAGGGAAATGGAGATCAACCTTAGGAGATTTGCCCAGCTCGTTACAAAATCTGGGTTAGGATGCCGTTCTTTGCCCCCCATGGTAACAGAGTTTTAGTCTAGATCGCCGGCATGCCTCACTACAATATGATAGTGTTAATCGTCAAATTAGCTCAATCAGCTGAGTTTTCTATGAGGAATGGACACTGGTTCCTTTGCGTCTACATTCACAGCCCTGGGAGGGAGTGGTCGCTGCCCTTGCAAGCTCAGCTTAGGGTAAATCACAAGCCAGCCATGTACACCTTAAAGCTGGGGATGAACGTCATCTGCCTGGGCCTCTGTTTTCTCATAAGTCACGTGCTGCTTGTAAAATGCATAATGTGATGACTATAACTTAACCTGTTTCAAAAATAGTACTTACCTCTCTGCTTGTCTCTTCTTTCCACTACATTAAGCTTCCTATTAAGGCCTTTTTTATTTATTTTTATTTTTAAAAATCATTGTAAAGTCAGTACAGGGCTTGTTCTCCATCTCACTCTTTTAAACCTAAATTATTGTGCCCTGAAGGCCGGCTCTGTACGCTGGTACACTGTGAGGGATGGATGTGAAGCTAAGGGGAGTCATGCTCTTACAAAAATCAAGCTGTTGGTGAAACTCAAACAAGAGAAGCTAAAAATTTATAATTAAGGTAACTCTTAAGGTATTACTTGTTCCTATAAAGCAGTTTGTAAATTACGAAAGATGATCCCATGCTCCCCACTCCGCACTGTGGATACGAATGTGCGCATTGCACACACGTGTGTGTGTATTATCCTCATCTCTGAACCGTGCAATACCTCGCTCATAGCGACCACCGAAGATTCCTACCAGCTGTCCCCATTGAGTGCGCACTGTGTGGTGGGTGTTTTAATCTCAGGAATCCTGCAGACTCCCCCGAAGTCCATTTCCAGTGAACCTGTGTGTTAGACCCACGGCCACCAGGTGGCGATGGCGGTCACCGGGAGGCCGGCGCGGAGGAACCAGCGCCCACAGACCCTTGCTCGGCGGAAGTCAAGGAGGTGCCCCCCAGCCCGTGGATCGAACTGCCGGATTTTCATTTTATAGTGCAACTCTTTTAAACATGATTCCATGTTAAAAATAATTGTGCTTGTAAGTCTTTTAAACTCGCTCTCCTTCAATCATATTGGCGAGGAAAACATTTTCTAATTTGCAGCCCAGGCTGGAGTGCAACGGCGCGGTCTCGGCTCACTGCAAACTCCACCTCCCGGGTCCGGGTTCAAGCAATTCTCCTGCCTCAGCCTCCCGAGTAGCTGGGATTACAGGTGTCCACCATCATGCCCAGCTAACTTTGTATTTTTAGTAGAGACGGGGTTTCACTATGTTGGCCAGGCTGGTCTTGGACTCCTGACATCGTGATCCGCCCGCCTAGGCCACCCAAGGTGCTGGGATTACAGGCATGAGCCACCGCCCTCAACCTCTTTCTTTGTTGCTTTTTGTTTTTTGAGATGGAGTTTGTTTCGCTCTGTCACCCAGGCTGGAGTGCAGTGGCGTGATCTTGGCTCACTGCAACCTCCGCCTTCCGGGTTCAAGCAATTCTCCCGCCTCAGCCTCCTGAGTAGCTGGGATTACAGGTGCGCACCACCATACCCAGCTAATTTTTGTATTTTTGGTAGAGACGGGGTTTCACCTTGTTGGTCAGGCTGGTTTCGAACTGCTGACCTCGTGATCCGCCCACCTCGGCCTCCCAAAGTGCTAGGATTACAGGTGTGAGCCACCGCGTTTTTTCAAGCTTTCAGGAATTCTCTATTATGAATGCAGTCTTCGTCCTCCCACTTTGCTACTGGAGCCCAGGAGGGGGCTGCGGTCGCCTGTGATCTCAGTCCCTTCTTGCTCTATCAATGATTGTTTCTGCCACATGAGACCACCCGGGAAGGAAAGGGTTGCTTGGCTGATGCCGGCCCCGATGGCAGGGAAGCACTGCTGCTCCCCGCACCCCTGACCAGGGAAGGTGAGGTCTTCCTACGCTCTTGTTAAACTGTGCGTCTGTCAGCAGGGCGGCACCGTCATCTGGCGATGATGTGCACGTGGACCTGATTATGGCACTGGTGAGATCCCACACTATCCAATGTGACTAGCAATGCCGTGCAGTCAACTGCCTGTATCTCCCACTCACTTTAAGAGTGTGGGCACCGGCTCCAGACTGTCTGGCTTGGAGTCTGAGTGCTACTTCTTCCTGTATGTGCCATCTTGGACGATGTATTTGACCTTTCTGTACCTCGGTTTACTCATCTGTCATGGGAACACTGCAGCCCCTCTCTCCTGGGGACTCTCATGGGGACTCTGCAGGTGGAATGCACTGATGGATACGAGGTGCTCAGAGCAGTGGCTGGAACACGGAAGCACCCAGGGCATCAGAGCCACCATCATCACAGAATGTCTGCCTGTGTCTGGCATTAGACTACACGAAGGGGTAGGAAAAAGCCCACCTTCCTCCCTGTAATGGCCGGCGTAGGCACATAACACATGTGTAACACGCTATCATATACAAAGTAATTCATGTACAGGGTCCAAGTTCTTAAAGAACTCAAGTCCTCCAAACAAAATAGACGATTTAAAGCTAACAGCCATTACTTGGACATTGTTGTATAGTCTTGGGCCATGGGCAAAATTTACCAATGTGTAAGAGTTTAAAGTTGTTCCTCTTCGCTTCTCTGTCACAGAGAACGCTGGGTTGGCCATACAACTTACTGTCCTTCCGCATCAGTGGAGGGTTCTGTCTCTGCCAGGCTGGTTCCTGGTGTTTTGTACAGAATTGTGGAACTGGGAGGGAGGATAGGAATGTGTGTGTGTGTGTGTGTGTGTGTGTGTGTGTGTGAGAGAGAGAGAGAGAGAGACCAATGAGTAGAAGACAGAACTGGATCCACACAGGGATTTCTATGGGGAGGCGCAGACAGGGACAGTAGGAGAGAGAGCTTGGGGGCAGTCACACAGGGTGAGGGAATGAATGCAAACTGAGAGAAGCCAGGAGATTGAGGGGTTTTCAGGGCACGCTGGCTCGCCTGACCTTGTGTTTCCTCCCCAACATTCTGGCACAGTGGGGGATCATCTGACCCATTTCTTTGGGCACAGCATCACTGCCGGATGAAACTCTGAAGGCTCAGGCTATGTTGGGTTACCCTGTTTTTCTGTAATCCTAGGATTTAAAGAATTTGATTTGTTTGGGGCTGTTTCAGCATCTTAGAGCCTGTGGGAGGCGGAATAATGCTCTTCTTTCCAGAAAAGAAATCCCTAAAGCGAATCCCTAGAACCTGGGGATAAAGTATGTGAGTATCTTACATGACACAGGAGACTCTGCAAGTGTCATTAAGTTAAAGTCCGCAGATGGGAAGTGCTATGGTTTGGATCTGTGTCCCGCCCAAATCTCATGTTCAATTGTCATGCCAAGTGTTGGAGGAGGGGCCTGCTGGGAGGCAATTGGATCATGGGGCCCATTTTCCCCTTGCTGTTCTCACGACACTGAGTTCTCGCAAGACCTGGTTGTTTAAAAGTGTGTGGCAACTCTCCCTTTTCTCTCTTCCTCCTGCTCTGGCCTTACAAGATGTGCCTAATTCCCCTTTGCCTCCCGCCATGACTGTAAGTTTCCTGAGGCCTCTTCAGCCATGCTTCCTGTACAGCCTGTGGAACTGTGAGCCAATTAACCCTCTTTTCTTTATAAATTACTTAGTCTCGGGTATTTCATTATCTCAGTGCAAGAACAGACTAATACAGGAAGATGATCTTGGATAGTGGAGGGCCCAGTGTCAGTCCTCACAAGGGTCTCTGTAAGGGAAAGAGGAAGGCAAGAGGGTCAGAGAAGTAGACGTGATGGTGAAAGCAGACATTAGCATGTGGCGGGGCCCTGAGCCCTGGAAAGCGGCTGCCGCTGGACACTGGGAAGTACAGGGAACAGCCTCTCTTGGAGCCTCCAGGAACACAGCCCTGCAGACCCACTTCAGATACTGACCTCCAAAGCTGTAAGCCAATCATCTGTGATGTTGAAACCACAGAGTGTATGGCCAATGTTACCGCAGATGTAGGCAACAATACAGAGACTTTTCCTAAGACTGCAAAATGCCCTTGGAGGACTCCCAGCCACCCACTCGCTTTTGGGTTCTGCATTTTCTTCCTCAGTTTCTTTGGCCTGAAGAGGGCCCTGAAGAATTCACATGTGGATATGATGTGTGTCTTACACACAATTTGAAAATACAACCACATAAGCCAATTAGGGATAGGCGAATATTACAATAAAAACAAGCTATTCTTTTTCTTTTTTTTTTAGATGGAGTCTCGCTCTGTTGCCCAGGCTGGAGTGCAATGGTGCAACCTCAGCTCACTGCAACCTCTGCCTCCTGGGCTAAAGTGATTCTCCTTCCTCAGCCTCCTGAGTAGCTGGGATTACAGGCACGTGCCACCACACCTGGCTGATTTTGGTATTTTTAGTAGAGATGGGGTTTCACCATGTTGCCCAGGCTGGTCTCGAACTTCTGACCTCAGGTAATGCACCTGCCTCGGCCTCCCAAAGTGCTGGGATTACAGGTGTGAGCCACCCTGCCTGGCCCAGTTATTCTTTATATTTGCATATTTTTAGAATTTTAGTAGCTTTGATTATCTGCTATATCTCATTGATTCTTTCTTAAGACCATGTGAGGTAAGAATACCAGGATACTATTTCCATTATAAATGCAGAGACAGATGTAAAGAGGTTGACTTTTCTGGAGAACAAGGGGTGGTCCCGACACAAAGGCTGAAGTTGTTTGAAGTATGGCCAGACACTTTGCTGAGGCACAGACATGTCCACCTGTGGCACAGGTGGGGCTGCCTAGAAGCCTCCCCGACTCAGGTCGGTGCTGGCCTCTCCCAGCCACGGTTTCACATCACATCATCCCGTATTTTTTTCAACAAATACAATTTACCACTTACCTTGTGAGTGACTTTCCATAGAACTTAAACATTAAAGGCAAACCTTTATCCATAGTTAGTTGAGGTTTTCTTAACTGAATAAGCAATGTATAACCATTAGAGAAACACAGAAGGAAGTCTAAAATATCACATAAAAATCTCAGGGCCTCTCATCCTGCTTTTCTCTTTACCTTCCTGTCTCTTCTGCCCTTTTACTAAACTACCCAGGGGCAGTTCGACACCTTGGTGTCTCACACACACCTGCCAGTCTCCCTCACTGCTGGGGTGGTCCAGGCCTTAGTGAGTGGGGGTCTACTTGCCACAGCCTCCTGTCTTGCCTTCCCACATCTGGATCCAAGTTTTATTATGCCACAAAGATGAGCTATTGAAGATCTATTTCTGATTCTACTTAAAACCTTTAACAATGCTACACATCAATGAATAATTTCTGGAGATTATTTCTAGAAAAAATGTACAATATGATGATTTGACTCCCGTATGTATCCTTTACTAAACTGTAAGCTCCACAAAGCAGGAAACAGGTACATTCTGCTCACCTGTGTATTGCTGTGGTTAGGTGTTAGGCACATCAACCTTAATAAATATTTGTTGAATGCGTGAGTGGGGCATGAAAACCTACACACTCAGGTGTATGAAGACATGGTCCTTGAATACCCAAGCTCAATAAAAAAGGCAAATTAGGGAGTAATTAGAAATAATACAAAATATTGTAATTTTGGAAAAGAATCATTATGAGTATAGTGCAATGGCATTCTTTTATGGTACCCTTTTGTGTTGCAGAAGACCATAGGAAAAAAAATGAAAGGAAAGAGTAGAGAATGAAAATGCTTAAAACCATTAATATCATCAACCTAAATAACTTTAAATAGTATAAAGTAAGTCCATTGAAGAACTGTATTTCCATTAACTTTTCAAACACACCAAGAGATGTAGTCATTCTAGCAACAATGCCGCAATGCAAGAATCAAAAGTAAGAACAGACGGCTTCTGTGTAGCTTCACAGCATTTTCCTGTGGAGCACACTGTTTCATTCTCATTATCACCCAGATCATGGTGGACACAACATTCCCCTCGTGGGCCATGGCTAACCCAGGCTCCAGGCCTTGCATTTGGAAAGGGGAGAGTAGGGGCGGGATAAGAGCTCTCTTCCCTTTCCCAGATCTCCAACTGTTCCACCAGCTTCAGGGTCCCTGTGTTTACCTGGGAGGGAAGTTGCTTACATGTCTTTCTGGTCAAGCTGCTCTAAGCCCACGACTGCCTTTTTAGGGGATTATTTTGAGATTTAGAGATGGGATGTCCATGCTCAATAAACAATGATCCTCATTATCATAGGAAATGCATTTTAATGTTTGCACTAGAATTGTTCCAAATTAAAGCAATCCCATAGCTCCAACTGTAAAGAATGCTTCTATAATTTAAAAAATGCCCCTTGAAGTAAGCATTGGAAATCCGCCATGTGTTCACCACCACCCCTGCTGTTTCATAGCCATGGGGTCTGGGGCCCAGAAAGAAGAGGGTCATGACCATGTTGTGCTTATCAAGATAACCTCAGCCCCTTGCCATAGGGTGGGTAGGGATTGGCGAGCCTGAGGCAGTCAACACAAGTGTTCTGATCAGAGGAACCAATCCAGAGAGGGGTTTGTAACCTCAACTGAGACAAGGAAGGAAAAATGGAAGTCTGCTGCAGGACTCTCGCTCTGATGAGCTCCTTTCCAAAACTGGCCTTCTCCTCTACTGGGCATGGTCATCTGGGAGGCAAGGGCTGGGCCTGCTGCCACAGAAGTGCCCCAAGTGCCAAGGCTCCATCCGCACATTTTATCACCAGTTCCTGTTTGTGTATGAAGATTTCTTAGAGCATGGACCACCCAGATGAACACTAATTTTTGAGTACCAAAATTTTCATTCCTTGAGTTTCAGAGGATTTATAACCAGCATACACTGCTGCTCCATTTCACACGGATCACAGATGTGTCCATGTATTTTAGCCCAGCAATTCTCTTTCTTCATAACGGAAGCCTCCAGGGCTTTTCTAGCCTACTCAATTCTCTGGGTTTATGCATTTCTAAAGAGCTGAATTGCCTTATAGTAGTAACCAAACTAGTCAACCCACCTTTAAATTCTACATGCATTTTTTAAACTTTTATTTTAAGTTCAGGGGCATATGTGCAGGTTTTTACGCAGGTAAACTTGGGCCATGGGGTTTGTTGTACAAATTATTTCATCACCCAGGTATTAAGCCCTAGTACCCATTAGTTATTTTTCTTCATCTTCTCCCTCCTCCCAGCCTCCACCCCATATG
The DNA here is from genome assembly GCF_000001405.40 of Homo sapiens. NCBI lineage: Eukaryota > Metazoa > Chordata > Mammalia > Primates > Hominidae > Homo > Homo sapiens. The sequence goes on from NC_000002.12 coordinate 2,127,257, forward strand.
TGTTTTAGAATTAGACTTCGCTGCAGGTACACGTGTGCAATTATGCACACACACTGAAGCAGCTCTCACAACTAGCCAAAGAGCCTCCTCGGTAAAGACAACACTTTTTATTTAAATACAAACAAAAGGCTCTCTTAAAACCTGTTTTGGCCTTGAAAGAGCATCCATGTTGTCAAGGATATAAGGTGACCTAATGTTAATTTTGTAACTCTACAAAGCTCCCTAGGTGCATAAACCCACACCGCCATCTCAATCTAGAGATCCTGCTACCAAATAGAGCCTTGTCAGAACTCCAGAATGTTCCCCTACACCCCTCCCGGTAAGCAGCTGCTCTTCTGACTTGCACTAGCATCCCTTCGTTTCTCTCCGTCCTGAGTGTTATGTAAATGAACCACGCAGCATGTGCACGTCTGTGTCTGGACTGAGCTCCGCAGCTCTCATGCAGTGCTCCACTGAGCTGCTGGACCACTGAGCAAAGATGAGGAAGGAGGCACAAAGGCTCACATTTGTGACTCTGATGGGAAGGCTCCTCCCAGAATCACATTTCCCTGCATCCACACACCACCACCTCCTTGCCGAATAATGTAATCAGAAGATTAGGGACTTCTGAGTCAAAGAATAGGGTTTGAATTCAGTTTGCCATTTCCTAGCTGCCTGAAATTAAGTCACTGATCCTATCTTAGTCTCTCTAAAATAAATGTATTAATAATGCTACCTAACAGATTTGCTGTGATCATTGAATGAAATAATGTATGTGAAATTACTTTAAATTGGAAAGTATCATAACAATGCTAATTATGAAAAACAACAACTGTCCTTTCCTGACGTTAAGAAAGATAGTGATGCAAACCAGAAAGGTCACCAGCTCTGAGATCGCTTCTAAACCTTGAACTTCTTTTTATTTTTTTGGGCATCAGAGTCTCTCTTTGTTGCCCAGGCTGGAGTGCAGTAGTGTATTTGGCTCAGTGCAATCTCCACCTCCCATTCTCAAGTGATTCTCCTGCCTCAGCCTCCCGAATAGCTGGGATTACAGGCACCCAACACCACGCCTGGCTAATTTTTTGTATTTTTCATAGAGATGGATGGCATTTCACCATGTTAGCCAGGTTGGTCTTGAACTCCTGACCTCAAGTGATCCACCTGGCTCAGCCTCCCAAATTGCTAGGATTACAGGCATGAGCCACTACACCCAGCCTTAAGCTTGAACTTCTAAATGAGAAGAGTATTATCTACAGTGCCTAACTTTATGGGATGCACAAGAATCAAGAGAGGCATGATTCATACATTCACTGGTGAAAGGTAGAGTTGGTGGCAATGGGGATTATTCTATGTAAAAACATAGTCTAATATATGTTAACTACATAAATACACATTTGTATTTAATTAAAATTTATAATGGTTATTATACCTACAAATTAAAGGAAATAAATGGAAAAACAATAGGAAACATTCTATACCCATTTCAAATAAAGAGTGTACATAAATTCCCACCATAATTCAACAGCATAGGTCATATTAAATGGAGAAATGTTAATAACACTGCATTGAGATCAGGAAAAAGAGATGTCCTTCATCATCCCTTCTAGCCAACATTATTTAGGAGGCTCCAGTTAACATAGTGAGATAATTGCCCAACATTATTTGCATAAATATTAAAAGGGAAGATGCTTTGTTTGCAGATGAAATGATTTCATGCCAAGGAAACAGAAGAGAGACTCTTCCAAGGAATATTAAAATTAGTAGAAAACTGAATACAGTGGTTGGAGACAAAAAACATACCAAAATTAATGGCTTTTCTTTCTATTATCAGTCGCCACATTGACACAGAAATGGTAAAGAAAACCTCGTTCACTGAGAAGACAGACGCTAATCCACAAACCCAGAGCAAGACCTTAATGAATGTGGTGATGCAGCAGATGCCTGGAGGAGAAGGTGGTCGGGAAGAAGTTACATCCACAAGCACAGTTTCACGTGTCTCTAGTCTGTCTCCAGATAGGTTAATTTGGGGATCTTCAAAATTTGAAGATCACTTGGAAAAATAAAGATATGATAACTGCTGAACAATTAGGCAAATATCATGCTCTTCTGGATATTGAGGGCTTACTATAAAGCTAATGCTATGAAACCAGTATGGTATTGACATAGAAATGGGAAAAAACAGTTTGATTGAAAAGAATGAAGAGCTTAGAAAAAGTTCCAAATGGCAGAAAGTGTGTGATAAAGAAGGCACTGCCCTAGAGTGGAAGGCAGCTGTCCCCCCAGAGTGCCTGTCAGGCTGGAGCCCACACAGGAGAGAACACAGCCAGCTGGACAAGTGACCGCAGCCACAAACACCAATTGCATATTGAGTCAAGAATTAACTTATTTAGGCCGGGCGCGGTGGCTCACGCCTGTAATCCCAGCACTTTGGGAGACTGAGGTGGGCGGATCACAAGGTCAGGAGATCGAGACCATCCTGGCTAACACGGTGAAACCCCATCTCTACTAAAAATACAAAAAATTAGCCAGGTGTGGTGGCGGGCGCCTGTAGTCCCAGCTACTCGGGAGGCTGAGGCAGGAGAATGGCGTGAACCCGGGAGGCGGAGCTTGCAGTGAGCCGAGATTGGGCCACTGTACTCCTGCCTGGGCGACAGAGCGAGACTCCATCTCAAAAAAAAAAAAAAAATTAACTTCTTTAAAGAATTGTAAACTTAAGGAACATAAGAAACAGGCCACAGAACTGACCAGATTTGACTACATAAATTTTAATTTTCTACGTGGGAAAAGGCACCATAGGTATTCATAAATATTATCAGCAATCTAATGGTAGATTGAGAGAAAACATTTGCATTATAGGACAGAAAAATAATCTATATCCCCCAAATATTAAGATAGCCTTAAATTTGAAAAGAGAAAGACAACTCAGTATAAAAGGGGTTCCGAATAGGGACGGCAAGTCACAGAGGTAGCAGCACGAGGAGCTGAGGTAATGCCCAGCCTCCTTAGCAGCTGGAAAAATGCATATTAATATAACAGAAGAGTTCCACCGAGAACACTGGCCAAAACTCCAAAGATTGATCACATCCACCGCTGGTGGTAACATAACCAATTGCTATAACATTGTCTGCAGAAATCTGGCATTACTGATGAAAACTCTGAATGGTATTCCCCTGGATCCAATGATCCAATACACAGGCATCCCTCCTACAGAAATAAAGGCGCAGGTGTCCAGGTGTGTGTGCACAAACACGTCTGCAGCAGTGGTCTCGAGTGGAAAAGCCTGGGAACCCACATTCATGTTGATGGCAGAGGAATGGTGGAGTCAATTCAGGCTAAAATGCACCATGGGATACTCTGCTGCTATTTTAAAAAAAGTGAGATAGGGCAGGTCATTTTGACCCAGAGAGGCGTCTGTATACATAATGGAGTAAGAACAGGTTGATGATGAGAACTTCATAGTACAACCACGGAATTCGCAGGAAGGAAATGCTTTGTGTCAACATAGATGCTTTTGTGAGTGGATACAAGTGAACATGAACCTTTGGATAAAATGAGGGGAATAATATTAGCTTTTTTCTTTGTGTGCTCTTGTTTGCTTAGTTTATGACAATTTTATTTGTCATAAACAATTTTATTCTTGAAATTTCAACAAGAAACCCAGGCAAGAAAAAAATCTTTAAAGCTCCTTTCATGAGTGTGTTTATAAATCCAGTTAGAAATTTCCACATTAACAATTCTAAAAAGGAGCAGTCAATATTTAAAGGAAAAATGCATGACCCCTAAATAGTTTTTAAAGCTGAAAGAGAGGGAAATCTGTGTTGCGATACCTTATGGAAGTAGAGACGGGATGGTCTTCAACAGCAGCAGCTGTCCCTGGGGAAAGCTACTCTGGTTCTCCTTTCCCTAAGTATAAAAAGCTGTAGTAACCAAAGCAAGGAGCCCACCAGGTACACAGAGCTCACCTCGTGCAGCTCGGA